>NC_000008.11:27435860-27738890 GCF_000001405.40 Homo sapiens
GTGACACCACAGGGAACATTCTTTTCCTCCTTTATCCTCCCTTCGTGCTAGACTTAGACAGTGGCAAACCTGAGATGCCTTGGATTTGAAAGCTGAGATTTTTTTTTCTCTCCCTATACTGATTGACCTTTTGTGTGCCCATGGAGCTGTGCGGGGATTCTAGTAACGTGGACCTGGGACCTAGCCTTCAGAGGGAGCAGGGTGATGGCTCTTCCCTGGGTCTGAGACAGTGGAACATTCTAGACCCCCATTTCCCCAGCCCAGTCCCTGGATCTTGGCTGAGGTGTTATAGATCTGGTGACGCCTGGCTTTAGAGCCTGCAGACACTCAGGTTCCCTAGGGGATACCACCGATCTCTGTGATCTGCGACTGTTTTCTCTGTCTGTGCAGGTCCACAGTATGGCATTGCCCGTGAAGATGTGGTCCTGAATCGTATTCTTGGGGAAGGCTTTTTTGGGGAGGTCTATGAAGGTGTCTACACAAATCACGTGAGTTCTAGGATCTTCCCTTACACTCCTCTTCCACATGTCTGTAGGGTGAGACAGAGCTCGAATCTGAGCAGGTTGGAGTTGGCACAGCCTTCATCCACTTGGGGCCCCTTGTCCCTAAGGGCCTCTTGTCCACTGGGCATGGTGGTATTTATTAAATACTCAAAGAGTGGTGGAGACAAGAGTCATTTCCAAGAAGGGTAGCAAAATACCAGGGGTGGAGATATAGGCAGAACCTGGAGAAGGGTCAGTATTCTTGGTGGGAGAATACAAAGGGGGAGGCGGGATAAAGACAGTTCTGAGAAAAGGTGAGGCAGGATCTGGAGTTAGTGTCAAGGCCAGTGATGGGGCAGGGTAAGGCTGACCGCTGTGGTAACGCTTCTAGCAGGCCCAGGGGAAGAAAGAAAGAGGCAGTAAGAATGAAAAATCCAATGATAGAGAAAGGCCCAGCCCCCAGGCATGATAATGGCTTGCAGGTGCCTCTGGCTTTGGGCAGGTCACACGGCCCCTCAGTCTCAGTGTCCTCATCTGGATGGCCAGGGGCTTGACTCATTTGACCACTACAGCCCTTTTCAGTTCTAACAGACCCTGATCAAGAAGAAGGGGAGTGGAGAAGGAGAAGAGAGGAAGACAAAGGGGAGAAGAAGAGAGACATAGGAGAAAGGGCCCTTTCCTGGCAGCAAAATCTGCAGGAGGCCATGGGGAGGCCAGGAGGGAACATTCTGCTGAGCACTGGGCTGGACCAAGGGGTCCTGAACACACTCTTGTTACAGAAAGGGGAGAAAATCAATGTAGCTGTCAAGACCTGCAAGAAAGACTGCACTCTGGACAACAAGGAGAAGTTCATGAGCGAGGCAGGTAGGGACCCCTGAGACCAACCAGGCCTCCAAGATGGGAGGGGCTTCAGCCTGGGAAGAGAGGGGTGAACAGTGCAGGGACCCATGTTGGAGGAGGGGTTCCCGTCCTCCCAGCTAGAAGAGCAAAGGCCTTTTCTGAATTGGACCTTTGAGCCGCTCCACCTGTCCCTCTTGCCCCACCACACTGCAGTGATCATGAAGAACCTCGACCACCCGCACATCGTGAAGCTGATCGGCATCATTGAAGAGGAGCCCACCTGGATCATCATGGAATTGTATCCCTATGGGGAGGTGAGCTGGAGGACCCTGCGATGACAACTGGGCTGCAGCATGGGGGGCATTCAGAGCACAGCCCATTCCTCCCAGCTTCCTGACTTCTGTGTTCCACTGAAATAAGCCAGAGGCCCTGTTTGTCAAGGAAATTGCTGGAACATTTTGCCAGCTTTGGGTTTGTCTCCCACCGCCCCCAGGGAAGGGTCAGGGGTTGCCAGCACCCTGGTCCCCTGGCTCCATACTGGGACCAACCAGGGGTCTTGATGGCACCTCCCCATTCCTGCAGCTGGGCCACTACCTGGAGCGGAACAAGAACTCCCTGAAGGTGCTCACCCTCGTGCTGTACTCACTGCAGATATGCAAAGCCATGGCCTACCTGGAGAGCATCAACTGCGTGCACAGGTAGGGGTGGAGGGAGTGGCCAGCGGTATGGAAGCCAGGCCTTCACCAGATCCTCAAGGCCTCTGGGTAGAAGCAGGGCTTGTGGGTGACACAGAGCAGTGTTGGAATCCCAGCAATTGGCCCAGCAGCTTTGAGCACTTGAGCAACCTCTCTGACCCTGTGTCCTCATCTGTAAAGTTGCAGGCACTGTATGTACCTCATGGGGTTGTTACGAGTAACTCTGAAGTCCGAGGTGTCTGTCTATATATCAAGACCTTCTAGCCCCTCCCCTGTGAGTGCCAGGAAATCGCCCCCAACCTTGCTCAGAGCTTGCTCACCTCCAGCTCCCTGGCTTGGTGGCACATGGCCCAGGAAGAAGGGACTGGGCTGGAGCAGGGCCAAGAAGATCCTGGGGTCCTAGGCCAGACATCACCCTGGTTGCCGACACCCCTGGGCTGCCAAATCCAAGTCTCCCTGTGGCTGTGGAGTTGGCCCCTGCTTTACCTGGCTTTGTTCCCATTCCCTGCCATGAGAACCTGACCCCCAAGGGAGTCAGTGGTTGGGCATTACCCACCATTGACATTGGCTCTGTGGCCTTGTGCCTGACTCAGGGTGTGTGAAGCTCTCATGCGATCCTGGTATCCTAAGTGCCCCATCAGAGTTAGCTGTGCTGCCGCTGCCACTCCTGCTATACCAAAGACCTAACCAGTCCTGTGGAAATGCAGATGAGAGAGAATACCTGTGTTCAGGGAAGTGGTTGGAGTTTATCCTTGAAGAATCACCAGGTGACAGCCTCCCTGGCATGGGGGACAGTGTAGGCAACAGCACAGAAGTGGAGTGTAGCAGATGCCAGGAATCTGAGCCAGGCTTCAAGCTGGAGATGGATGAAGGGGTGATGGGAGACAGAGCCCAACAGCAAGAGGGAAGGAGATGGCAAAGCACCTGTGCATGTTGGGGTGCAGAGGGGCCAGCTGGGCTCCCACCTGAGGTGTGCTGTGGCAAGACCACTCGATGGGGGCAGTGACCCACAGAAGCTGCCCGATTCTGCTCTGGAGTCCGAGTCCCTGGCTTAGATTCTTGGTCTCTTTTTCCATCTGTCTGTCCATCTCTCTGTTCCTGCTCCCATGGGGGTGGGCAGTGCCTCATCCTGGTCTTGATGCCCTTCTTCCAGGGACATTGCTGTCCGGAACATCCTGGTGGCCTCCCCTGAGTGTGTGAAGCTGGGGGACTTTGGTCTTTCCCGGTACATTGAGGACGAGGACTATTACAAAGGTGAGGGGGCTTCCCAGCCTCTGCATTGGCCTTGGAGGGGTCGCTGAAGCCAAAAATTCCAGAAGAAGGAAGTCTACAGTTGGACAGCCCAGGCTAAGGGTCTTCAGAAAGTAGGATGTATTTCTGGATAATTCTGATCTTTCTTCCCTAAAAATCAACCTCTTTGCCCACCCAAAGCCTCTGTGACTCGTCTCCCCATCAAATGGATGTCCCCAGAGTCCATTAACTTCCGACGCTTCACGACAGCCAGTGACGTCTGGATGTTCGGTGAGTGCTGATTTGGGAGGGCATGAAAAGGTGTTCAGATTCTCACTTCTGAACCAGGCTAAGGGGGTGGGTGCAGGGAGCAGGGGTCTGACCTCCACCCTCCGTTCCCAGGGTTCTATTTTGCTGTGGCCACTGAGAAGTCTCAGAGGTGGGGAGGCCAGTAGGGGTAGGAAGGGGAGTGACCCAGGCTAAGGACTGGCCTGGGCTGTGCAGGCTCATCTTCCTGGAAGAGGCTCTTGTGACATGTGTGCTCCACCTACCAGCCCCAGAAACTAAGACGAAACTCTGTGACTTATTCTGAGAGAGGTACAGGAAGGAGAGAGAGCAAAGGCAGGTGTAGAGAGACAGCCCCTTACGGAACACCTCCTGCAAACCATCTCACTTAGTGCTCCCACAGCCAACCCTGTAGAACATTATTATTACTCTCATTTTCCTGTTACGAAAACTGAGGCTCAGATGAGTCAGGAGCCTGCCCGCAATCACACAGGCACCAAGTGTTGGTGCGAGGCTTCCATTTCCAGCTTTACTAAGGAGTGGCTCCCCTCCCTCCTAAGAGAAGACACTTGTGGTCCCAATAGCATGCCATGACTGCCACCTCTTGATCCTGCAGCACCCTGACAGGGGTCTAGCGAGCAAGGCCTTAGGTCACTTACTGCAGAGGTAGGTCACTTGTCCCTCGGGCAGACCACCATGGTAGGCAGGACCCCAGGGTGCTGGAGGAGGAGGAGGGACCGCAGGAGCTGCTCCTGGTGGAGACTGAGTGCTAATGGCGATGGTGCTTCTGGGTGGGAGGGACTGGTCTCCCCCACCCAGGGCCTGACGCTCCCTTACACCCCAGCCGTGTGCATGTGGGAGATCCTGAGCTTTGGGAAGCAGCCCTTCTTCTGGCTGGAGAACAAGGATGTCATCGGGGTGCTGGAGAAAGGAGACCGGCTGCCCAAGCCTGATCTCTGTCCACCGGTCCTTTATACCCTCATGACCCGCTGCTGGGACTACGACCCCAGTGACCGGCCCCGCTTCACCGAGCTGGTGTGCAGCCTCAGGTGAGCATGGAGTGTGGGCTGTGGGCTGGGGGCCCACCCGGCTGCACCAGGGAGCAAGACCAGCACACAGAGAGGTTTGCACCACATCTCCCTAAAGAAGACGGGCCAGGGTCAAGGACAGGAGGCTGAAGCCAGGTTCACTGTCAGATATGAGCTCAGAGATAAGGCAGCCGTGGGGAAGCCTGACTCATCTGGGCATCTGTCAACACAGAGCACAGAGCCTTGTTCAAAGGATGTGCTCAGAAAATATTTTCTAGGTTAGACTCAAAAGCCTGAGCCAGACTCTCATCGAAGTGCCTGTGCTCTTTGTGATGTTGAGGCATCCTACCTGCTTTCCTCTCGCCTTGTCTCTCGACTTTGATCTTTCCTCCCAGATAGCAAGGAAGGGAGTGATCTTTGACCTGTTTTCAAGACTATGACCCAGGGGCCACCTCTCCCTTCTGAATGGGGGATAAGGGACCTGAGGGCCCGTCGGTGCCCAGGAGCCATGATTCCCTAGGTCTGGGGAGGTCACTGGGGAAGAAGGTCATCTGTTTCAGAGGTTCAGGGTCCCCCAGTTTTCTTGGTGGCAAGCCTGCCATTAGCCCTCCTGTGGGAGATCTGACTTCTTTTGGTTTCCTCTGGGGTGGGAGTCAGTAAGCATTTTCTATAAAGGGCCAAATAGTAAATATTTGGGGCTTTGCTGTTTATGCAAGTCTCTGCCAAAACTGCTAACTCTCTTAGCTCAAAAACAGCCACAGACAATACATCGATGAATGGGTGTAGCTGGGCTCCAGTGAAACACCATTTTGGATGCTGAAATATGAATTTCAAATAAGTTTCATGTGTCATGAAATATTTTTTGTCTTTTAATTTTTTTCAGTCATTGAAACAATGTGAAAACCATTCTTCATTTGGGTCCATACAAAAATAGATGAAAGGCCAGATTTTCCCTCTGGGCGCTTATTTGCTGAACCCTACTTTAGGGAGTCTGGAACTTAATTGACTTGAAAAATATTTTTAATACTGTACTTTAATACTGATTTTAAATACTGTAGTCAACATGTTGCCTTGTTTGATTTTAGGGCAAGTAAACAGTCCCTGAAAACTGCCTGGTGGGGAGGCACCCCAGGGGATGCCAGCAATGCCCAGGCCAGGGGCACTGAGGGTGACCCTGCATGTTTTCTGTGGGGCAGGGCCTTCAACATCATCTGTAAAACCTCTGGCTTAAAAGGCATCTCTGTTCCTCTCTATCCCTTCAGTGAGCCTCCCAGTTAATTCTAGACTCCTGTGTTGGTCCCTTGTATGGGAGGTTTGAGAAGTCAAAAGGCTGCAGGATAAAAGTATTTGAAGGATGTAATTTGGGAGGTTAAAAGCCCTGGGGGGATGGAGCTGGGAGTCCTGATTCACTCTGAGGCCTTGAGAGCCACAGGGAGCTGTGCAGGTGTCTCTCCTGGGCTGAGAGGTGTTCCCATCATCTCCTGGGCTGAGAGGTGTTCCCATCAGAGGCATCGACCAGGCCTCTGCCACAAGTGGAGGTGGGAGCAGGTTTCTGGTGTGATCTGGAAAACACTGAAAGACTCAGAAGACCCCAGGTTGCTTCCTCAGACCACCACCTGACTCTTCCTCCTTAGAGTTCAGAAGGGATTTGATCAGTGTTTCCTAACCGTTCCAGGGAGGAAAGGCCCTTCTAATGTCAAATTTTGAGTGTCTCTGTGTAACAATAGTTATATTTTAAAAATCTTTTGCTGAACAAAATGTAGTGGGCTATATAATGCATTTTTATTATACATAATAAAATATATACACACTTGAAAATATAGTATCAAGTGTCACATATTCAGTAGTATATAATACTTGCTACCCATATGAACATGTGGATTCATGGGCAGTAATAATTCCAGAGTCCTCTGGGGTCTGTGATTCCAGGTTAGGAGCACTGGATTGGGTAAGAAAGGTGAGAGGCGCGCACATGGCTAGCCTGGGAGTGAACCCACATGCCTCATTAGCACATACCGGGGATGCGTTGGGGGATGTTTCATGAGAAATAGGAGATGTAGATTCTAGGCCAGGGCCATGAAGTTGGCTGGGACTTTGGAAATCTACATAGGGGTTTGGTGCCAATCACAAGCCCAGGAGGGCAAAAGGCCTGAGGAGTGGGGCTGCAGTCAGGCTCCTGCTGCATGTTTGGGCTGGGACTGGCTCACCAAGGACGCTTTTCCACCTTGGATCCATTCCTGTGATCCTCCCAACCTCAGTGTGGCCTCAGGGCCCATATCCAAGCCTGTCTCAGGGGGCTCTCCCCAGGACACTCTGCAGTGAAGATCGAAACGGAAATGGGACCTAGCAACCTTGCCCAGGCCTCTCTGGGCCTCCACGAAGTACAAAGAGGAGCCCCAAGGAGCGTCTCACTTTGACCTAGTTTCTCTCCTTATCTGACGTGACTCCCTGCAGTGACGTTTATCAGATGGAGAAGGACATTGCCATGGAGCAAGAGAGGAATGCTCGCTACCGAACCCCCAAAATCTTGGAGCCCACAGCCTTCCAGGAACCCCCACCCAAGGTAAGCCAAGCCATGGCCTCATAAGTCCTGTGAGTCAAAGCAAAGCCAGGTCCCTGTCTGATCCATGTCCCCCTTACTGCACAGGCAGGATGCCCCCTACAGCCCTTTCTCAGTCCTTCACCCAGCATCCACCATCACTGTCAGCGTGTCACATCAGTGCCCTGGCAGGTGGACTTGGAGATAGCAGCCACCTTGTGGGATAGCTGGGTCAAGAATCATTCCTCAAAAGTGTCCCCTGAGGGGCTGGGCTTCTCTTCTAGGTGTTTTCTTAGGAACAAATGAGATCCCCCTGAGGACACATGGGTGGGAAGTATCCTGGGTCTTTTAGGTCCAGTCCCTACATCTATACCCCGCATGGCCACCCTGAGCTCAGGAGCCAGGGCCCTGCTGCCATTAGGTGGGTGGGTCTGAGAGGCCGTGCCTGTCTTAGTCAACTGGAGCTGCTGCAACAAAAGACCACAGACCAAGTGGCTTAAACAGCAGATGTTTATCTCTCACAGTTCTGGAGGCTGGGAAGTCCAAGATCAAGGTGTTGGTGTCTTGTGAGGGCTCTCTGCCTGGCTTACAGACAACCACCTTCTCACTGTGTTTTTACCTGGCAGACACAGAGTGGTCTTTCTTTCTCTTCTTATAAGGGCTCCATCCTCATAACCTCATCTAACCCTAATTACCTCCAAAAACCTGCACTTCCTTAATGCTATCACATTGGGGGTTCAGGCTTCAACATGCAAATTGAAAAGGGGGACAAATATTCAGTCCATAACAATGTCTGATCCCATCTAAGGCCTTTTCTCACTTGTCCCTCTTGCCTGGCATGTCCCACCCCTCCCCGCGGGCCTGGCTCAGCGTTCATCTCCTCCATGCAGCTTCTGTGAATGCCCAAGCCCCTGGTGAGCTCCTACCTCTGCATGCCTGTGGCTCTGGAGCTCTGACTTGGTGGGTGCTCCCACGTATAGGGAAGCAACACATGCACCAATCATTAACCCTCCAATTAGCCATAGCCCCGGGAGGGCAGTGAGGTGGCTTCTTTGTACCTTCCACCACTCAGTAGATAATCAGTGCTCAATAAATGGATGCAAAATGAGTTTCATGACAGCTTTGTCCCTCAACTTTCCTTCCTTTGGAACAAGCCTGAGGTGTCTTTGACCTGATGTTCCCCTTGGTGAGTTGTGTTCACTCAAGGAGAGGGACAGAGACTGACCCATCTGTGTTCTCTCTCCAGCCCAGCCGACCTAAGTACAGACCCCCTCCGCAAACCAACCTCCTGGCTCCAAAGCTGCAGTTCCAGGTAAAGATAGAACCAGAGGACGGGAACTTCAGGTCTACCTCTCATCCAGGTCCTGAAACTCCATTCTTGTGCCTTAGAGGAGCAGCAGTCACCCACTTGGGTGATGGAGATGGCCTAGGTTGACTCTTCTTTGGCACCCAGAACAGAATGCAGACTCAGATCACAAGAATTAAAATGCAGTTCTCCCAGGCTGTGCTCAGCTAAGACCTGCCTTAAGCCCCATCCCTCTGTCTACATCATCTGCTGCTTTGTGTGCCTGCCTGCTGCTCTCTCCCCACATCTAAGGCCTCCCTGGCCTCCTTACCAGAAGGAATCCCAGGGAATATTTCCCAACAAATGGAGTAGCTCCATGGGACTCCCCAAAGAGGCCCCATCCAGAACCTGGGTGGCCATTGAAGAGACAGCAGGGTTTTACCTGAGCTTTCTCCCAGCTCCATTATCCCCAACCATGACTCTTTCCCAGGCTGTGCGTCCCTGACCCTGAATGTCTCTGTTCTGTGTCTCTCTTGCCTCTAGGAGAGAGGGAGTCCAGTCTCCTCTTATTTCTTCTCTTGCATCCCCCAGCTCAGAGCCACTGCTCAAAAATTGATCCCCTCAACCACCAGAAATAATGTCCATTTAGTTGGTGCCCTTTATAGAAAGGTGGTGTCCCATGGTCCTATATTTGTTCTCAAGGAAATGCCTGAGTGCCAAAACAAGACCATCTAAGGACTAATAGATAAATCCTCTTCACGTGAAGAGAAAGCCTGATTCAGAAGATGGAAAAATCGTTCTGAAAAAAAAGAGATATACCCATGTGCAATATTTAAAACAGGGAGTTAGGTAGGGTGGAACACACCTGTAGTCCCAGCTACTAAGGAGGGTGAGATGGGAGGATTCATTGAGCTCAGGAGTTTGAGACCAGCCTGGGCAATATAGTGAGACCCCATCTCTAAAAACAAATAGTAATACAATAAAATTGTGATATACTTATTTTTTAATTAAAAAAAATTCAAGGCAGGCATGGTGGCATGCATCCGTAGTCCCAGCTATGTGGGAGGCTGAGGCAAGAGGATTACTTGAGGCCAAGAGTTTAAGGCTGCAGTGAGCTGTGATCATACCACTGCATCCCAGCCTGGGCAACAGAGCAAGAGCCTATCTGAATTTTTAAAAAACAATTCATACATATCTGTATAAATTGGTGTGTTAACCACATCAGTCAGTCTGTAATGCAACTGAAACAACTATTTTTTGAAGAGTCCTGAAGGAAGAGCCCTGGTCTCAGTGGGTCCGTAACCAGCATGGACCCCACTGTGTGCAGAGCATCTTGGGGGAATGTTGGATGAATGAGAGGCTGCACTGCTCCACCATCTCTCTCGGAGCAATGGAAGGCCCACGTTTTGTTCTTTATTAACTCCTGGAGAGCAAGCCCCATTCCCTGTGGTGCTCATGCATAGTTTCTTTGTGCTCGTGTTTGTAGCAGCTAATTGTCTACCTTCTCGCTTTGTCCCGTGCCTTGTGCTTCTTTGCTTTTCCTGAATAGGTTCCTGAGGGTCTGTGTGCCAGCTCTCCTACGCTCACCAGCCCTATGGAGTATCCATCTCCCGTTAACTCACTGCACACCCCACCTCTCCACCGGCACAATGTCTTCAAACGCCACAGCATGCGGGTAAGAGGGCTCTGCATGCTGGTCCCTGCCCGGACTGAGGAGGCTGCTGGAGGGAGGTGGCCGGGGACACTGGAAACCCCACGTCCTCAGCTCAGGAGGGCCCTTCCTGTTCCCATGCACCAGTCAGGCCACTGAGGTGGCACTCTGTGACTTCCTTCCCTTTGCAAACACATCAGAGGCTGGCAGCCACACCAGGCCCTGCTCTGGAGGACACCAGCTGGACCTAACCTGCCCTTGGCCATGCTGGTGCTATGGCTAGAGATGTACAAATCTCCCCCTCTCCTGAGCCCCAGGGGTAGGGGGATCTGTGGCAGCTTGGAGGCTCCTAGGCAGGGCACAGCACAGCTTAGTGGTGCTGGAGAGTATCCTTCCTAAATGATGGCTTTGGGTGTGAAATCTCTCCTCAGTCAAAGGAAAGGCTTTCTTGTGGCTGCTCCCCTTTCTGCTTTTGTTCAGGCTGCTGCTGGGTGAGAAGGAGTTTAGGGCTAGTGGGAATACAGCCTCATTAACTGGCTAGAGCAGGGACCTAAGCCACTTCCCTTGTCAGCTCTTTGTCACGGGGGGTTGTTAACTGCTGGTGAAGCCCGGAGTGCTTCATGGCTGGCTTCTGATTGTCAGGTCTTGTGTGAAAAAGACACTTTTGCTTATAACCAGATGCCCACTGGTCACCAACCACCTTCTTCCATACAAATGGCCCCTAGTGGTCAGTTGCCACGAACACTTGATCTATTTTACTAAACCAACTAAAACACTTATTTTAGCTCTAACTCTGCATGCATGCACAATATTTCAGGCTCACTAAACATGACTAAAATATTTTTTGAAAAAAATTAGATGTTTATCATAATATATTTGGAAGATGTAGGCAAGTATGCTGATATTACTTTCATGCCATTATGCTTAATTTAGTAGAATTTTGAAATGAGCATGATAACTTAGAATTCCAGACACTAAGATTTTTTGTGAAATCAATTTTCCTCTGACCTACCTCGTTTTTCTCTTTTATATTAATTTAACCAATTTCTGTCTTTGCGTGTGCTTAACAATAATAAACTACATTTTTAGGCATGTGCTATAATTTAGGCTGTGTTCGGTTTCTCCACCCTCCTGCCTTTGACTCTCTATTCATAAATGATTGTTTTAGTAAGTTTTGCTTTAAATTGTGTTATTTTAGAAAGAAGCTATTTTGCACATTTGAGGGGTAGCATTGCCTTCGTCCAATTTCCTGCTTCTCCACAAGGACCTTGTTCAGTTCCATAAAGAGATTGTGCAGTAGGAAAAAAGACCTTTTGTATCAGGGCTTTAGAAGTAATTGACATAAGGAAAATCTGCCTAAAAGAACATAATGAGCATGTCTTTAAATAAACAAACCCAAAAAAGTTAAAAATATAAGCTCCATTTTATGACACAGATCAGAAACACTGAGAAAGTCTCTTCCAGGTAGAATGCTGAGAAGGTATAATAGGCTCCTCACAAAGCATTTGGAAGCATTTAACAAAAATACAGAGGTGGTGTTCCCAGAAAAACAGTTTTTCTACTGAGTGGCTCTATAGCCTGACTCATCAGGGAGTCTGTGGGATGCCATACCAGCATTGGGATGGCAGCAGTCTCTCTCCTGAAGACCTCACAATTGAGCTTTAAAAATAATACAATTCAAGGCCAGGCGTGGTGGCTCACGCCTGTAATCCCAGCATTTTGGGAGGCCAAGGTGGGTGGATCACTTGATGTCAGGAGTCTGAGACCAGCCTGGCCATCATGGCAAAACCCCATCTGTACTAAAAATACAAAAAATTAGTCAGGCATGGTAGTGTGCACCTGTAATCCCAGCTACTCAGGAGGCTGAGGCAGGAGATCACTTGAACCTGGGAGGCAGAGGTTGCAGTGAGCTGAGATCACGCCACTGCACTCCAACCTGGGCAACAGAGCAAAACCCTGTCTCAAAAATAAAAATAAATAAAATAAAAATAATACAATTCAATAAACAGTAGGGCTTGCTGTGATTGCTGGACGCTGTCCTCGGTGCTGAAGGGGGGAGGCGCTGCTTTCAAAGCGCTTACAGTCGACCAGAAGGATCAGACCAGGTGCACACTTACCTGTAATGCAAGCCAGAAGGTCGTGGGTACCACAAAGTGGGAGTTCAGAGAGGAGGACAACCCTTTCCAGCTTCTATTTAAAAGTTGGGCCTTGAAAGATGGGAAAGATGTGGACAGGAGGAAACTGAGATTCAGGGAATGGAAGAGGCAGGGGCTTCAGTAGGAGGCAAGACTGAGTGGTGGGAAACCACAGGACAAGTGCAAGAACTGTTGGACTACAGCAGGAAGGGTACTTGTGGATGTGGAAATAAAGCCAACAGATGGGTCATAGCCAGATTATGGAAGGTGTCACAACTTACGAGAGTCATTTTAAAACACCATGAGTACCCAATTCCTTTTAAGAATAGAATGTAATGAGCAATGTAAGTATCCATTACCTAATAAGAATATTGGAGGCGCATTTCAGCAAAACCAACCTCAAAGAGATTCCATTTTTTTGAGTGTTCATTTTTCTCCTTGAGTTTTATTATGAAATTGGAAGGCATCAGGATGTCTCCTAATCTGTGTTTGTTAGAATATGTGGTACGATCAGGCCTGAGGCATGCTAGGCATTTTAGTGGTGGAATCTTCTGTCAACACTTATAAACTTACAAATACTTACAAATACTTGTAGAATTTTCTTGATTCTAGTAGCTCATCCAACTGGTACTTACCATACTCTTCCTTAACCCATACATTTTTCTCACATCCAGAAATCCCTAACTCTATATTTAGAACTTTTGACACTTAGTTCCTGTTTGTCACTATTTGTCAACAGCCTGGGGCAGCCATGCCATTGTGTCTGCAGGTGTTGACATTTAACTGGGGATTTTTATGGCCTTAAAATGTCCTCATTTTTGAGTATCAGCCTCTGATCAACAAAACCTATTTTATTTTTATCAATTCCATGATTATAAAATACTCTTATATGCTGGAATTTGTTTTCCTAAAATAAGGTCTAGCTCAGTGGTTCTCAGCTAAGTTATTTTCCCTCTGAGAGGACATTTGACAATGTCTGGCAGCATTTTTGTTACAACTGGGGTGGTGCTATAGGCATATATTGTGGGGAGGCCAGAGATGCTGCTAAGCATCGTACAATGCACAGGAAATTGCCCTGGAAATAAGGACTTGTCTGGCTCCAAATGTCAGTAGTGCTGAGGTTGAGGAGCCTTGGTCTGACTAGTATTTACTTAACCCCACGAGAATAAGAACATCGTATAGTTTAACATCACTGTCCTCCCAGCACCCAGCCCTGCCACATAGTAGTTGCTTAATAAATAATTGTTGAATAGATTAATGAATAAATATTTCAGCAAGAAACCTAACTCATGGGGAAACGTGTGATTAGAAATTGAGGTTAGTAATTGAAGCTCAGTGTGCACTAAGTAAAACATCCCAATATAACCACTTTTAGACCATATTGTAATATTCAAGTGTGTTTTGTAGGGCTTAGTGAGGAAACTCTTTTAAGAGGCTTGGTAGGAATTATTGCTTGCTAAAAGTAGATAGAGATAATTGTTAGCATCTTCTGCAAGTGACCTGTATGCAAATGGCCACTTCAAAGGCAAGGAACTGAGGGACCTGCCAGCTTAGATGTCACAGAAGAATCCTGCCCTAGCAAAGGCAACTCCTGGGCTTTGTGCAATCAAGAGGATGCCAATAATATTCCTCCTCCATCTGTCCAGGAGGCCAGGGTCCCCATGTGCAGCACAACAAGAGCAAAATAGTTTAGAGACACTGAGCAGATATTTATACAAATGAACCGTGGGGGAAGACTGAATGAAAATAGGAAGACATGCAATACTTTCTGTTTAGGAACTAGCAGCTAAAATTATGAATAGGTCCAAAGCCCCAGAGGTAAGTTAAAGCAAGAGTTAGATTACTAGATCTAGGGAGAGG
This sequence comes from Homo sapiens, assembly GCF_000001405.40. Lineage (NCBI taxonomy): Eukaryota > Metazoa > Chordata > Mammalia > Primates > Hominidae > Homo > Homo sapiens. Next base: position 27,449,891 of record NC_000008.11, read on the forward strand.
AAGCATTTATCTTCTCTCTATCAAACTATATTTCTTTGAATTTTGTTTTTCATTTTATCTATTAGTTCATGAATTTCTTCTAATCATTGGTTAAATAACTCAAGCTATGATTGCATTTATCTTATCTCTATAGAGCTGTATTTCATGAAATTTTGTTCCTTATTTTATCTCTTAGCTCATGCATTTCTCCTAACATTTAGTTAAATAACCCAAGCTATTATCTTAATAAAGAATGTGTCTTAATAGGAAGGCATGGTTGGTGGGTGCATGCTGTTGCTTGTTCTCTCAGGCTCTGCTCATTCATGGACACACGTGGGACTGCACACCGTGAGGCTAGAGGCAGCACCCCTGTCTCTCGAAGCTTCCAGACCTGCCACCTTGGTCCTTAGGTGGAGATAGCATCAGAAGGGTGTGATGCTCTCCAACTAAGCAAAGCCAGCCCCTTGGAAACCCTTTGGATGCTTTTAGTAGATTTTAAAATAGATTTTAATAGACTTTAATAGCTTTTCTTTTTAAAATATATTAAATGACAACAACCATCACAAACACTGAGATAATAGTAGGGCAGTCACTTGGTAAAATATCATGAGCAGATCGTGTAATCATTTGAATACAGCGCACGTTGAGCAGTGGGTTCTTGGGTTTGGTATCACATTGCAACGCAGATACATGCTCGGGGCTGATACTGGATAGCTGTCTGCACATATAGCTCTGGGTTTAAGAACAAACTTATGAGAAAAAAGCAGCTGGCCAGGCCAAGGCTTGCAGCTGCCATGAGGTTCTTCAGAGGACTGTCCCTCCCTGAGTCTGAGAGCAGGGCTCATTGCATCCTCTCCCTTCTCTCTGCCGTCCTCCCAGGAGGAGGACTTCATCCAACCCAGCAGCCGAGAAGAGGCCCAGCAGCTGTGGGAGGCTGAAAAGGTCAAAATGCGGCAAATCCTGGACAAACAGCAGAAGCAGATGGTGGAGGACTACCAGTGGCTCAGGCAGGAGGAGAAGTCCCTGGTGAGCACCCCAGGAAGGATGTCGGTGCCCTGCACCCATCTGTGTCCTCTTCCACCTCCCCAGGTGGCTGGGGCAAGGGTCCCCTGCATTCTTGGTGCTTTCAGCTCCAGAATTCTTAGTCCTTCGCTCTTGTTTCTTCCTCTGCAGGACCCCATGGTTTATATGAATGATAAGTCCCCATTGGTGAGTTGCCAGGAGAGGCCGCCTCCTCCATGCCAAGGCCTGGGAAGGCCTCGCCCACCATAGGACCCCCCGCCCAACTTGCTCCTACCCCCAGGCCTGCCCAGCTCCTCCTCAATGGCTTTCCATGTTGGGAGGGTGTCTTTTCCTTTTCTGCCAATCCCTACATGGCCCTTTTCCTGAACTCTCCTGTGATCGTGCCCTTAGTGCTGTCTGTGGCCCTCCCCAGGGCCCCTCGGCCTCCCAGAAAGGTCACATTGGGTCACGAGCTGCTCCCAGAAGCACCCCCGACCCCATGGCTGTAATCTCTAAACACACAGTGGAGGGACTGGGGAATGGGTAACCAGGGAGGGGGTTGTCTCCACAGCCGCATGAGTGACGTTCCTGTTCTCTTTCCTCCTTCCTCCAGACGCCAGAGAAGGAGGTCGGCTACCGTGAGTGTTCCCGCCCTTCTTCGGGGGGTTTCCTCTTGGCACCTTGTGCAGAGCCACCATCCTTGCCCACCGCCCAGGGCAGGGAGCAGCGGAGTCTGTCTGCATTCCCTGCAGCATCGGCCATGATTTAATTCAGAGCATGTGGGGCAGGCCAGCTTCCCCTCCGCTCCCTCCACCCCATTCCTCTCCCTGCCTAGCACCCTGCCCTTCTCTCTCTCAGTGGCCACATCCTTAGGCCCCTCCTCAGATCATCCCCCTCCTGCATTAGTTTGGAGGAGCTGGAAATTCTCTCTTCCTCATTTCCTGCTCTGTTGGAAGCTCCCGTGGGAAAAGTTAAGCAGTGCCACCTGCCTGTCCCAGTTCAGATTCATCTTCTGTAGGCCTGAGGGACAGAGGAGAGAAAGTGAGAGGGGCAGCTGAGCCCTCAGGCTCTCTCCAGAAGACCCTGTTGCAGGCAGGGAGGGAAGAGCCAGCAGTAAGCCCGGGGCCTGGAGGGGTGGCATTGAGGAGGAGGATGATGACAGCCATCACAGAGAACTGGACACAAGTCAGGCATGGGCCTGGGACCATTTATTATCTTCTGAGGCACAGGGTGATTAGGTAACTTGTCCAAATTCACACAGCTAATAATTGGCAAAGTTCAGATTTGAACCCAAGCCTTCTGACTTTAGGGTCCCTTCTGAGCTCACCCTCTTATCTTACAAATGAAAATTAAGGCTCGGAATGTGAGCTGCCTAGAGTGGTCACAGAGCTCTTTGGCGGCAGAGGTGAGAATAGAAGGCCAGGTGTGGTGGCTCACACCTGTAATCCCAGCACTTTGGGAGGCTGAGGTGGGAGGGTCACTTGATCCCAGGAGTTTGAGACTGGCTTGGGCAACATAGCAAGACCCCATCTCTACAAAAGATTAAGAAAATTAGGCCTGGTGATGCATGCCTGCAAGCCCAGCGGCTCAGGAGGCCGAGGCAGGAGGATTGCCTGAGCCTAGAAGGTGAGGCTACAGTGAGCTGTGATCACGCCACTGTGCTCCAGCCTCGGTGCAAGCCCTGCCTCAAAAAAAAAAAAAAAAAAGAACAAAGTGTGCTGAGTGGACTTTTATGTGTCTTTGCTCTTCAAAGTGGGAGTGAATAGCATGTTTCTGCTGCAATTTTGCTTCCTTCAGCCCCAAACACTCTGGGAAAACCATTAGAGAATCCACACAAATTTACCCCATGAGCTGCTGTCTCCCCAGGTCAGGGGCACCACAGACACCTGCTGGCATCAGAGAGAGAGGTTTCTTCCTTTCAGATCACCCAGTACTGTTCCTTAGGCCTGGTGTCCATCAGGCAGGAAGCCCAAGCCAGAGCTGGGGCACCACTGCAATCCCCCCATCTTGCTGGGACTTTGCCTTTTTCTTCCTATAAAAGGGACAACAGTGCTGTCCCTGACTACTGCAAAACCAGGGAGACCAGGAGGTTCCTTCCCCTGCCCGCTTCCTGGATTCAGAGTTAATTTCCCTGAAGTCTCCTGGTGGTAGAGGGGAAGGGGCTCATTTGATGTCAGCAGGTACGAAGGGAAGGGTTGGAGTGCTGAGAACTGCCCCCCACTTGCTGTTCTTTTTATTGCAGTGGAGTTCACAGGGCCCCCACAGAAGCCCCCGAGGCTGGGCGCACAGGTATGTGTTGGCTCTGCTGAAACTGATAAATGAGAGTGGGGGTTGCACAAAACTGAAGACCATGGTCTATGAAAGATTCACAGTTCTCAGATAGAATCCAGTTCAGTGTCCTCATGATACAGATGAAGCCCGGGGTTAGGGGGCGGGTGGCGGGGTGCCTTGCCTAAGGCCACACAGCTAATTCATGAAAAAGCAAGAGGAAGAACCAATCTCCCACTCTCCATCCCCCTCCCAGACTTGGAGTAGAGCTCCCTGGTCCAGCTTCAGGGAAAGTGGTGTGGGCTGCTTCCCTCTTCTGAGCCTCCTCACTTGGTTTCCAGCATCCATTGTCCTTACAGCCATCTGGGGTGGTGCTGGCTTTCTTTCCTCTGGAACAGTGGTTCTCAGCCTTGGCTGTCCATTAAAATCACCCAAGGAGCTTTGAAACTCTCTGCATAGGCCAGGTGCCGTGGCTCACACCTGTAATCCCAGCACTCTGGGAGGCCACAGCAGGAGGATCGCTTGAGCCCAGGAATTCAAGACCAGCCTGGGCAATATAGCAAGAACCCATCTTTACTAAATTTTTTTAAAAAAGATTAGCTGGACTTGGTGGCACGCCTGCTACTCAGGAGACTGAGGCAGGAGGATTGCTTGAGCCCAGGAGGTCAAGGCATTAGTGAGCTATGACTGTGCCATTATACTCCAGCCTGGGCAACAGAATGAGATCCTGTCTCTTCAAAGAAAAAAAGCCTGCCTGCACCCTATGTCCAGGTGGTGGTTCTAATAGTCTGTTGTGAGGCTACCACTAGTATTCCGTTAAGGCTCCCTGGCTGGAAACTGCCCCAGAAGTGGACAGAGGCAATGCACCCCGGGACAGGGCACAATTATTCTAAAGAAGAGTCCTTTCCAATCGGGCTGGTGGTGGAGTTGGCCACAGTGGTGCCTGCCCAGGAAAGAATCATTCCGTGCCCCTGGCTCTCCCCAACTCACTGGCCACCTGCGTCTTCCCCTCAGTCCATCCAGCCCACAGCTAACCTGGACCGGACTGATGACCTGGTGTACCTCAATGTCATGGAGCTGGTGCGGGCCGTGCTGGAGCTCAAGAATGAGCTCTGTCAGCTGCCCCCCGAGGGCTACGTGGTGGTGGTGAAGGTGAGAGCAGGGCTGGGTTGGGGAGGTGGAGGCGGCTCAAGTCCGCCCTGGAAGGAAAGGGGACTGCGCTTCCTGTTGGCTGGCCCAGCAGATCCTCTTAGAGCAAGCTGGGCCAGGGGAATTGAGTCCCAGGCCACTCGCGGGGGACAAGCACCACCCCAGGAGAGCTCTTCCCAGGGGAAACCTGGCTCTCTCCAATAGCTAGGAGTGGCGGCCATCCTGCCCCTTTCTCCCCCCAGAATGTGGGGCTGACCCTGCGGAAGCTCATCGGGAGCGTGGATGATCTCCTGCCTTCCTTGCCGTCATCTTCACGGACAGAGGTGAGCGTCCCATTCCAGACAGCACCATAGGCTGTTGCTTTGCTCCTGCTTATGAGCCTCATTAGAGGCTCATGATGGCTGCCTGGGCAACCTCATGTCTGTCCACTGAGTCCCCACCAGGTGGGTTCTATGTGGCTTATCCATCAGCTACCACCAGAGGGCTGAGAGGGCACCCAGGGACCTGGCCAGAGGCTAGCAGGGATTTCCTAGTTCAGGTCTCCAGATGACGGCAGTGAATTCTTTCTGAGTTTATGCTAAAGGGGACACACCTTCCTTTCCCCCCTCCTATTATTGTTTATCTGGTTGCCTTGCCGTCTGTGTTAAGATTAACATGGATGTGTCATAGAAATATCACTTAAGGTTTCTTTATTTAATCTGATTTTCTTTATTTAAATAAGAAACAATCACTGAAAATCAAAACAAGAGTCTTGGTGCTCCATGAGATGGTTCCTGTAGTAGGGAGAGTAAAGGCCCCCAAAGATGTCCACATCCTAAGCCCTGGCACCTGAAAACATGCCACCTTCCATGGCAAAAGAGACTTTGCAAATGTGATAAAGTTAAGGACCTTGAGATTGGGAGATTGTTCTCAGTTATCAGACTGAGCCCAGTGTTGTCACAGGGATCCCAGGATCAGGGGTCCTGATCTTACAGGGATCTCTGTGACAACACTGGCTGGGTGTGGAAACTCACATCTATAATGCCAACCATTTGGGAGGCCAAGGCAGGTGAATTGCTTGAGCTCAGGAGTTTGAGACCAGCCTGGTCAACATGGCAAAACCATACAAAAATTAGCTGGGCGTGGTGGCCTGTGCCTATAGTCCCAGCTGCTCAGAAGGCTGAGGTGAGAGGATAGACTGAGCCTGGGAGGTGGAGGCTGCAGTGAGCCATGGTCATACCACTGCACTCCAGCCTGGGTAACAGCAACACCCTATCTCAAAATAATAAATAAAACAAGAGGGAGGCAGTGTGTGACAAGAGACACATGGTCAGGGTGACAGATGTGATGGATGAAGGAGGCCGCAGGCCAAGGAAGGCAGCAGCCTGTCAGAGCTGGAGAAGGCAAGTCTCCTCTGTAGCCTCCAGGGAGAACAAGCCCTGTGGCCACCTTGACTTTAGCCCAGTTGGACCCACTTCAGACTTTTGCCCTTCAGAACTATAAGACAATAAATCTGTGTTGTTTTGCGCCACTAAATTTCTGGTAATTTGTTGCCAAAGCCATAGGCACACAATACAGTGCCATGGGACGTTTGTTGGTTCTCCGTCTGGAGCCCTTTGATCCACTGCCTCCCAGCAGCCAGCCCTGCGGCACAGATGACTACCACATCCCACCACTGTCCCCACTGTCAGTGGCCACCCAAGGAAGGAGAAGGCAGGAGAGTTTGGGCCAATTTCTGGCCTCTCTCTCAGGGGCAGTGACAACACATACAGGAGCCCTAGGTGGGGCTGTGGGGCTGTCTTGTCTCATTTAAGAGCTCCTTACCCTTGGGATGCCAACCCATTCATTCATTCATTCATTCATCTACTTCATTTGTAAATACCTCTTGAGCACCAGCTATGAACAGGCACACCTCATTTTATTGCACTTTGCTTTAATTGCACTTCCCAGATATTTCATTTTTTACAAATTGAACATTTGTGGCAACCCTACAATGAGCAAGCCTATTGGTGCCATTTTTCTAACAGCACGTGCTCACTTTGTGTCTCTGTCACATTTTGGTAATTCTCACAATATTTCAAACTTTTTCATTATGATTATAACGGCTATGGTTGGTGATTGGTGATTGGTGATCAGCGATGTTAGTATTGTAATCGTTTTGAGGGGCCATCATAAACTGTGCCCACATAAGACTTATCAATAAATGTTGTGTGTGTTCTGACTGCTCCTCCGACCATGCATTTCCCTATCCTCTCCTTGGGCCTCCCTTTTCCCTGGGACACAACAATATTGAAATTAGGCCAATTAAGAACCCTACAGCGGTCTCTGCATGTTCAAGTAAAAGGAAGGGTCACCCACCTCTCACTTTAAATCAAAAGCTAGAAATGATTAAGCTGAGTGAGGAAGGCATGTTGAAAACCAAGACAGGCCAAAAGATAGGCCTCTTCTGCCAGTTAGCCACGTTGTGAATGCAAAGGAAAAGTTAGCTGCTCCAGTGAACACATGAATGATAAGAAAGTGAAACAGCCTTATTGCTGATATGGAGAAAGTTGGAGTGGTCTGGATAGAAGATCAAGCCAGCCACAACATCCCCTTATGCCAAAGCCTAATCCAGAGCAAGGCCTTCAATTCTATGAAGGCTGAGAGAGATTCAGGAAGTTGCAGAAGAAAAGTTGGAAGCTAGCAGAGGTTGGTTCATGAGGCTCAAGGAAAGAAATCACCTCTGTAACATAAAACTGAAGGTGAAGGAGCAAGTGCTGATGGAGAAGCTGCAGCAAGTTCTCTAGAAGACCCAGCTAAGATCATTGATGAAGATGGCTCCACTAAACCACAGATTTTTCAATGTAGATGAACAACTTTCTATTGGAAGCAGATGCCATCTAGGACTTTCATAGCTAGAGGAGAAGTCAATGCCTGTCTTCAAAGCTTCAAAGGACAGGCTGACTCTCTTGTTAGGGGCTAATGCCAGTTGAAGCCAGTGCTGATTGGCCATTCTGAAAATTTTAGGGCCCTTAGGAATTAGGCTAAATCTACTATTGAGGTTTACTACTCAGAAAAAAAAGACTATCTTCAAATATTACTACTCATTGACAGTGCATCTACTCAAGAGCTCAGATGGAGATATAGAAGGAGATTAATGTTTTCACTGCATCCATTCTGCAGCCCATGGATCAAGGAGTAATTTCTACTTTCAACTTCTATTATTTAAGAAATACATTTCTAAGGCCATAGCTGCCATAGATAATGATTTCTCTTATGGATCTGGCCAAAGTTCACTGAAAATATTTTGGAAAGGATTTACCATTCTAGATAATATTAGGAACATTTGTGATTCATGGGAAGAGGTCAAAATATCATTAACCATTTGGAAGAAGTTGATTCCAACCCTCATGGATGATTTTGAGGGGTTCAAGCCTTCAGTGGATGGCTGGGTGTGGTGGCTCACGCCTATAATCTCAGCACTATGGGAGGCCAAGGTCGGAGGATCACCTGAGGTCAGGAGTTCAAGACCAGCCTGGCCAACATGGTGAAACCCCATCTCTACTAAAAATACAAAAATTAGCCAGGCGTAATTGCAGGTGCCTGTAATCCCAGCTACTCGGGAGGCTGAGGCAGAAGAATTGTTTGAACCCAGGAGGCGGGCATTGCAGTGAGTTGAAATTGCACCACTGCACTCCATCCTGGGCAACAGGAACAAAACTCAGTCTCAAAAAAAAAAAAAAAAAAAAAAAGATCAGATTCGCATTTTAGAAAGTATGAGGTATGAGGGGATGTTTCCATGAAGGGACGGTCAGGCTGGGCTTACACAGGGTTGGCTGGGTTCTGAGATGTCTGTGATGTCAGTCCTTGCAGACCTGACTCGACCCTGCACGGGGTGTTGCATTCAGCCCTCTCCTAGGTCTGATTTGCTTCCAGGGAACTTCTGATTGCTTTGGCCAGCATGCAGGTGGACACCTCTGTGGCTTCCCTATCCTCCAAGCACAGACTTTGTGGCCTCTCAACCTGTCCTGTGTGATCTTCCTACAGATCGAGGGCACCCAGAAACTGCTCAACAAAGACCTGGCAGAGCTCATCAACAAGATGCGGCTGGCACAGCAGAACGCCGTGACCTCCCTAAGTGAGGAGTGCAAGAGGCAGATGCTGACGGCTTCACACACCCTGGCTGTGGACGCCAAGAACCTGCTCGACGCTGTGGACCAGGCCAAGGTTCTGGCCAATCTGGCCCACCCACCTGCAGAGTGACGGAGGGTGGGGGCCACCTGCCTGCGTCTTCCGCCCCTGCCTGCCATGTACCTCCCCTGCCTTGCTGTTGGTCATGTGGGTCTTCCAGGGGGAAGGCCAAGGGGAGTCACCTTCCCTTGCCACTTTGCACGACGCCCTCTCCCCACCCCTACCCCTGGCTGTACTGCTCAGGCTGCAGCTGGACAGAGGGGACTCTGGGCTATGGACACAGGGTGACGGTGACAAAGATGGCTCAGAGGGGGACTGCTGCTGCCTGGCCACTGCTCCCTAAGCCAGCCTGGTCCATGCAGGGGGCTCCTGGGGGTGGGGAGGTGTCACATGGTGCCCCTAGCTTTATATATGGACATGGCAGGCCGATTTGGGAACCAAGCTATTCCTTTCCCTTCCTCTTCGGCCCTCAGATGTCCCTTGATGCACAGAGAAGCTGGGGAGGAGCTTTGTTTTGGGGGTCAGGCAGCCAGTGAGATGAGGGATGGGCCTGGCATTCTTGTACAGTGTATATTGAAATTTATTTAATGTGAGTTTGGTCTGGACTGACAGCATGTGCCCTCCTGAGGGAGGACCTGGGGCACAGTCCAGGAACAAGCTAATTGGGAGTCCAGGCACAGGATGCTGTGTTGTCAACAAACCAAGCATCAGGGGGAAGAAGCAGAGAGATGCGGCCAAGATAGGACCTTGGGCCAAATCCGCTCTCTTCCTGCCCCTCTTTCTCTTTCTTCCTTTACTTTCCCTTGCTTTTCCCTCTTTTCTTACTCCTCCTCTTTCTCTCCCCAACCCCCATTCTCATCTGCACCCTTCTTTTCTCATGTGTTTGCATAAACATTCTTTTAACTTCTTTCTATTTGACTTGTGGTTGAATTAAAATTGTCCCATTTGCTTTGCGGTTTGTTTTGTTTGTTTGACCTGCCCTTTGGGGGATAATGGGGACTGTGAGCCAAGTCCTGGAAGAAACCTATTGTGTTCATGTTGGACAGAGATCAAGGGCTATCCAGCGCTGGTCATCAGCCAAGGAGGTTTGAATGGTGATATCCGGCAGTGGGTCAGGGGTGTGCGCTGGCCCTTTTGCCCTTGCAGGGACAGTGGGGGGCAACTTTCCAGGAGGGACCCAGAGCAGTCCCCTCCATGGCCACATGAGGAATGCCATGTCATTTCTCTCTTAGTGGGCCCCCAAACCACCCAGGCTCTGGAGGGGCTTGGGTGACACTGGCGATGTTGAAGTGCAGCTGGCAAGGAGGGGGTCGCACAGTTGAGTCAGCAGTAGGTGCAGCTTTATTTAATCTCTTTATTCACATGCAAGATGGATGGGAGACATGGATAACAGAAGTGAACATCACTGTCTCAGGAGAGTGGGTCTGGGAGCCTGGACCCGAGAGCTCTGAGGCCTCCGGAGAGCAAGTGGGAGGAGAGGGGGCGCTGGGGGCTGCATGCACACGAGTAGACAGGAGCCAGAGACCAGATGTGCCATGAGCAGGGGGGTTGTGGGAGAGAAGTGAGGCATGGCAGGGCCTGGGCCAGGGCGTCACAGCCAGGCTGGTTTCCCCTGAGAGTGTCAGGGAGAGACATTTTGGGGTTTGGAAGGAGGGGACCCCTAGGACCAAAAGGAAACTGGAAGCTCGCCCTGCTCGGCTTCCTGCCTGGAGCCTCCATGCTGTCCCGAGAACCCGATGCCCACATCTGTTAGCTGCCAATGTCCCACCCTCCAGTCTGGACAGAGTTGGGGGGAGGTCTGTTGCCCGATCCCAGGAGCAGCAGCTCGGCCTGGGATCCTGGGTGCAGCCTCAGACTGTGGGGTGGTGCATTGCATTCCAAGGTGCACACACAGGCTGCTCTGAAGGGTTCAGAGCAGGTCAACACACCTCGGGGCTCTGGGAGAGACGAGGCAGGCTGATAAGGGACGGGACCACAGCTTTGCCATCTACACAACAGTCCTGGGGCCCAAACAATCCAGCTTGCTCCCCTCAACCACTCAGAACAAACGCCCTAAGTGCTGACCCCACTCACCCGGCGCTGTGCTAGGTGCTGGGGGTGGGAAAAATAACAGGCAGAGTACCTGCCTTTGAGAAGTTCAGAATCAAAGGAACTAAAGGCAAAGATCTTCAACTCCCAAGTGAGGCCTCCTCCTGATGGAGCCAGGCACAGGGAACAGGGTTCCTGGGGAGGGAAGGAGGGGTGAAGGGAGGGAGGACAGGCCAAATGAGATGAGTTTGAGGTGGGTCAGGAGCAGCTCAGGATGGTCTTTCTTGTTTGCCTGCTGCACGCGTAGGGACATATGGAGCCCCTGCAGGCCATGGCTCTCAGCTCTGCCAGACCTCCTGGGGGCCGGCTGGTGCAGAGCCATTTTGCAGCAAGGAAGGAGAGGAATGACGTCAAGGAGAAGCCTGGAGGCTCAAATGTGCTTCCAGATGGATGGAATAGCCCAGCCACCTGTATCCAACCATCCATCCCTCCCCGGTAGGGAAGATCTGCCCTGTACCTCCACATCAGGTGCAGGCCCTGCCTCCCGCTTCCTCCCCTTCCAGAAGAGCCCTTATTACTCCCCTGCTGGACCATACAGCTCAGCACCCTGCAAACTCGGACAGACTCCAAACTTCAACCCCAGCCTGACTTACAGAGACCTCACCTGGCTCTCCAACCTCCCACCTCACCTGGCTGTTCTCCCTGGCACTTTGGGCTCATCTCCAAATCTAAACATTGTTCAAAGCCCTTCCACATCCAAGAACCCTCCCCTTTGCCCCCACGGCCCCTCCTTTGAGGTCTGCATTCCCTTCCTCGTCACCCTGGCCCCACTGTCCCCCTGGTTGACCCTTCTGTCACTTAGGGTCTGCACTGCTCCTCCAGGAGAATCTTACTCTGCCCCACTTGGTCACCACACTATTGCGACCTTCTGCAGAGCTTCCCCAGCTCCTCCGTATCCAAAACAGGGCTTTGCACCCAGCAGGCTGTCAGCCCTGGTACAATAACGTTAAGCTGGATGGAAGCCTGCAATCCCTGGGTCAGTGTCCAGACTCCGCGGAGAGGCACCTGCTCATCCCAAAGGGGACACCAGAGGCAGCTGTAGCAGAGACGGTCAAAAGATGGTCAGCGGGGGTGCCCTGGGAGCCAGCTCGAGGGAGGTGCAGTCAGATCATTCCAGCTAGGAACGGAGGCAGAAAGAGGCCGATGGTCCCCAGGAAGCAGACGATGATAAACAGCCAGAGGAAGATCCTGTCGATGACCATGGCAACATACTTCCAGTCCTCCTTCACCTGTGGGGAAGACAGCACACAGTGACAGGGGCCAGGCCTGGGAAAGGGATGTGTTCCCCCCATTCACAGCCCCTGCACAGGCGGCCACTGGGGGCAGCAGCAACTGCCCCACAGAGACCTTGGGGAGCAAAGGTCAGCACAGGGAGCGGGGTGAGTGGAAGGGAGGGACGGGCTGTTTCAAGGCTCCAGTAAGCTCCACTGATGATTCCCCTCCCATCCCAGCCCCTCCACATGCCCAGACCTGTCCATATTATGCTCCTAGACTATAGGTAAAGGAGGCTAGAGGGACGCAAGGAGGCGGCACGACCACCCAGGGGCATGGGCCCTTCTAGGGGGCCTGCAGTGACTTCAATGCAACACCAGACTTTGCTGCTCACAGGTTGCCTCCTCACCCACCTGCTGGAGCTGGGGAGAGGGAAACAGGCGAAGGTGGTTGGGACCCCAGGCAGGCTGGGGGTGGGGCGGGGGCTTTGTAGAACTTGGGCTCACAGCCCAGACAAGGGAGCCTGGATTCTCCACTGCTCCTGGATGACATCATGATTAATTTTCTTGTCTGTTCATCAAGGCCACTCAGTAATAACCTCCCGGCCTTTCATCCTTCCCTAGGCTTAGTAGAATTTTGTGCTAGAGTAGCGGCCTGCTCAATGGCAGACAGGAGCTGGGGCAGGGGTCAGGGTGGGGCCAATGCCATGGCAGGGGCGGGGGAGCGGAGTCCACCTGGCACAACCAAGAATCTGCAGGGTTTATGGTTGAAGAGTGAAGTTTGCAAGATCCTCAGGAGCCCATGAACAAGGAGGCGGAGGAAGAGACCATCCAAGACAAAAGACAAAGGCTGACACTGCAGCAGCTGACTTTCTGGGTCTCTCCTGAAATGCTCCCCCTGCCTGCCGCCACCTCCAAGGCAATGGTGGGAGCTGGCGGCGTGAGGGAGGCACGGGGTTCAGCATCTGGGATCCTCCCTCTCCGGCTCTCAGGATCCCTGTTAGGCTGAGCTGCTCATGCCTGACTCCGTGGTGTGTAACATGCCACGTGCCAATAAACGTCCTCAAAGCGGCCAGCTACATGTGCTCTCTTGCTATTTATTCCATCTAAGGACCATGACTGAGGAAAGTGGGCCTTCACGAGAGGGGCCTGGGCTGCCCAAGCTCACACTCTGCGGTAAGGTGGTTCCCCGCTAAGTTGGTGGGGCCACCCAGGCTGGCGCCTCTCCCAACCCCAACGCACCGAAGAGTCAGCATCCTCAGACCGCAGGTGGTCGGCAATGTAGTGCACACCTTCCAGTGCCTTCTGCATGTGGGGTGATAGCAGCAGCTCACCCTCCTGCAGCAGAGCCTCAGCCTTGGGACCTGAGGCCCCAGAGTGCAGGTGGCCGTGGCTGCAGAGGGTGCCCACAGAGGGGGCCACATGACCTGCACATGCCCATCTGTCCTCCTCCTCCACCACCACCTCCCTCTCCTCGGCATCCACGTTGCTCTCCAGCCAGTGATAAGAGGGGCTGAGCTTCAGGCGTAGGGGGTGGCAGAGCTCCACGGGTGGTGGGGGCCGGTTCATCAGAAGCCACCGGGGCACACAGCCCAGAAGGGCCCCCCGCACCCAGTGGGGCATGGTGTGGGTGCTGGGGGAGCGGTGGTGCACATTGAGCACGAAGACGGTGATGACGATGGACAGGGTGACGAAGATCATGGTGAACAGCAGGTACTCGCCGATGAGCGGGATGACCAGCGAGGTGGACGGGATGATCTCAGTGATGAGCAGCAGGAAGACGGTGAGTGACAGCAGCACCGAAATGCACAGCGTGATCTTCTCGCCGCAGTCGGAGGGCAGGTAGAAGACCAGCACAGTGAGGCAGGAGATGAGCAGGCAGGGGATGATGAGGTTGATGGTGTAGAAGAGCGGCAGCCGCCGGATGACGAAGGCGTAGGTGACGTCGGGGTAGATCTCGGCGCAGCAGTCGTACTTCTTGCTGTTGTAGGTGCCCGTGGCATTGACGATGGCCCACTCGCCGCTCTCCCAGTAGTCCTTCAGGTCCACAGTCTGCTCCATCTGCTCCAGGTCGATCTTGGCCTTGTCATAAGTCCAGGAGCCAAACTTCATCTTGCAGTTCTGCTGGTCGAAGGGGAAGAAGGTGACGTCGATGCTGCAGGAGCTCTTGTAGATGGCCGGGGGCACCCAGTGCACAGTGCCCGTGGAGAAGAGGTGGGCCTTGGTCATGTGGGTCACTGCAAACTCCCCATCTGCACTGAGAAGAGGAGAGGAGCTGGGGAGACCCCTGCACACCCACCTGCCTGAGCCAGGCTACTCAGAGAGCTGGCAGCAGGGGAACCCGAAGAACCAAGTCAGACCCGGCCACACTGGCGGGGTTTATTTATGCAAGTGTGTAAGTCTCCCCCGGCATGCACATTTATAGCCACTGAGCTGTCTTGTCAATTACTACCTTTTTAAATACAAAAGGAGGAATTGTGAGGAATAGAAGGAAGTACCAAGAATTCTAAAAACAACCACTAATAACATTTTGATGATATATATGTATATATATAAAATGTAAAACGATTATATATACATAATCTATCAGTATATGACAATCATATATTTGTGATCATGGGGTATATGTTGCTTGATTGCCTATTTTTATTCATTTAATATTTTATTTTATTTGCAGTAAGGAAAGAGTTGAATAGACACAAGGCCAGCCACGCCACGGGGGAGAAGGAGATAGCATTCAAAGCATCTCTTCCAAAGTTCGTGCGTGTTAGGGGTTTTTCAAAGGCAGTTTTGGGGAAGGGGTGGGTGTGGCCAGGTGCTTGCTGCTGATTGGCTGGGTGGGGATGACATCACAGGGGGTCAAAGCTGTCCTCCTGCGAGCTGATCATTTAATATATTAGAGTGATATCTATGAGTCTGTTTTTCTTCCCTAGCAGATGATGAGTCGGTCCCTTAGGAGGGCGATCCCTTTCCACCTGGGATCATCCTTGCTCAGAAGAGACCTAACACCTTTGCGGGTGAAGATACTACCTTGAATGTATCCATTTAACATGCGTTTTTGAGCCCCTCATCCGCTAGGGCCTGTACCAGAGCTGTGCAGAAGAGGAATATGAGAAAAGTCCCTGCCTTTAAGGAGCCATGAGGAGATGAGACGTCTCCAGGAACCACTGCAACATCAGGCAGGCAGTTGGCAACACTAAGAGGGCAGTCTGGGTGCTCCCCAGACCCTTTGGGGGAAAACTCCCTTCTGGGAGGTGAGCAGGGTCATCGATAAGCCTGCCGTTTGCAAAAGGCCTTGACTGATGGTAGGATTTGGCTGAGAAATGGGCAGAGAGCCTTCCAGTAGAGGGTCACACAGGGACAGAGAGTGTGAATCAGGGGTATCGTGGGACTAGGCATTCAAGGACCCACAAGGAGTCTGGGGACACTGGAATAGTGGTGACCAGTCAGGTAGCACTTCCTGGAAGCCTCAGCCCCTGATTCCACCAGGAGGTGGCTCGGTGGGCTCCTGCTCTAGTCTTTAACCATCCTCCCTCCCCTTCTAATTCCCACAGTCAATCCTAAAATCCAAGAAATCAGAAGAGTACTTGGGAACAGGGGGCTTTTTTCCCCCATGGAGTAGTTCCATGGTAGAGATATGGGCAGGCTGGAAATAGGAACTTTGAAAGGGAGTAACAAATACATTGAGACAAAAGTTAAAAAAAATTTTTTTTTGAGGCGGAATCTCACTCTGTTATCGGGCTGGAGTGCAGGGGTGTGATCTCGGCTCACTACAACCTCTGCCTCCCAGGTTCAAGCAATTCTCCTGCCTCAGCCTCCCAAGTAGCTGGGACTACAGGTGCCACCACCACACCCGGCTAATTTTTGTATTTTTAGTAGAGACAGGGTTTCACCATGTTGGCCAGGATGGTCTCAATCTCTTGACCTCCTGATCCGCCGGCCTCGGCCTCCCAGAGTACTGGGATTACAGGTGTGAGCCACCGCGCCCAGGCAAAAACAAAAAATTTTTAAGCATTTTGTTTATCACAAACAATGACCACTAGATGGCAACATGTGCTCACTTGGGGGAAGGAACCTTGCAAACTCTAAGATGCCTTCCTCTTAACCTTGAGTGGGGTATCTGGGTGGAGGGGATCCATCTCTAAATGTAAGCAAGACTTCGGCTTGGAATTTTGTCCCCCACCAACATTTCTTGTAATAAATCAGGTAACACCGGCTGAAGTCTTATTGGATAATTGTCAAACTCGAAGTCATATTTGATGTAGGACTTTGCTCCTGACCTCTGCCACATGTACAGGAAGTGGAAACTAGAAGGACCCTGGGTGCCAGCTATGGGGCACAGAGATACGACAGGGTGGGGAGTTCATGAGTCCTGCAGCAGCTGCAAACACTAGGCACCTGCTGTGTGAGAGCGGCCAGTGTAAGAACCCAGGATGAACACGTGTTCCCCAAAATGGCTTAGGTGCAAGGGCGTAGTTCTGACCAGAACTGGACGGTGTAAAAAAAAAAATCTGACCCATCTGAAGACACAAAATCCAGAAATGGGTTGTTTTTCCTTTTATTTCTTTCTTTAAAGATAGCATTTCCAAAGTAGGATCAAATGAATTGGGAAATGCTGGGCTAGGTGGGTGTCTTTGCTGCAGAACTTCAAATAACATTTTTTAAAATGCTATTGTGCTCTGCCATTTTCCAAAGGACTTGGGTGGGGATGGGGGTGGGTGTTGTGACATACAATGTTATCCAAAATTACTTGACCACAGAACCCTTTTTCATACCTATTTATAACTCAAAGAAGCCATGCTCCTTACAGCCCCACCTTAGAAAACCTTTTTAGATGAACATAACACCAAATATCTTTTCATTTTAACTTCTTTACTTCTAAGGGAAGAATTGTCTGATACCAAACACAGAAATGAAATTATAGATGTCTATTTATTCCATCAAAATATTTTTTATTGATTTATTTTTGTCCCCTGGGGCTCTCTTTAGACTCCTCTGCCTTCTATTAACTTCTTGTCATTGTGGTCAAAGATTACTCCTTTTTAGTCTTGAAGACAACTACAAAACAACATGATTGGGAAAAAGGAAACTGCATACCAAGTGAGCACATGCCCTTTGAAGGTGCTGGCCCGATGCTGCCTGCCTGTCTGAACAACACTGCCACCCCTCACAACTTCAACCCCAAGGTATTGTTTTTTGAGCCTGCACCAAATTTTTCAAAGAATACTCAGTATGGACAAATCTCTGTCCCTCTAGCACAGTGCCAGGCACTGATACCTAAAAGGTGCTCAGCTGCCATTCATTTTGGTGTAGAGTGAGAACAAAAGGAAAGAAATGAAGGAATAGAGAGAGAGGTAGGGGAGGCATGCTCAGCACAGCAGTCGAGAAGGAGGCGAGGAAGCTGACACCAGGGGGGCCCCTCCCAAGGCCATGGACCCGGCCCCTGCAAGTTGGCCTCCCCTCATCCCCCCAGGACCCCAATGGCTTCCTACTTGTTGTAGAGAACAATGTCGGGGATCCAGATCATCTCAGAAGGGACCCTGAGAGATGTGATGTTGCCAAAATCAGTGGGGTTCCAGCGCAGTTTGTAGTCGCTCCACTCCTGTGTGTGGGGAAGGAGTTGTGTCAACCTCGCTTCCAGGGAGCAGCCTAGGGCAAAGCTAGCACACCCCGGGGATGCCCAGAATTGGGCCAAGCAGCCCCCTTGGAGCAGCCAGGGCTCCCCACCCAGCCCAGAATAGTGGAGGGAGCTGCGGTGCTGGGAACGGGCTCTGAGCAAGTAACCAACCTTCTCGCTTTGCCTGGACTTTAGTAGTCAAGGTCCCGGGCACATGAAGTTCACCCTTGTCCTGCCTCTAGTCCTCGCTCTGCCAATCCCTGGCTGGACGACCTTGGTGGGCCACCTCACTCATCTCTAGTGAAATCTCTCATTTTTAGGGCATCACAGTTTATGGTTTGTTTTATGCTCTCCATCTAGGAAAAGCCTCCACGGGAGAGCCAAGCGGGGAATGCAGAGCAGGTGAAAGTATCTCCCCATTTAGCAGATGAGCAAACTGAGGACCCAGAGACAGGAAAATCAACCAGCCAGAGGCATACAGTGAGGCAGGGGTGTTACCCGGGGACCTTCAAACTGCACTCTCAAGTGCCCCACAGGAGTCCCACCAGAGACGGGATGTCTGGCCCCCACCCCTGCCTCCACCGACGCAGGTCCAAATCAGTCCCCCTGCCTCCATCAGGTTCGTATTATCTCCGTAGTCCATCTGTCAAGTTTTCAGGTCCAACCAACATTTTGAGGCACCCACACCAAATTGTGGTACATTAATCCTCCCAGGCATGTGGCAGTAGGTTGTGTTATCCTCATTTTGCAAATGAGGAAACTGAGGCTCTGAGAGGTTACGTAGCTCATCCAGTATCACAAGCTAATCAGAGGCATTGCTGACTGGCCTCAAACTCCAGTACTCCTTCCTTGCCCTGCCACCCCAACCCTGAAGCCCAGGTGACCAGCCCATGGGGACAACTGTGGCAGCCCAGGTTCTAGGCCTGCCTCCCTGCACACATACACCGCATGACTGGGTAGCTTCCAAGTTCCTGCTTCCCTCTGGCCCTCAGCTGTCACATCTGTAAAGATGAGATGAGTGACCCCCTGATAGCTCCTGGGTTACAGCATCAGAGGGAGGGAAGCCTCCGACCTAAGCGGGATCTGTGCGCCCTTTCCTGAGTCTAACTGGGCTCTATGACTGTCTGGACCAGTAGTATACAACAAGATCAATGCTGGCCCAGTTTCTTTTACTCCCTGTCTCTTGGGACTCTCACTCTGGAATCCCTGAACCACCAGGCAGGATGTCTGACTCCCCTGCTGGAGAGACTCTGAGGATGCCTGAAGGGGGCGAAGGGCCCATCTGAGTCCAGCCTTCCAGAACCTTCCAGCACCTTCCAGAGCCTTCCAGACATCCCTGCTAAGGGACAGATGTGTGAATTAAGCTGTCTCAGACCCTCCAGACCAGATGAACCCTCACTCAAATATCACAAAGTAACCCTAGTGGTCACCATGTGAAGCAGAAGAAACCACCCAAACTCCTGGCCATAAAGCCATGAGATACAGTGAGCTGGGAGCTGCTGTGAGCCTCTAAGTTTGGGGTTATTTGGGTGGCAGTATAGGTATTAAGCACTCAGCGTTCTCCCATAGAAGGAGCCTGGGACTCGGAGTCAGGCACAGCTGGGCCCCCTTTTCCAGCCCAGCTTCTCTCTGCTTCGTGATCTCCTGAGCTGTAAAATGGGCAGAATGAACCCCCCGTGGGGCTTTGGGGAGGATTCCGAAGTAGCAGGGATGAACAGATGCCTGTTCCCAGGAAAGCACCACTTGGCTTTCTAGTGCCTGAGGCTATGTTCTCAGGCACTAGACTCCAGTCTAGCCACAAAGAGCACAGGCCCTGTGGAAAAAGTCAGCTTTGGGAACATCCCACATGGCATCTGCTTGGTAAACTAAGTTCAGGGTCTTGCTGTTCCTTGGTCTTTCACTAGCGAAGAAGTCCTGGAGGGGTCTGGGGTCCATGGATTCCCGGTACCCGCCACCTGGACTGGAGGAGGGGGGCCCTCACCTGTTTTAGCCAGACGTTGGTGGTCATCATTTGGTTCTTCTCATCCTGGCCCAGAGAGAGACAGAGGAGCAATTAAAGGGGTGGGCCCAGCCCCAGAAGACAGGGTGGAGTGGGATGGGCTGTTTTCAGACCCTCTGATAGGACACCCCAAGCCCAGCCCGCCCGCCACCCACTCTGAAACCTGCCACCCTTACTCAGATTCTCCAGGGTCACACAGGCACTGCTGCCAATCAATGCCCTCCTAGGAGGGAGCTCCAGAGCTGGGAGAGGGGAGAGCGTAGCCGCCCTGGGAAGAGCCATCCCCAACCCCACCCCAAGTCACTGCTGTGCGTGAGGGCAGGGCTGGGGTAGAGGAAGGAGCAGGGGGAAAGCGGTGGGTGGTCTGGGATCTCCTTCCTCGGGCCAGCGGTGGGAAGACAGGCGCACCACATCGATGAGCTGAGCGATGGACAGTCCAAAGCGCACAATCACCACGTCTGAAGTGTTGGGCACCGGGCGCGCCCAGCGGTTGTAGCCCCGGAAGAGGTGTTTGAAGAGCCGGTCCTCAGTCTCGGTATGCGAGCCTCCCTGCGGCAATGCCGTGGGACTGGGAGAGGAGAGTGGGTCTCCAGGAGCCCTGGGAGGTGGGCGCTTAGCTTCCTCTCCACCTGCCATCAAATCAGAGCCACTCAGCCTCACTGAGCCTCAGTTTGCTCATCTGTAAAATGGAGATGCTTATCCAGAACCTATCTCAAAACATTGTTGAAGATGGCAGATGATAATGTCTATCAGAGCTGAGCACAGCATGAGCAGGCTGCGGGGTCGGAGCTCAGGAAAGGTCAGCTGTTTTGTGATGTTAGAGAAGAAAAGAGTGAGAACTAGTGCTGCAGGTGGCGAGGGGCAGGGGCAGAGGCAGGGAAGAGGGGAAACGAATCTAGAGACAAGATTCAGCCCCATATGGAGGAGTGCCAGGTGGACAGGGAAGTGGAAGAGACGCCTGGTCTACGTGGCGGGGCTGCAGGGAGAAGGGCTCTGGCATTGCAGTAAGCCTGGCCAGGGTAAGCAGTCTCCCGTTCCCACCCACTTGTCCGATGAACCATTAATGCTAACAGGGAAATGGACCGCTTTGGGAACCTCCCCAATTTTTTCTTAAACCATGGGCATTTGCCACTTCCTATCAGATAAACAAAACTTTTCAAAATGTTTCTATGGCATCGCTCATGTCAGTTTTCACTGTGTTCAGCAAACAGCTTCACCCCTTCAGGGCTCTGCTGTCCGAGCGAGTCGAGAACTACAGCTCCAAATCCCAGAAAAACGTGTCAGCACCATCTGGGACAGAAAGCGCTGTGTCCCGAGTGCCTCCTGTATCCCAGATTCTGGTCACAAACTTGCGTTTAATCCTCACAATAGGCCTGGGAGGTACACAACACTATTTGCGTTTTGCAGCTGAGGACATTGAAGCTTGGGGACATTTAAGGTGACACAGATGCTAACGTCAGAGCTGTGACTGCCCCTCCACCTCTGCCAGTGGAAACAGCCACCTGGCTGATGGCCTCTGAAGTCCCCTGCAGCTTTGACGGTTGCAACACATCCACCTGCAGACTCCTTCCTACAATTTGTGAGCCCACAGGCATGAGATGAAGTCTTACAATGACAGGTGACAAACACTCACCTGCTGGGGTCAGAAGGAGCCACCACAGGCTGAGCTTTGTGAAGGACAGGAACACAGGACAGGAGGGGCCCATGGCTTCTCCTGAGCATCAGGAGGTCAGGTCAGGGCTTTGCTGTGGGTTGCACCATGGACCATGTCCCCAGCAGAGCTGCTGCTGGATTCTGTGAGGATTCTGCTGGATTCTGCGAGGCTTCCTCTCACCACCGAACCTGAGCAAGCCCAAGAAAGGGCTCTTAGGGTCATGCATCCTTGACATAGGCATATTTCTGTTTCTCATGCTCCACACAGGCATGAAATGAGAGCAAAAGGCCCTCAGCAGGCCTCTCAGCAGTTAAGTGCTCCTGGGCTCTCCCTGGCTTATTGAGGAATCAGCCTCTTCCTCTTTCTCCAGAGTCAGCCAGCGACTCTGCCCTAAGACCAGCCCTGACCTACTGGGCAAAGGAGGGCACAGGATGGGACTGAGGTCCCCATTGCTTTGCCTCAGTGGTCATCTATAAAATGGGGATAATCATACTGCAAAGAGTGGTCAATAAAAGGATCAGGGTACTATTCACAAGATCCAAAGAGTGGAAACAGCCTTTTGTCCAAACAAATGTCCATCAGCTGATGAATGGATGGACAAAAGGCAGTAAATCCTTACAACGGAACATGATGCCACCATAAAAAGGACTGAGGTGCTGACGCTTGCTACAGCATGGAGGAACCTAGAAAGCATTGTGCAAAGTACCAGAAGCCAGTGGCAAAAAGCCACATACTGAAGGTGATATTGTAAAAAATATATTTGGTCTTCAATCCTATCTCCTGGAATACAACTCCTAAGATACTGGGAATCTCCAAAATGATATCTTTTTGCATGACTGGTGGCTGGCAGCCCCTAGGCAGCTGCAGGATGGGGCTGGTCACAGGAAGACAAAGGCAGGCTTTAAAGGGTTGGGGCTTTCAGCCCCACCCCTCAAACCTCCAGGGACAGGAGAGGAGATAAAGGTTAAGTTGATCGCCAATGGCCACTGGATTAATCAATCGTGCTGCATAATGAGGCCTCCATAAAACCCCGAAAGGACAGGTTTTGAAGAGCTTCTAAATAGCAGAACATTGGAGGTTCCTGAGGGGTGATGAGCCCAGCGAGGGCATGGAAGCTCCGTGCCCCTTCCCAAACCTTGCCGTATGCATCTCATCACCTGTATCTTACACTATCTCTTATAAGCTAGTAAACCAGTGTTTCCCTGAATTCTGTGAGCCACTCTAGCAAGTTAGTTGAACCCAGGGAGGGGGTCATGGGAACCCCAATTTATAGCCAGTGGGTTAGAAGCACAGGTAAAACAACCTAGGACTTGTGATCGGCATTGACATTGGGGGGCAGTGTTGGGGACTGAGCCCTCGACGTGTGGGATCTGAGCTGTCTCCAGATGGATGGTGTCTGAATTGAATTAGAAGGCACCCAGCTGATCTCTGCTGCAGAATTGACAGCTTGCTTGCGGGTGAGGAGAAATCCCCACATCTTTGGGGGGTCACAGAAGTCTTCCGTGTTGATTGTTGTGGGGTGAGAGCAGAGAAAAACAGTTTGTGGTTTTTCCTACACATTGTATGATCCTACTGATATGGAATATGCAGAATAGGCAAATCTATAGAAACAGAACGTAGATTAGTGGTTGCAGGGGCAGCGGGAAGGAGGGATGGGAAGTGACTGCTTAATGATCACTGAGTTTCCCTTAGAGGGGATAAGAGATCTCTGGAACTAGACGGTGTGATGTTACACAGATGTGTGAATATACTAAAATTCACCGAATTGCACACTTTAAATGGGGGAATTTTATGATATTTGAATTTATCTCAAAAAAAGTTATTATTAAAAAATAAACAAACACCTCATGGATTAAGAAGCAGCAGCTACCCCTCTTGACTGTGGTGACAGTGATATTTGCCAAACATGGAGAATCAATACACAAAGGGTTCTAGTGACCAGAAGGACACAGATGTCAAAGATGGGGTAAATATAATGTTTCATATGAAATGAATGTTTCATAATTGAGAAAATTGGGAAAAGCAGTATTTTAAAATATTATTTTATAGAGTATTTGATTTAAAAAATATATATATATATCACTAAAATAACATTATTGCCTTAAAAGCTTACACATTCAAATTAGCATTTTTTGAAACAGCCCCCCTTATGGAGAGAAGAGCATGGCCTCATGTTCCGGGACACATCGTGTATGTGGCCTAGGGAGATAACAAAGGCTCTCGGTACAGCTAGTGGGTGCAGGATTTCCTTTGGAAGGGTGAGAATGTTCTGGAACTAGATAGTGGTGACGGCTGCACACTGTTCGAATTGTACTAAATGCCAATAACGATCAATTTTATGTTATGTGTATTTAGCCACAACTTTTCAAGAAAGAATAAGGGTAAAAGTGGCTTTAAAAATATAAACCAAGGGCTGGGTACAGTAGCTCATGCCTGTAATTCCAGCTCTTTTGGAGGCCAAGATGGAAGGAGTGTTTGAGCTCAGCAGTTCAAAACCAGCCTGGGCAACATAGTGAGACCCCCCCCGCCGTCTCTACAAAAAATTCAAAAATTAGCTGGGCATAGTGGTGCGTGCCTGTGATCTCAGCTACTGGGAAGGCCAAGAAGGGAGGGTCGTGTGAGCCTGGGGAAGTCAAGGCTGCAATGGGCTATGATCTTGCCACTGCACTCCAGCCTGGACAACAAGCAAGATCCCATCTCAAAAAGAAAATAAAAATAAAAGTAAACCACCGGGTATGAGAGAATCAGAATTATTATTCATGAAGTTGTGAAACCACTTCTATCTAGTCATTCTCATCCCCCCCGTCCACTCTGACACAGACTCTCAACAGTGTTTCCAGCATCACTAATCCTCCATCTCTCCCAGGGTCGGTTGCACCGGCCCATCCTAACCTCCTGGCAGGAGATGAGAGCAGGGCTGGCACTGGCAAATGTCGCTTTGAGTCCTGGCCCCACCACTGGCTGGTGATGATCTGTGAAAGGTCACTCAATCCCCCTGGGATTTTGTCTTAAGATAAAGATTGGACACTTTCTGCCCTGTGGGAGGAGTGACGGGAGCAAACGGGATCACTTGTGCCCATGAAAGTCCCCGGGGAACTGCAGAGGGCTGGTCAGGGAACAGGTTGCTCTTATGGTTGTCAGGGCCCATGACCCACAGTGGCATTGCACAATGACAGTTTGGGTCAAGTAGGAGAAGAGGAATGTGGGAAGGATTTGATGTGAATTTCAATGTGTTGGAATTGCTGGCATATACTGACTACAGCACAGACACCAGAGTGTTTTAGGGGAAAAGGGCCTGCCTGCATCAATTTCCCCAGAAGGTTTCAATTCAAAGACTTGTTGAAAATAGAGGATTACATTTTTCTTCTGTTCCCTTGGGAGAATATTGCCCCTGTCCATGAGCTGCCCTTATCCTCCATGCCACCCTACACCCCATCCTGCCCTGGGATTCCTCCCTTTGTCCCAGCTCTTAGAGGTTCCCGGTTCCTTCCTGGCTCTGAAAATCCCCAGCTGGCAGGTGCAAAAGGTTGGCGGTTCCCAGTATATGTATGGAATGAACTGCCCGAGAGAGCATCCCAAAGCTCTCCCAGAATGGTGCCTCCAGGGGGAGAAGCAGGGAGTCCTGGCAGTGGGAAGCTTCTCCACAGATAGGCCTGGTACACACAGCCCCACTGGAGCTGCTCTGTTCACACAGCAAACCCTGCAGCATAACTGTCAAGAGCTCTCGTTCAGGAGTGCAGCTTTATATAATGTGTAAACTCACATCGCCCTGCAAATTATGCAGAATGTTTGTACAGCACCCACCCCAGCCTGGGCATCAGCAGCTTCTGTGGCTCAGGTGAACCGCAGTGGCAAGGTCTGGGATCTCTGGCCCTCGAAGGTGCAGGGACTTGTCCCCAGGGGACTTCCCCAAAGCAGACCATTGCAAAGGAAACAGCACAGCTAACTGATTTCCAGAGACAGCTTTACCATCTTGCTCTTTTCTCTTTTAATCTCTTTTCTGCATACAAATAGATCACCTGTGTTATCTCTGGGCGCAGGAATTAGAGGTGATTATTATTCTTTTTGACAGTTTTCTGCATTTTCCAAATTTCCCACTATCAACATGTATCGGTCACTTAATATAAAAATAATTTTCAAGCAGGCAGCAATACCTGTGATGTGTTTTACAAGCCCTCCCCTCATCTCACAGCAGCAGGAGCTCACCCAAACTGTGTAGATTTGACTCCACTCTTCCATCAGAATGCAGTGCAGTTCATCAATCAGCTGTGTAAAAAGTGGAAGCAACTCCGGTATCCAGCGACAGATGAATGGTTGAACAAATGTGGTCTATCCATACAGTGGAATATTATTTGTCCTTAAAAAGGACAGAAATTCTGACCCATGCTACAACGTGGATGAAACTTGAGGGCATTATGCTATGTAAAATAAGCCAGTTACAAAAAGACAAAGACA
This sequence comes from Homo sapiens, assembly GCF_000001405.40. Classification (NCBI taxonomy): domain Eukaryota; kingdom Metazoa; phylum Chordata; class Mammalia; order Primates; family Hominidae; genus Homo; species Homo sapiens. The sequence goes on from NC_000008.11 coordinate 27,475,462, forward strand.
TTATGATTCCTTTTATAGGATGTTCCTAGAATAGTCAAATTCATAGAGACAGAAAGTAGAATGGTGGGTGCCAGGAGCTAGGGGGAGGGGAGTGAGGAGTTATTGTTCAATGGGTACGGAGTTTCATTTGGGATGATGAAAAAAATCTACAGATGGACAGTGGTGATGTCTACACAACAATGTGAATGTTCTTAACACGATGAACTATATACAGTTAATAATGGTTACATTATTATGGTAAATTATGTTATGTATATTTTACCACAAAAATAGTCTTTTTAAAGGTCAGCTGTGTTCATCTGGAATCACCTTAGGGCTGAGGCCTAGGAAATGGGATCGCTACATTGATCTGAAAGGTCAAATGGGACTTTCAGAGAAAAGTGGAACTTCCTGTCGTGAGGTCACTCCTTAAGGGTGACCACTGTATCTTATTCACCTCTTCCCTCCAGCCCCAAGCACAGCCCCAGCTTACTTTGTGGGTTCCAGGTGTTCAGAGCTACCTGCAAAAGGTACCCAGGGCAGGAGGAGGGCTCCAAGAGCCTGAGGAAGGAGACTAAGGCTTCTCACTTAATTTGGGGAGCAGCACTGCATCAAACATTTGCATTCATAGTGTGATTGTTTATCCTTTTCTTTGTTTATCTTTCCACTACCTCATTCATTTTGTTGTTGTTGTTGTTTCATGCTTGGACTGTAAGAGAATGTACTACCTCATTCTTCATCAGGGCCAACAGTGTGCCAGGCACTAGGAACAGGGAACTGAGTGAGCTTGAGTAGAGAAGAACCAAAAGGAAGGAAAATGCTAGAGTCTCATCCACTCGTCCACCCCTAATGTGGGGCATGACTTTATTCATTTAGCCCCATTGCTTCCAAAGCCATCCAGGGAGGCCCCAAGTTCCCTGAGGCATCCTTTCCAGGCTTTTTACAACTCTCCACATTGGGAAGCTTTTCCTCGAGTCTGAATCTGCATAAGCATCTGAGAGATGCTTGAGTTGTGTTGAGTTGAGTTTAGAGACCCTAGTGTTGTTATCCGAGATTAAATCTCGTTAATACCCAGGGGAAACTGCAGAGCAGGTGAAGTTTTTTTCTCTGCTCTCCGCAATCATTCAAACACCTGACAATCACAAAGCTGCCTTTCTGGTTCCTTGTCTCTTGTCTCTTTCATCCTTTCTACCTGGAGGATTTAGGATCCTCAAAGATCCCACACCCTTCCCCATTTACCTGTGGCTCAGTGCCATCTAGAAGTTTCATTTGCTAGTTAAAATAAAAAAGAGTTGTGAAATTCCATTGCTTATGTCTACTTTCATACAGGCGTGAAGTTTTTACTAGATATTAGAACACAGGGCTGATTTGGGGCAGGGAACGAGGATTTCAGAATCCCCCTTGATGTTAATTCCTAAAACGTCTTCCTAAGAACACTGTGCATTTATGTTGTTTTCAGGTTTACAAGGTACTTTTGCAGCTTTCACCTATTTGGGCCTCACGTGACCCCTAGGAGGGTGTGGGGAAGAGATATAATTATCCCTTTCATGTAAGTAAAAAAAAAAAAAAACTGATGTTCAGAGAAGTTGACCAAAGCCATATAGATAAAAAGTGATAAAGCTGAGATTCAAGCTAAGATCTTTAGCTTCGAAACTAGAATGCGATAAATTATAACGTGGTGTTAACTAGGGGGGCGATTTCGTATTAGCAATTCAGCCAGTACTCACCTGTGTTCCGTAGACCCTAGCACTGTGTCTGTCATTGCTAAGCCACCATCAGGACTGAGGTCTGTTGAGGACAAGTGAGGAGAGGGGACAGGCACCTCACCCCAAAGCTAGGCCCACCTGGATCCCAGATTCTAGCAGGTTCCTCTAGTGCAGATTCACTTTCTCATCCAGCCAACCAATATCATAGTTGCAAATTCCAAAGCTATCATCTGTTTCACCTTTTAACCAAGTGCATTTTTTAAAAAGGAGATTTTTTTTTCTCCATTAGTGAGAATAGGAATCCAAGCATGCTAACATTGCATCATTTAGAGATCCAAGGAGAGCCACCCGGGAACCCCCAGAAGAATGTGCAAATAAGATGCAGTGACTCTAGAGGATGTATTCCCAGCAAGATGCCTCAAACCTGCATCCCCTGTGATAAGCCCACTATATCATTTCATTTAATTTGTCACTGGAAACCAAAGGAGGAATTGTTCCAGGTGATTGACAGTAATTAGAGGGAACTTCCACCTCTGGTTAGGAAGATGTCAAAAAAAAAAGAGCTGCACACTTTGACCCTCTAAGTGGCTGGATTGGCAGATTTGGGGAAGGGGAGAGAGTGGGATGAGGTCCCTAATTGTAAAGTGGGTCTGGGTGAATGGGGTACACAGAGAAGCCTATGTAAAAGAGATTGCATACGTAAAGTGCTCGGACATCAGTGTCCCCACTGGGCTTGTGTCGCTGCTCACGTACACCAGTTCCAGGCCACCCCCACCCCACCCCCACACTCACTGCAGCATCTCTAGCCTGCCTGAATCCTGGTTCCGTGGAGGTCAAGGTGATTTGAGCTCACTTCCCTGTCCATGGTTCTACTAATTCTGTTTTCAACTTCTCACCCACCAGTCCACATTCTCCTCTTTTTACTAACATTTCCTTCTCCCAAAAGGCTGCTTCCATCCCACCTGGTTCCTTTCTGCTGTCCAGAACCTCCCCAAGCATACAGGTCTCAGCTTTTTCACAACTGGCAACATTACACTCCCAAAGAAGCCCCTCCATTAGAGAAACCAGTATGATTTCTTCTTCCAAATAAATGCACTCAAGGTGCTTAGGGGCTAGAGAGTGTAATTCTAGCTTTTATATCTGTTTTGCTCAATCACAGAAGTTTAACACTCAAGGTTGGGTGGGATCTTGAAGGTCATCTGAACAACCACACCAGCTGATGGAGGAATCCACTTCACAAATGCCAGCCTTGGAACAAGCCCAGCTGTAAAGAACTTGAAGAACCTTGGAAGGTATTTACCTTCTAAGTCAGTAAATAGCATTGCTGTCTTTTAGCCCTTTTAAAGGACATAGACAATTTACAGAATGAGTAAATAAATGAACAAAAGAATGGACAGCAGTAGTAAAGACATAGGAGCAGATACAGTGTAACAAAGCCACTATTCCTGAGACTGGGCTAGCCATCCTAGCCAGGAGGTGTTCATCGTCACCTGGCTGTGGACAGCTCCAGCAGGGACAACCAGGAGACTAAAATATTTCTAGGAGCAGGTGACATCCAGCATTCAGACATAACCCCCTCCTGAGTACCCAGAAACTGCTAGTATTTCTTTGACCCCATATCCACAAGCTCTCCACATGCATGCCGCCCTCAACATAAGCCTTGGGTACCTTTCTTACCTGTGGTTACAGAAGAAAACAGGTCATTGAAAGGATGCAGAGAACCAGCCTGGCTTGGAGATTCTGGGCAGCTGACAAAAGTCACCCCAGAAATAGAGTGGCAGGTACAGAATAGAGCTCAGTCACTTCATTTCATGGTCAAACAGAGGCTGAAGAGTGAGGGTTTAGGAGACACCCCGTCGAGCAGAAGACTTACATGAGAGGCATTTGGCTTCCCGGGGACAGCTGGGCAAGCTCTGCAGAGAGGTGGGTTTTCCTGGGGCTGTCCAGCTCTGGCAGCCAGAACGGCTTCATGCAGGTGCCACTGAGGACAGCCCAGGCAGCCCAGCACAAGCGATTCTGCAGGTGAAACCCAAGCCTGGCCCCAGGAGGGGATGAGGGCTCAGCACACAAGCACACAGGCTCACGCTGTTCTCTCTCTCTCTCACACACACACACACATACACACACACACACACACACACAGCCTCTCTGGAGGGGAAGGAGGAGGAGCCTGTGACTCTCCAGCCTATGTCCGGTGGGGACAGATGCAGCTCTGTCCAGTCACCACGATGCTCCCTTCCCTGCTCTCTGGACCCCTGGGCTCCAGGATCACTGCCTGGGGCCCCTGAGTGCACCCACAGGTTCTGGGTCCTGGGTCCTGGGTCTGTCTGTCAATACAGCTTCACTGTATGTGAATCCACTTCACAAATTCCAGCCTTGGAACAAGCCCAGCTGTAAAGAACTTGAAGAACCTTGGAATGTATTTACCTTCTAAGTCAGTAAATAGCATCGGAAAAATTGGAGTAAGGACAGAGCTGCCAGCCAGCCCACGGTTCTCTCCTTGCCCTCCTCCCCTGTGAGACCCCTCCCCCCACCACCCTAGAGGACCACCGGTCACTTGCGCGGCCACCCGGTGTGGCTGCTTCTCTGTCACCCCGTCAGCCTCCTTGCAGGTGACCTTGCCTTTGATTTTCCGGTGAAGCCTCCTTTTCTCTAGTATCAGATGAGTACTCCTGTCTCCTCCTGTGCATGGCGAATCCTGGCCCACTGTGATCTTGACATCACCCCATCTATTAACAGCCTGGGCTTTCTCAGATCCTCCCTCTCTGCCCCACTCGTTCCTTCCCTTCAGCCCCTAAAGAAGCTCATCCTCCACCCTAAAAACACTCTGCTTTCGGCCTTTCCCTCAAGCTACTTGCTAGCTCATCTCCCTTATTTTGTTAAAAGCAAAGGCCCTGGACATGACCCGGCCACAGACTGCTGAGGCTGAATTTCTAGCTCTGCTCTTGAACAGCTGCATAATCCTGGACAGGCCTCTTCAGCTTCCTATGCCTCAGTTTCCTCAGATGTAAAAAGAGGATGTGAACAATGGCTCCTGCCTCATAGGTTTACTATGAGGAGTCAATTAGCACAAATAAACACAAACACACACGTGCATTGTGTGTACACATGTGCATGCGATTGCTAGAATCATCTTTTGAGAGAATTAAAAGACATAAAATACCAAAAAACCATAAACACTCATATTTCCACTATTCATAATTAATAAATGTTAATATTTTACCATATTTACATATATATAAAGTTAGATGTATACATTTTTCATTTGGAGACTGAAGGAAGGAAGGAAGGGAAGGAGGGAAGAAATAAGAAAAAAGAAAAGAAAGGAAAGGAAAGGAAAGAAAAGAAAAGAAAATCACAGCTTGTATCCATCAGGATTCTTGGTTGCAAGCAATAAAAACCTACCAATTACTTTAAGTGGAGAATGGTTTTATTGAGGAACAACGGGTGGTTCACAGAAGCACCTAGAAATCTGGAGGGGCTGCTTGGAGAGCAGGGAGAAGAGGGAAGCCTCTGCCCCGCGGCCAGCATGGTGGGTCCTGCTGCTACAGAGCTGCATGTGAACCTGGCACCGTCATGGGTGCCGCTGTCACCGCTGTCCCTGGAAGCAGCCATCCCTGCTGCTGCCACCGCTGCCACAGTTAATTCTCCTCCAGCCCTGCTCCTTTGTGTCACTAGCTCTGCATACAAAGGTCGAAACAGATGCATCTGATTAAAGCATGTGCTCCCAAACCAGATGCCAGGAAGGCCAAGGAAGCAGGAATCTGGGGTTTTGAGCTTCTATGTGGAAGGTGGGCTCTGCCCACTTCAAGAGGGGGGACATTCCTGAAATATTTGAAAGTTGTTTCAATGCTGGAAAGCACCCCCCTCCCCGCCACACGAAATCTAGCTCTTTGGCTCCTAACATCAGTGCACACTCGACTTTCCATCATCACACTTTGAAAAAAAATGTTTACATCTAATTGTCCTAAAATTTTCACCCAGAATTTGTTTTAATCAGGTTTGGTAAGACATGCAGACACAGAAGTGACTGTCATAAAGGAAGGAGTTTATACTCACAGATCCCTAGAAACAGGAGGGGTGGCACATTCCCGCAGGGCCACACAGAGCAGCACCAGGGAGTGTCAGGAGGTGGAGGGCACAATGTGGGAAGCCTGGCCCCGAGCCTTTATGAGGTTTCCCCGGGAAAACCAGGGCAGTGCAAGGAAGCAGCTTGCGATGAGATAGTTGGAATAATCTTGGTGGGCTCTGAGCTATAGGGATGGTCTCTAATTGCCCAGTACCTAGCTCTGAGGTGATTTGTGGCAGGAGGAATACTGGCTCGGTGTGTGAGAGTTAGACAAATGGTGCTGTTGGGGATACTGAGTCAAGATTAGGCAGAGGGCTTGTACTATAACTGTAGTGCACCTGCAAAAGCTGATTGCAGGGGAGATGTAACAAAGTTGGCTGTTAGTTTGGCCGTGCATATAGTGGATGCCAAACATACAAATGTAGAATCTAGCAGAATGCAACCATTCCTCACACAAGCAAAAAGCCTCCCCCTAACCCCACCCTAACTCCACAGGGATAGAACCCCAAGTCTCACCAGTGACCATCCAGCTCCAAGTCCAGCCTCCTGCTCTAATTCCTGACACATGTGCCACCTTGAAATTCTGTTTTCTATGGAATAAATCATAACGTTCACTCAAAATACACACATAGAAAGTAATGGGGTGGGCAGAATATGAAATAAATTAGCAAAGCCAGTAAGAAAATACAGACAGGTACAGTGCTCATTGTAGTAATAGATCATGAGGTTAGAGTGGGTATGTATTGGTTTCCTCTCCAGCCATTCTCCAGAATAAGCATCTACTGTATTCCACAAAAGCCAGATTGCTGCCTTCTCAAGCATATAAGGCATTCACTACAATCAACTTGCCACCAAGTGAATAATTTGAACCTCTGGGCTCTGCCAGCACATCCAGAGACCAGGGTTTGCCACTACTGCTGGGAAGATGAGCATTCGGGCCACATTGGGAACAGCTTCTGTAATCGGAATCACTTAAGTTTACAATGAACCACTGACATTCTATGAGACCCATCTACCTTAGGTAGCATTTGGAGATCATCAAAATTACCACTTCTGCATCCTTACAGCCTTTGCTGGTGGCCCTAATCCTTGGGATTCCTCTGGAGACATTGTATTAATTGCATTTATGGTTTTGTTAGGTAGGGGGCACTACACAGCTTCCTCTTGCTTCCTCCTTCAGCAGACAGATGATGGACATGTGCCATTGATAGGTTTGGATTTGTGTTGCCACCTAAATCGCGTGTTAAATTGTAATCCCCAATGTTGGAGGTGGGGTGTGGTGGAAGGTGACTGGATCGTAAGGGTGGATTTCTCCCTTGCTCTTCTCATGATAGTGAGTGAGTTCTCACAGGATCTGGTGTTTAAGAGAGTGTAGAATCTCCCCCTTCTCTCTTCTTCCTTCTGTTGTAGCAATGTGAAGACGTGCCTGCTTCCCCTTTGCTTTCTGCCATAACCGTAAGTTTCCTGAGGCCTCCCCAGCCATGCTTCCTGTACAGCCTGCAAACCGTGAGCCAATTAAGACTCTTTTCTTTATAAATTACCCAGTCTCAGGTATTTACAGCAATGTGAGGATGGACTAATACAGCCATGCACTGAGAAGTTTCCCTAACTCTAACCTTCGGACTGAAGGTTCAAACCACTTCCTGCACTTTCCTGTAATTGAGATGATGGTTCTTCCTCACCAATGCACCTCTCAAGGTCTTGGAAAAAGAGGTCTCTGATGAGTCCTTCCACATCAGGAGGAAGGCGAGCAGGTCATATATTAAGAAATCCATTCCAATATTCCTGTTCCTCCAAGTCTTCCATTACATTGAACTAATTTCTGGTATCTCATCTTCACTTTGCATGGACTACCAGTTGAGCAAACTGTGAGTACTTTCTCCAGCTGTTCGACTTTGTAGACTAAACCCAAATCTTTAGAAAGCACACCCCTGTCAGCCAAACTCCACTTCAACTTTCTGTCCTTGGTCTAGGACCTCAAGAGTCTATTCCTGTGTATATTCACCAGATTGTGACCACAAACAAGCAGAATCTTGCAGACTTGGGGTGTGTTTTACGTTTCTTCTCAGGTTTTCCCATGCCCCACCTGCCAGGACATGTAGGGATCTGACTCTAGTTGAAGTCTAGAGGCAGGGAGGGGGTGGATCATGAAGAAAACTGGTTTACCTGGGGTGTGTGGTGTATCCTTCAGGCAAGGATGTGACAGGATTTTCAGCTTAGGCAGGAACAGGCTCATCAGGCAGAGAAAGAGAAACATTTTTCATTGGTAAGGAAGGCTCCATGGCATTTATCATGGAAACCTTCCCAATTCATTTTGTTGTTGTTGCTGTTGCTGTTGAGATGGAGTTTCGCTCTTGCTGCCCAGGCTGGAGTGCCATGGTGCGATCTCGGCTCAGCACAACCTCTGCCTCCCGAGTTCAAGCGATTCTCCTGCCTCAGCCTCCCGAGTCACTGGGATTACGGGCATGCGCCACAATATCCGGCTAATTTTGTATTTTTAGTAGAGATGGAGTTTCACCACGTTGGTCAGGCTGGTCTTAAACTCCCGATATCAGATGATCTGCCCGCCTCGACTCCCAAAGTGCTGGGATTACAGGCATGAGCCACCGTGTCTGGCCCCCCAATTCTTGAAGTCTCATTTCTTCCAGTCAGTGCTATGAACTAAGTGATGCAATAATTGGGCACATCACAGGATTGAAATTTGAGCTTGAATTTTAGCCACCTGGGAAGTTATGAACTAGTTGCCTCACCTCTGAATGCACTTTCAATATATCTCTTTAAGCGTTTCTCCTTCAAAGTGTGCACGATGTTATGCTTTCTCAGTAGAGAACAATGTAGAGACATTGCAGGAGGATGAGAAGGGGGGTCATTGCCATTTCTGACACAGGTGGGGCAGTGGGGCATTGCAGCCTCCCCATGGCTGTCACCTTTCTGAGGCCCTCTTGACATGGAAACAAGAGACCCACGTGATCTGCCTGCAATTGACTGTAGCCAGAGGCCACGCGTGGGGAAGACTACAAAAGAACTCATTTAGGAAAAAGAGACTGGCCAAGATCACCAACAGGGTGATTGTAGATAAGAAGAGGAAGAGGTCCAAGGACCAACTTTTTATTTAGAGATTAGGACAATGATGAGCCTGCAAAGGAAATCAGGCAGGAGCAGCCTGGGGGAGAGGATGAAAGCCAAGCGAGAAAGGATCTCAGAAGCCAGGAAAGATGGCCTGCTAAGGAAGAGAGAGGAGCAGCTGGGCCAAAGGCTGCTGATAGGTCAGGTGCCACGAGGACTTCCATTGACCTTTGGATTTAGCCATGTAGAGGTTTTTTTGGGATGTCGGCAAGATGACTTTCAGCAAGGTATAAAGACAAAAGCATGATTTCAATGAGTTCAGGGGAGAATGGGCCAAGAAGGCTTAGTGATAAAAAGTAGGAACAATTCTCTCACAGACTTTCTCTTTAAAAGAGAGAAATACGATGGTAACTGGAGGGAAATGTGGGCTAAATATGTCATTTTTGTTGGTATGAGAATGAGATGATCCCATAGAGGAGTTAACCAACAATGTGGGAGATGTGGCATTGTTCTCTTGCCTACAGGCGCACCGAATCTAATGCCTCAGTAGAAAGTTGGCCTCAGCTAAGAATGGTGGGGCCTGGACATCGTGGCAGCAGAGAATCTGCTTAGGTGCAGGTAGGGGGGTTGACAGGGGGCTGGGATCCAGTGGAAGTTTTCTGTTTGTCCCAGTTTTCTCAAAGAAATAGGAAGAAAAGGTATTGGCTGAGAGTAAGGATAGGGGAGAGAGTATTGGAGATGCAAGCAGAGAAGGGAGCTTACATAGTCTTCTAGGAGATTAGGAGAGAAAACGGATTAGAGAAGAACAGTAGAATTAGTGGGTCTTCAGGGACAATTCAGGAGCTGTGATGAGGACCAAGAAGGACAGCTGCCTGTCCTTGCCCAGCAGCACAGGCAAGGAGGGGAGAGAACACTGAGCATTTGCAAAGACTGCAGTGGGGGCCAGGCGTGCGGTGGGGGCCAGGCGTGCGGTGGGGGCAGGCATGGTGGTTCACACCTGTCATCCCAACACTTTAGGAAGCCGAGGCAGGAGCTTGAAGCCAGGAGTTTGAGACCAGCCTGAGCAACACAGCAAGACCCCATCTCTACAAAAAATTTAAAAATTAGCCAAGCACAATGGCATATGCTTGTAGTCTGAGCTATTCAGGAGGCTAAGGTGGGAGGATCGCTTAAGTTCAGGAGTTCGAGGTTACAGTGATGTAGGATTTTTCTTCTCAATCACTTTGCAAGCTGAGGACTTCTGGCCAGCAACACCCCACCCAGGCCCTGCTTGGCTAAGCTGGTGTGCCCCAGCTTGCCTGCGTTATAGCTTGTACCCATGTTTGGTGGTTCCCAAGCTCTTGTACTGCACCCAGAAAGAATGAAGATATGCTGGACATGGAAGGGTGAGCAGGGTGGAGAAGACTCTTATTGAGCGACGAAACAGCTTTCAGCAGAGAGGGGACACGGGGGTGGTCCCCCTACCCAAAGGTGGGAAAGTCCCTCATGTGGCTGGGTCCGGGCCTTTTATGGACTCAGGATGGGGAGTGCATGCTGATTGGTTTGTGAGTATGCAAAAAAGGTTAAAGTGAAGACACCACTCAAAGGCGGGCATGACAATGCAGAAAACAAATTAGGAAAGGTTAGGTATATGTCAAATAGGTGCAGGGTGGGAACAATCTGAGGAAAGTGTGCCAAACAGGAAGACGAATTCTCCATCCGATCTGGGGATTTAACTTGTAGTTTGGTGTTCAGGCTTTAAACTGTCTTCGGCTTGGAGGTGGGGCTTCACCAGGGACCTGCCCCTATTTGCCCAGGCATTTGGCTGCCTCCTGCTGCTCTCAATAGTGAGCTAGGATCATGCCAGTGCACTCCAGCCTGGGCAACAGAGTGAGACCCCATCTCAAAAAAAAAGAAAAAAAAGAAAGCAGTTTCCTCAGGGGAGAGCCAGGTTTCGGGTACAGCAGGAGGGGAAGAGAATGGAAAAGAGGTTGAGGAAATGGTGAATTATGCTGATAATAAAACCAAGTTCCAGAAAGTTCCAGATGGCACAGTAGAAGGGTTTTTGGAGTTGGTGAAGAGTGAGAAGTGCCTACTCTGGCTGACTTAAGCACAGAATTTGAGGGCAGGATATCAGTGAGGGCCCTTGGGAGCTTGGAGAACTAAGCCTGGAAAACAAGAGCAAGGTCATTGCCAAACTCATAGCACAGAACTGGACTTGTGAAGACACCACTGCTGCAGTTGGGCGCTGAGGGCCTCGGGGCCTGCACCGTCCCTGCCAGCCAGGGACCCTGGCCGCTGCTGCTGCTGCCCTTGAAACTGCCGACCGACACCCTTCTCCTCTGGCCTGTTTCCTTCACCTGCTCCCACTGTAAGGGCTGGGTTGGTGCACCTGAGTTGCTGAATGGAGCTCACAGGCCTTCACTCTCACTTCCAGGCAGGCTGGGGAGTGGGCACAGGGCATTTCCAAATTCTGCAGTCAATGCGGTTCTTCCTTCTATCAACATTCATAAGGCCGGTATGCGTTATAGGGTTTTTATTACAAACTACAGAGCTTCCTCTCGGTCATATAAGCAGAAAGGTTCTTATTATAGGACATTAACACACAGAATCTCAGGGAGGACAAGAGATGCAGCTTTGGAAACTATATAGCCAAGAACAGCACAGTGACCGCAGGCCACCCCTTGGTGCAATTTTAACAAAGCCACCACTCTGCCCCAGCGTGGGCACCAAGTACACTCAGGACCAGACCAGAGAAGCTCCATCACAGCCTCCCCAGAAAAACTAGATGCTGCTGCTTCTGCCTTCGCTGAAAGAAAGTTCCCGCTCACACAGCTGTGGCTTTGGGCTGCCCATCCCCATTCCCAAATCCCTGGCGAGTATGCCCAATTGGCAGAGCCCGTGCACCTGGCCAGCATTAAGGAAGCCTGGGCAACATGTTGTTTGTGGATTCTACTGTGAGAAGGTAGAACTCAAAACAGTAGTAGTTCTCAAACAGTGAGAACTATCAAAATAGAAGATGTTGAAAGGATGTTGTGTATCTCTGAAGCAGAACTTCATCACTGCCAGATGGAATTTTCTCTTCTTCTCTACTCTACTCTTCTCTTCTCTTCTCTTCTCTTCTCTTCTCTTCTCTTTTCTCTTCTCTTCTCTTCTCTTTTCTTTTCTTTCTTTTGACAGAGTCTTGCTCTGTTGCCCAGGCTGCGAGTGCAGTGGCATGATCTTGGCTTACTGCAACCTCTGCCTCCCGGGTTCAAGCAATTCTCCTGCTTCAGCTTCCCAAGTAGCTGGGATTACAGGTGTGTGCCACCACGCCCAGATAAGTTTCGTATTTTTAATAGAGACGGGGTTTCCCCATGTTGGCCAGGCTGGTCTCCAACTCTTAACCTCAGGTGATCCACCCACCTCAGCCTCCCAAAGTGCTGTGATTACAGGTGTGAGCCACCATGCCCGGCTGGAATTTTCTGTATGTAAGAAAAGGTTATAGATGTTAGGAAGCTGGAAAATGACAAATAAGAAAAACGGCAAGTAGCCACCACCACTATTCCCAATCTCATTCTTCTCACTGCTCCAGAAGCCACCAGCCACTACCATTTGAATTCATTATTCCACTAAAATGGAAGATCCTTGACGGCCCCTATATTTGTCTGATTTATTTAACAATTGATCCCAAGTGCCTAGAACAGTGCCTGGCACATAGAAGATGCTTGATACATATTTGCTGATGGAATGAAAGACGCTCGTTCATTTGCCGCATTGAAAAAAAGACAAAACTTCAAGTGGTTTGTAGGTTTAGAAAACTGCCAGAGGTAGCTTTACTTTGAACTCCATGAGTATCTACAGTAGAGAGAAGCAGCAGTGTAAAGTCCTCCCTCCCAACCCCTAGTGGTTAAACAGATTTTATAAAATAGGGTTTGACAATCAAGGACTAGCAGGAAGTTGCAGAAGGCACAGGAATGGCAGAAAACCCAAAATAAACCTTAATGAGGTCAGTGTACATTCATTATGAATTTAGTGATTGAAATCAGGTGTAATTTATAAATTTTCACTACTACATTAGCCATCTTTTATGATTCATGCTATCACCTAAAACATATTTCATAAATATTAAAATTAGAAGACATAGGGGTTAGGATTTACATTTCAAAAAGCCACCCAGTTCCCATAGCCCTGCTGGGTAAGCCCTTATCTCTCTGTACCTTAGTAGCAGAAAACACAGGAGAAGCACGACCATGAAAAAGGGCAAAGTGCAGTGAAATGCAATTGAGACCTTTAATCTTTGCCTAAGCAATTCAGCCAGAAAGCTCTGTAACTCACAAGGCATTATAAAAATATTCCACACCAGAGCTATTTACAAGTTAACTGCTCCTGAATAAATAAAAGTCCATGTGATAGCTTCATGGCTTTCTCTTAACCAAAGAGGAAAGTAAAACTCATATTTCTATGTTTTTAAATTTTTCTTCTCAAAAGGGGGCTTTATGAAATCTAGTTCTGTAGGTATGTCGTTCCTCTACACTTTACTGCTTGTATAAATATACTTACGTATTCATAAGCAATACTGTGCTAGATGCAGAATTCAGATGCAGGCAACAGAAATCACTGTAGTTATTTTAAATAGAAACAGAAGAAAGGGATTTAAGATGAGAGACTGCAAGCCTACACAATCTTTGAACGGAATGGAGGAGTGAGCTCCAGACTGAGCCTTTAGGAAGGACTCCCAGAAAACACCACCATAGAACTAGAAGCTGCTATCTCTGCCTCAATCAGCAGGCCACCGCTAGAAACACGAACATATGGTTTGGCTGGGAGCCAAGGATCTGGAAGCAACTCCGTGGTCTCGGGACTGAGCCACTGAGTCAATGGGGATGCCAGTTTGTAAGATAGGGAACACACTAGGAGGAACAGGCGTGGGAAGTAGAAATGCAGAGAGAGTTCTGTTTTAGCCATGATAAATTTGAGATGCCTGTTAGACACTCAAGAGAAGATGTTCAGTAAGAAGTTGGATATTGACGTTGAGTAAGATGTTGAGTAAGAAGTTGGCAAGTCTGGAGCCCAAAGGAAACTCTAAGTTGGAGATTTAATTTCTTTCTTTTTTTTTTTTGGAGGTAGAGTCTTGCTGTGTCACCCAGGCTGGATGGAGTGCAGTGGCACAATCATGGCTCACTGCAGCCTCCACTTCCTGGGCTAAAGTGATCGTCCCACCTCAGCCTCCTGAATAGCAGAGACTACTGGCATGCACCACCATGCCTAGCTAATATTTTATTTTTATTTTTTATAGAGAGAATGTCTTGCTTTGTTGCCCAGGCTTGTCTCAAACTCCTGGCCTCAAGCAATTCTCCCACCTCAGCCCCAAAGTGCTGGGATTACAGGTGTGTGCCACCATGCCCAATCTGGAGATTTAACAGGTTTCATACTATATAGGTCAGGCTGCAATTTTCTTTCTATTTTTTAAAATTCAATTATACCTTTGAGATCAACTAACTTCATGAGAAACTAGCTTGCTGTACTCCCTTCTCTGCCTATCTTTCAGTCTTCAAATCCAGAGTAATCCAGTTTCTACCATAAAGGGCCCACAAAAAGTGTTCTGAAACATCCGGTGTCATCCAAGTCCAAAATTGGACAGCTTTTTTTTCAGTTCTTCCTGTAACATTTGGCAGTGTTGGCCACTCTCTGCTTCTTTGGCAAGAATCTCAGAAAACACTAATAACTGCTCCAGGCAGGAGCCTGGAAGAGGTTACCAAGCTAGAGAAGGAAGCAACAGCATAGCTTGCTAAGGGCAAACAGCCCAGAGGAAACCCACGGCTCTGGTCAATCCTGTTGTTGATTGCTAGATCCAGAGACTGTTGTAGACCTCCCAGTTACAGTGAGGTATCTGACAACCCCTCACAAGGTTCTTGAAGCTCCGTGGTGGAGGGTATCTTGGATAAATCCACAGAGACACATTCAAGAGTAAATTCTCCACTGTTGGAGACCTCACTCACTCTGTTTGGTCTCCACCAAAGACACGGTTTTTAATTCATGGAGCTGCACTACAACAGCTCAAGAACTCCCAGCCAAAGTTTTAGTTTTTCTAGGAACATAAACGAGCCAATAGTGTGGAAATCGGTGATTAAAAACAAACCTCGCACATTTTAAGACAGAATTATTACAAGTAGCATGTACAAAAGGAAAATAATAGCCTACATTTAGTTCTTCTAAGCTTCATTCCACAAGAGATTGAAATCGAAGTATTCTGGGCTGGCACACGATAGCTGGAACATCATATTTTATTCTAGAAACACATTTGCCTTGGCAAAGAAGAGCGTGCCTAGAGGAGTGGTCAGGATAGTGAGGGATCTGTGATCCTTCGTTCTGAATCTAGAAAAGTCACTGGATATGCCCCTCCCCCGCCCCCCAACACGGTCTTATGTTCTGAATGTAGAAGTCACTGGATGTGCTGACACACACACACACACACACACACACACACACACACACACACACACACACACACAGAGTCTGTGGCCTCTTTCCCAGGCATTCCAAGTCCAGCAAGTTCGCAGGGAGCTGTCAGTCCGTCCAGGAAGGCCCGGGCCTGGGTTTGCCTCTTCAAGCAGCTACTGCAGGGGCGTGGGGAGGGGGCATAAGAGACTTTGGACTTTCCTTTGAGACAGTAGAAAGCGTTACATCCAGAGGCGAGATTCTAGCCTGGGGTCCCCGCCTTCCCGGCCTCCTCTTCCTCTCCCTCTGACTCCCTTTCCTGTGCCCCTCCCCCTGCCTCTTTCCCGGCCAGAGTCCAGCCTTAACCCGGGCAGAGGGCGGAGTCCCGTTAAGGGGGTGTGGGGAGGAGGCGGGGCCAGGGCAGGGGCGGGGCAGAGCCGGGCCAAGCTGGGCGGGTCATGCGCCCTGGCCTTCGCGCATCTCCCAGGTTAGCTGCGTGTCCGGGTGCTAGGCTGCAGACCCGCCGCCATGACGCTGCGCGCGGCCGTCTTCGACCTTGACGGGGTGCTGGCGCTGCCAGCGGTGTTCGGCGTCCTCGGCCGCACGGAGGAGGCCCTGGCGCTGCCCAGGTAAGGGGGCCCAGCGCCGCCGCCGCAGTGGGTCGGGGCCTCAGGAGGCAGACCGCGCTGGGCTTGCAGCCCAGCTTTCAGATTGCTCCTGTGCCGGAGCCCTGCGAATCATGCGAATCATGAAACTGAAGACCTGGCCCTGAAGTCCCAGTGCATATGAGGAGATCCGTTGTCTTTCTAAATGTTCATAATTAAACGTTGCCAAGGTCTCCAAAATTGCTTTCTGTGAACTTTTCCAAAAGGGAGAGGAGTTACTCATGGAGCTTTGTGCTTCTGCTGCCTCCTGTCTAATGGGGTGGCGCTTAAAGATGCGAGCCGAGATTCAGGAGAGAAGAAAGTTCTCTCCCCAGGTGTGGGTTGCATGCTTACTTGTGTAATAGCAAACTGCAGCAACCGCCCAAAGCCACATCACTGGGAAATGGTAGATGGGGTGTGCAGAGTGAGAGCTCAGGGACTTGGGAAAACACCTGTTCTACTACATGAAAAAACCACCCCACCAGAATCTGAAGCTATTTATACAATATGGTTTCAGCTATGGAAAAAAGGTACATGCAGAAAAGTGCCTGAAAGAAATAGGCCAAAGTACATCAAATGAGATTAGGAATAATGTAATGATTTTCTTTCTCTCTCTCTTTTTTTTGTGTTTTTTTTTTTTGTAGTTTCCAACTTCTAAATTTATAAACAATGTATTATTCCCACATTCAGAAAGGAGAGAAGTATACTTATTTATAAAGTGAAAAAGAAGGCCAGGCATGGAAGCCATTGTTCATATCCTCCTTTTACATATGAGGAAACTGAGGCACAGAAAGAAACCAGCTGTCCAAATCACATAGCTGTTAAAGAGCAGAGCCAGAAATCCAACCCCAGTAGTCCATGTCCGGAGCCTTTGCTTTTAATATAGTAAGGAAGATGAGATGGCAAGTAGCTTGAGGGAAAGGCATGTAATCTCTGTGCTTTGGGAAGCTAAGGTGGGAGGATCACTTGAGGCTGAGAGTTCAAGACCAGCCTGGGTGAAAGAGCAAGACCCTGTCTCTCCAAAAATAAAAATAAAATTAGCTAGACATTAGTGCATGCATGTAGCCCCAGCTACTTGGGAGGCTAAGGCAGAAGGATTGCCTGAGCCCAGGAGTTGGAGGCTATAGTTGTGTCCAGAGTTGGTTCCTGTCGGTGGGTTCGTGGTCTTGCTGACTTCAAGAATGGAGCTGTGGACCTTCGCAGTGAGTGTTACACTCGTAAAGATGGCGCAGACCCAAAGAGTGAGTGATAGCAAGGTTTATCGTGAACAGCGAAAGCACAAAGCTTCCACAGCATGGAAGGGGACCCCAGCAGGTTGCCGCTACTGGCTGGGGTGGCCAGCTTTTATTCCCTTATTGTCCTCTCCCATGTTCCATTTCTGTCCTATCAGAGTGCCCTTTTTTCAATCCTCCCCGTGATTGGCTACTTTTAGAATGCTGCTGATTGTGCGTTTTACAGAGCGCTGATTGGTGCATTTTACAATTCTCTTGTAAGACAGGAAAGTTCCCCAAGTCCCCACTCGACCTAGGAAGTCCAGCTGGCCTCACCTCTCAATCCTCCCTCATAACAGGACACCCCACCTGCTACTGGGAACTGGGTGATGACCACTCTAGCTACTTCCTGCTGGATAGGGGCAAAGAAGGGGCCCTGCCGTTGTAGTGTCCTCCAGAGGGGAACTCTCTAGGCCAGTCAAAGGGCCAGTGGGTCAGTCTAGCAGTCCTCGGTAGAAGTTGTGAGTTAAGCTCATTTGGGGTTCCATTTGTAAGACCATCTGTAGCTTGATGGCCTTGATCCTGGAGGAAACAAATTTGAGGAGGAGGTTAAAAATACAGGGACTGAAGGTGAGTAATAGCAAGATGGCTGTCACGGGACCTAGAAAGGGGAGAAGCCAAGTCACCCAACTCCAGAGGTTGGTATAAGAATTTGAAAGGTGTTGTCTGGTTTCAGAAGCCTTTTCCTGTAAATGCCAGGCAGCATCCTGTACTATCCCTGACTGGTTAGTTTAAAAACAACACTCCTCCCCTAAGAAGGTGCAAAGTCCTCCTTTCTCAGCAGTGAGGAGGTCTAGACCTTAGCGGTTTTGGAGAGTCACTGTTGCCAAATAGTCTATTTGGGATTGTAGAGTAAGGATAGATTTATTTATTGCAAACTGTCTGAGAAATCCTTTGAGAGTGTATG
The DNA here is from genome assembly GCF_000001405.40 of Homo sapiens. Classification (NCBI taxonomy): domain Eukaryota; kingdom Metazoa; phylum Chordata; class Mammalia; order Primates; family Hominidae; genus Homo; species Homo sapiens. Next base: position 27,493,503 of record NC_000008.11, read on the forward strand.
GTAGTAGGATAATGAAGTAGTTAAACTGGCTATTCTGGTTCCTGTAGCAGTGGGCATTCCTAGCCCTATAAGTAGGGGTATTAGTTGTATGGTCCTGGGCTGACAGACTTGAGCTTTGAGGGGCACTGATAGGGTCTGATTTCCTGTGGCATTGTTAGTGTTGGGACTTAGGAGAAGGTGCAGGTGCCTGTCCAGCTGGTGGGAGGCAGATATAGGTTGAAGTTCCACATAAGAAGAATATGCCTTGGCTGGGTAGAATAAACTGGTTGTGTATGTTAAAAAGGTGTGTGAGTTTGTTTTCATTTTCCCACACTCCTAGAGTACTTGCCAAGGTAGCTCTGGTGAGCAGCTGGAAAGGGTGTTGGGAGCAGACTGAGTGGCTCCCTGTGCTCTATTTTCCCATTGGAGAAAAAACCGTTTTGTATCTACTAGGAACCATCCAAGAGAGTAATTGAAAGAGGGGATAAGAAGACATACACTAGTGGTGGGGGCGCTGCTGCAGGGGGTCCAGGGGTGAATGGTCATGCAGGGAGTATGTTTGCCATTACAAAACCCAGACTGTTTGTTAAACAGGGAGGAGGTGATGATTTTGGGGGGCCCTGAGAAGCAGACAAGCCATCTGAATGGAGGTGTTTGGGTGACTCAGGAGTTACTATGATCAGTTGGGGCTTGAAGTTATAGGGTGTAATTACACTGATGGGATAGTAGGTGCCCCAGGGGCAGGCCTGATAACAGGTTGTGTTGGATGCATAAAAGGGCTTGGAAAGTTAAGATGGTATTCGGTATTCGTGGTCACAAGGTCTTGTATGGGCTTTTCCTGAGGATTGTGGCCTCCAGGCACAGTGAAGGTGATATTGTATCTCTAGTGCCCTGGAAACTCCCTGAGTTACCATGGCTTTAAAAGCCAGACCATTGTCACTTTGTAAGCTTTGGGGAAGCCCAAATCTAGGAATTACTTCATGAATTAGGACTTTAACCACTTCTTGAGCCTTCTCTGTCTTGCAGGACAAGGCTTCATCCAATTTGCAAAGGTATCAACACAGACCAACAAGTATTGAAATCCCCTTGACTTAGGCATATGGGCGAAGTCTAACTGCCAGTCTTCTCCTAGATAGTGCCCTATTCTTTGTTCCCCCAGAGGGGCCTTATGATGGACCAAGGGATTATTCCTTTGGCACACCTCACAGGCTTTGACTACTTGTTGGATGGTCTGAAGGAGATTTGGCCCTGTAAATAGGGATTTGGCCATTTGATGAGTGTTCTCAATACCCATATGAAAAGTTTGGTGGAGGGTCTTAAGTATTTTCCACTGGCTGGCTTCGGGCATGAGTACCTTTCCCTCTTCTGTTGTTAACCACCTGGAGGGGAGAAAACTATGCCCCCATGAAAGTCCTCATTCTGTTTCGGTTGGGGAATACTGGGGCTTAATCTCTTGGAGAGGGTTGTTCCATACCAAGGGTCCTTCCGTAGGTATTTCTAATGGGAGGTTCCACCTGGCAGCAATTTTGGCCTCAGTGTCTGCCTAATGGTTTTCTTCTGCCTTTTCTCCTTCACCTTTTGATGGCTTTGGCAGTGTAAGACTGCCACCTCTTTGGGTTTTTGCACTGCGTGCAATAACTCCATGATTTCCTTGTGGTATTTAATGGGGGTTCCCCTGGAGGTTAGGAACCCCCTTTCCATATTGCAGCATTGGGCATGTAGGATTAGATAAGCATACTTGTTATCTGTATACACATTTATTTTTTTTTCTTTCCCAGTTCTAAGGCTCAGGTAAGCACCACTAGTTCTGCTAACTGGGTGCAGGTCCCTGGGGAAAGAGGCTTACTTTCAAGTACTGTTACATCACTAACTATGGTATAACCTGCCCTTCATATCCCATTCTCCACAAATGAACTTCCATTGGTATATAGGTTAAGGTCAGGATTAGCTAAGGGGACTTCTAAGAGATCATCTCGGGCAGCATAAGTCTGGGCTACAATTTGTTGGCATTCATGCTCGATTGGTTCCCCATCCTCTGAGAGAAAAGTGGCAGGGTTCAGGGCCACACACAAGCGCCTGGTATCTAAGCAGGCAGTTGTCTGACAGCCATAAATTTCCTTTGGCACCTAGTATGCCATTTACATCATTAGTAGTCCAGACAGTGAGATCCTTTCTTTGTATTATTTTGATAGCCTCCGATACTAAGATGGCCACTGCTGCAACTACCCATAAACAGTAAGGCCAGCCTTTTGCCACTACATCAGTTTCCTTACTTAGGTATGCCACTGGTTGTGGGGTTGTCCCACGAGTCTGAGTAAGGACTCCAAGAGCTATTCCTGCTCTCTCTGTGATGTATAAAGAGAAGTCTTGTCCTTTGGGAAGGCTTAAAGCTGGAGCTTGTACTAGGGCCTGCTTTAAGGTTTTGGAGGCTGTTTCTGCCTCTGGTTCCCATTCTACTAGATTAGTGTTTGCCCTCTGGGTCTCCTTGATTAGAGCATAGAGTGGCCTGGCCATCTCGCTGTATCTGGGGATCCATAGTCGGCAAAAGCTGGTGATCCCAAGGAACCCCCACAACTGTTTTAATGTCTTAGGGCAAGGACAAGCCAGTATAGGCTGTATTCATTCTTTGCTTAGAGCCCTGGTTCCTCTGGCTAAGATTAGGCCTAGATATTTGACTTGTAGGCAGAGCTGGGCCTTCAGTTTAGATGCCATGTACCCTTGATTAGCTAGAAAGTTCAAGAGAGCTAGAGTAGCCTGCTGGCATGAGGCTTTTGAACTGGTAACCATAAGTAAATCATCCACATACTGAAGGACCAGAGTGCCTGTACTTGAGAAGTGGCCTAGATCTTGGGCCAGTGCCTGACCAAACAGATGAAGGCTATCCCTAAACCCTTGAGGCAAGACCATCCACGAAAGTTGGGACGTGTGGTCTGTGGGATCCTCAAAGGCAAAGAGAACCTTGGAGTCAGAGTGCAGGAGAATGCAGAGGAAGGCATCCTTGAGGTCCAGAACAATGAACCATTCTGCTTCCTCTGGTATTTGAGAGAGCAGGGTATAGGGGTTGGGTATAGCTGGATATAGAGGAATTACTGCCTCACTGATGAGTCTAAAATCTTGTACTAGTCTCCACTGAACGTTCGGTTTTTGTACTCCTGGAATTGGGGTGTTGCAGGGACTGCTGCATTTTCTTACTAAGCCTTGAACTTTTAAATGTCTAAAAATATCATGTAATCCTTTATGAGCTTCAGGCCTTAAGGGATATTGCCTTTGATAAGGAAAAGTGGTGGGGTCTTTAACCTGATTTGGACTGGGCAGGCATTTTTTGCCCTTCCGAATTGTCCTTTCAATGCCCAGACTTCAGGGTTGATTCCCTCCTCAAGTAGGGGACAACAAATGGGTAACTTGTTCCCCATATTTATAGAGATAATATCTCTAGCTTTGGCTAATATGTCCCTCCCTAATAAGGGTGTGGAACTTTCAGGCACAACAAGAAAGGTGTGTGAAAAGAGCAAAGTCTCCCAATTACAACTGAGAAGGTGGGAAAAATAGCTGGTTACAGGCTGTCCCAGGATTCCTTGGATGGTAACAGACCTTGAGGACAGCCATCTGGGGTAGGAGATTAACACTGAGAAGTCTGCACCAGTGTCCAGGAGGAAGTCAATTTCCTGGCCCTCAATGGTTAAACTTACCTGGGGCTCAGTCAGGGTGATGACATGAGCTGTCACTTGCCCTGGGCACCCTCAGTCCTGTTGTTGGATCATCCGGTTGGGGGCTTCTGGCCCAGAGAACCTTTGTCCTCTGGGGCAGTGTGCCTTCCAGTGATTGCCTTGGCATAGTGGACATGGGTGAGGGGGCAGCTTGTTTCTTGTTGGACAATCTTTTTTAAAGTGTCCTTGCAAAGCACACTGATAACAAGCCCTACTGGGTGATTGGCCTGCTCTGTTTTCTGTCTTCTCTGAACCACCAAGGTTTGTTTGTGTGAGGGACATGACTAAGGCTGCGGCCTTTCTCTTATCTCACTTTTCCTTTTTGGCCTGTTCCTCTTGGTCCCTATTGTAGAACACCAAGGTTGCCAGGTTTAATTATGCCTCCAAATTTTGTTCAGGGCCCAGGGATAGCTTTTGGAGCTTTTTCCTGATATCTGCGGCTGATTGGGTAATAAACTTATCTTTTAGAATCAATTGACCCTCGAGGGAGTCAGGTGACAGGGGAGTATATTTTCTTAAGGCCTCCTGTAGCCGCTCAAGGAAGGCAGTAGGATTTTCTACCTTTTCCTGAGTTATGGTGGACATCATTGAATAATTCATGGGCTTTTTCCTAATTCTCCTTAGTCCTTCTGGAAGACAGGTCAACGGATGTTTGCGACTCCAGTCCCCATGATCTGAGTCTAGGTCCCAGTGGAGATCCATACTGGGGACGGCTTGTTGACCGGTAGGGATTTGTCCCTTTCTTTGGCTGTCATTCTGTCATTTACTTGACTAAGATACCATTTACTTGACTAAGATACCAAACTCTCAGGCTGCAGCTAAAGCCGCATTCTTTTCATTAAAGGGCAGGGTTTGATCTAACAATAGCATGACATCTCTCTAAGTGAGGTCGAAGGTTTGCCCTAGACCCTGTAGGACATCTATATACCTATCAGTATCATCTGAAAACTTCCCCAGGTCTACCTTGATCTGCTTTAAATCAGAGAGGGAGAAGGGGATATATACCCAGGTTGGGCCAAATTCCCCTCCCCCTACAGCTTGAAGGGGACATAACCGATAGCCCGGGGGTTTTATGGTCCCTTGGAGATTTCTTTGCTTGTTTCCTTCTGAGTGGGGGAGATTAGAGGAGGCTTATCATTAACAGGAAGAGGAGCTGGAGCTAGGCTAGGATATGGAGGTAAGCTCATGTTTCCAATACCAAGAATGTTCTTGTTGTATCAAGTTGCTTTTTTTTTTAATGACCACCTGCCCTTGTTTTATAGATTCAGTGGTATCTTCTTCCTGTATAGTTATATTCTTTCCCTAGTTCCTCTTCTTTTATCATCTCCCATTCTCTAAGAAGAAGAAATAATTTTCCCCTGTTTTCCCACTCACCTAGTGTCTTGTAGTTATTTGTTTATACCTTGCCTCCCTTGTTCTTCTGTGAGCTTCCTATGAATAGCATCATATTTTTCCACTTTTGCATCACAGCACATAGCACAATGCCTCACATACCTAAGATGCTCAATAGGATTGTTAAGTTGAATATTGCATTGCTTCTTAATACTGAGGAGCAGATACTGAAAGGGACCAGGAGTCTTTTGGAGGAGGTGGAAATGTTCTAAAATTGGAATGTGGTGATGCTTACACAACTGTAAATTTACTGCAAATCATTGAATTGTCATACTACATGAATTTAATGCTATGTAATTGTCTTAGTCCATTTTCTGTTGCTTACAACAGGATATCTGAAACTGGGTAATTTATAAAGAAAAGGAATTTATTTCTTGCAGTTATGGAGGCTGATAATTCCAAGGTTGAGGGGTTGCATCTGGTGAGGGCATTTTTGCTGGTAGGGACTCTCTGCAGAGTCTCAAGGTAGCACAGGGCATCATATGGTGAGGGGGCTCAGTGTGCTAGCTCAGGCCTCACTTCCACTTCTTATAAAGCCACTAGTCCCAATCCCATGATAACCCATTAACTCATTAACCCATTAGCCTATGGATGAATTAATCCATCCATGAAGGTGGAGCCCTCATGACCCAATCACTTCTTAAAGGCCCACCTCTCAATTTTAATTTAATGCCACAATGGGGATTAAATTTCAACATGAGCTTCAGAGGAGACAAACGTTCAAACCATAGCAGTAATTATACCTTAACAAAGCTGTTTAAAAAACCAACAACTGTTGGCAAAGGTATGGGAAAACCATTGCTGACATTGAAAAGTTGAGCAAGGCCACAGATATTAGGTATATGTCTCCATATAGTTGGTCCAGAGCTGACCACTGTTACCTGCAAGAGGGTGTCTGATAAAAGGTATACTTGACTATTATCAGAAATAAAGCTCCCAGGATGGGGATATTTGTTCTGTTACTCAGGGCTGGTAATTTTAACTGGCTTGCCACTTCAACTGGAATTCATCTGGGATTGGCAAGCCAGTTAAAATTACTTTCCAGACCTGAGTAATAGAACAAATGCATTCGTACACATAAATACATTTGTTCTGTTACTCAGTGTATTTATTTACTGAGGCTGCTGTAACAGCAAACAGAGACTGGATGGCAACAATGGAAATGTTTTCTCTCACAGCTCTGGAGGCTGGAAGTCCAAGATCAAGATGTCAGCAGGGTTGGTTCCTTCTGAGGCCTCTCTCCTTGGCTTGTTAACAGTGTTCTCCCTGTGTCCTCACATGGTTGACTCTCTGTGTGTGTCTGTGTCCTAATCGCCTTATAAGGGCACCAGTCCTATTGTTGGATTAGAGCCCACCTGTATGATCTTATTTAACTCAATTACCTCTTAAAGACCCACTCTCCAAATACAGTCACATCCTGAGGTATTGGAAGTTAGAACTTCAATGTATGTATTTGGGATGGGGGTATACAACCCAGCCTTAACACAGTGATATGGTTTGAATTTGTGTCCCCACCCAAATCTCCTGTCCAGTTGTAATCCCTAATGTTGGAGGAGGGGGTTGGTGGGAGGTGATTGGATCATGGGGGTGGATTTCCTCCTTGCTGTTCTCGTGATGTTGAGTGAGTTCTCATGAGATCTAGTTGTTTATAAAAGTGTGTAGCACTTACCTCTTCTCTCTCTTCCTCCTGCTCCAACCATGTAACACGTGCCTTGCTTCCCCTTCACCCTCCGCCATGATTGTGAGTTCCCTGAGGCCTCCCCAGCTATGCTTCCTCTACAGCCTGCAGAACCATGAGCCAATTAAATCTCTTTTCTTTATAAATTACCCGATCTGAGGTACGTCTTTATAGCAGTGTGAGAACAGACTAATACAGGAAACTTTTTAAAGGTTAGAAGATGACATTAAGATAAAATAGAAACTAGAGAGGCAGAATCGAAACCACAAAAAACATATTCCATTCTTTTTGAAGAAGGTGAACTCATGAAAAAGTTCTTTGAGACCATGCCTGGTGCACACGAGGACAGTAATGGCCGCGTGCCCACTCTCGGTTCTGACCGTTATATAGTAAAGTAGGAAGCGCCTCTGGGTGAAGCTGCTATTAGGTGGTTTCCCATGGGCAGCTTCTCTGTGGAACATACTGTGATTTACTGTATGGTCTCATGTCCTCAGCTGGATGGCTCCTTGCGCGCAAAGATCCCAATTTGAACTGCGTTTGCATTTTCCAGTTCCTGGCAGTATCCCTTTCTAGTGGCTGCTTCTCAATGAATATGAACAGTGTCTGTTTCCATGTGCTGCCATGACAAAATCCACAGAATGTTCCTGATGTTCTTTGTGTTTTCCAGAGGACTTCTGAATGATGCTTTCCAGAAAGGGGGACCAGAGGGTGCCACTACCCGGCTTATGAAAGGAGAGATCACACTTTCCCAGGTGAGGGGACATCACCACACAGAGCCCTTTGGATGAACGTTCTCTGCCTGTGTGCCCATCTCCCCGAACTTGGGGCCCACCATAATAGAAAACACCCACCTTTTCTGTGAAGACAAATGTTGTTTTAATGGTATTAATGGGAGTATTGCAGTCACCTTAAAACATACTTGCTAATATATTGTGGCAAATGGTGAACGAAAACTGTGATGAAACTATTGGGAAGAACATTATTGAATTATTGACTTTTTATTTAATCCATAAAAAAACCTCAGTAATATTGTTGGAAGGTAAGAAAGAGGGAAATGCTATATATTTTCTTCTTCTTCTTCTTCTTCTTCTTCTTCTTCTTCTTCTTCTTCTTCTTCTTCTTCTTCTTCTTCTTCTTTCTTCTTTCTTCTTTCTTCTTTTTCTGAGACAGGTTCTCACTCTATTGCCTAGGCTGGAGTGCAGTGGCATGATCATGGCTCACTGCAGCCTTTACCTCCTGGGCTCAGATGATCCTCCCACCTCAGCCTCCCAAGTAGCTGGGATTACAGGCACACATCACCATGCCCAGCTGTTTTTTGTATTATTATTATTATTGCTAGAAATGGGGTTTCACCGTGTTACCCAGACTGGTCTAGAACTCCTGGGTTCAAATGATACACCCACCTTGGTGTTCCAAAGTGCTAGGATTACAGGTATGAGCCACCATGCCCAGCCTATATTTTCAATGAACATACAGAATTTAGAGTGAATTTCTAGTAATTGCTATGAAAATCCTGCGTTTCATTCAGACTCCTTTGGTGGCTTCTGATAGTCTGTGTGTAACTTCTAGGAAACTGGCATGGCTAGAGGGAAGAAGCCTGGAAAACTAAATTATATCATGCTAAGGCTATTTACACTTGACTTGTCTTAAAAAAAAAAGTCTTATCTTGGGAGTGAATGTCATCTTTTAACTTTTCATGTGTATATACTATACAGACAGAAAAGTACACATAGCATACAGCTTGATGACTTTTCACACACTAAGTATACTGCTGTCACCAGCACCCAGATCAAGAAATAAAACATTCTCAGCGCTGTAGGCAACACATAACCCCGCTCTGGATACCATCCCTCCAAGAGTATTACCATTCTAACTTCTATCCCAATAGATCACTTTTACCTGTTTTGGACTTTATGTAAATGGAATTGTGCACATCAGCTCTTTTGCGTCTGGCATCTTTTGCTCAACATTGTATGAGTGAGACTCATCGTTGTTGCATGCTGCCATAGATCATTTTATTCTCATTGCTGCATGACATTCCATCACATTCATATACCCCAATCTATCCATTCTTCTATTGATGGGGTTCTGGGTAGTTTTCAGTTTGGGACTATTACAAATAGTGCTGCTATGATGATGTGTATATATAACAATCCATTCTGCTATTAGTGAGTGTATTAGTTTGCTAGGGCTGTGTCTTACATAGCACCTTCAGCTGCTACCTACAGCAAATATGCCATAGACTGTGTGACTGAAACAACAGACATTTATAGCTCACAGTTCTGGAGGCTGGGAAGTCCAAGATGAAGGCACTGGCAGGTTCAGTGTCTGGTGAGGGCTCTCTTCTTGGTTTGCAGATGGCCACCTTCTTGCTGTATCCTCACATGGTAGAAAGCAGAGAGACAGGGGAAAAAAAGCAAGTTCTTGGCTGTCTTCTCCCTGTGTCCTCACATGGTCATCCCTGTGTGTGTCTATGTCCTCATCTCCTCTTCTTATTTGGGCACCAGTCATATTGGATTAAGATTCGTCATAATGACTTCATTTTACCTTAAGTACCTCTTTAAAGGCCTGATTTCCAAATATAGTCACATCATGAGACTCTGGGGGCTAGGACTTCAACACAGGAATTTTGGGGAGGACACAGTTTAGCCCATAACAGTGGACATTTGGGTAGTTCCAGTTTGGGGCTTGCTATGGTCCAAGTGTTTGTGCCCCCCGCCCAAAATCCCTATGTTGAAATCCTAACCCCCAAGGTGATGTTATTAAGAGGTGGGGCCTTCAGGAAGTAATTGGGTCATGAGGGTGGAACCCTCAGGAGTGAGATCAGTGCACTTATAAAAGAGATCCCAGAGAGCTATCGAGCCCCTTCTACCATGTGAAGACAGCAAGAAGGTGCCATCTGTGAAATAGAAGGCAAGCCCTAACCAGACACCAAATCTGCTGGAGCCTTGATCTTGGACTTCCCAGCCTTCAGCACTGTAAGAAATAAATTTCTGCTGTTTATGAGCCACCCAGCCTCTGGTCTTTTGTTATAGCAGCTGAGATGGGCTAAGACAGGGCTCTTAGGAATAGCACTGCTATGACTGTGGGTGAATATAATACAATCTATCCATTCTGCTGTTAGTGGGCATTTGGGTCGTTTCTGGTTTGGGACTCCTAGGAAGAGTATAGCTATGAACATTTTTGGCCATGTCTCTTGGAGAACATATGTTGGCATTTCCAGTGGGTATGTGTCCAGGAGTGGAATTGCTTGGTCACAGGGAATGTATATGTTTAGATTTAGTAGACCCTGCCAGAGCTTTTCTGAGTGGCCATACAAATTGTCCCCTCACTTCACTTTGACAGTGGATACCACTCATGGAAGAAAACTGCAGGAAGTGCTCCGAGACCGCTAAAGTCTGCCTCCCCAAGAATTTCTCCATAAAAGAAATCTTTGACAAGGCGATTTCAGCCAGAAAGATCAACCGCCCCATGCTCCAGGCAGCTCTCATGCTCAGGAAGAAAGGTAAGGATCTGATACTGGCCAATCTCAGGCCGAACCACCCAGAACCCTCGGGAGCATTAGGTCAGAATCCATTGAAGTGAGCTTTGAGATCACAGATCTTCTGAGCCACGATGGAAAGCCTCTTTAAACATGGCCCCAAAGCAAGTTTTATCCAATGGCAAAAGCAGCACTATTAGAAAAGCTGGAAAAATGGCAGGATTTTACTTAATAAAGCAATTGATGCCCATGACTGCCTTGTGAACATCATTCTCCCCTTCAATGGCACTTTAGTAATGACCCAAATGACATGATCTTTTGTCACAGTGATTAAGAAACAAGGCCTTTTTAGCAACTGTGATTTTCTTAGCCTCTGGGTATCAGAGTGTCCAAGCTATGAGTTGGCTGACATGGGCTCAGATTATGTCACATAGTCTAAGACATGAGGTCAAGTTCATCCATAGGCGTTGACTTGGTGTGAACACCTGACTCTTGTCATAGGCATATTGAAACTATTCCACCCTCTTATCAGTAGACTTACCTGGTTGTGGCTGAGCCATCCCATGTCTGCAACTCTTCCCTCCTATTGCGTGGGAAGAGTCTCACCATCAACTCTTCAGTGTCTTCTTTCCAGCATTGCCTAGTTCTCACCCTCGCTGGTTAGGCAGATAAAGCCAGGGGATAATCCTATTTCTATGTACACTTCTCTAGTTTTGAAATAGAAACCTAGTCCCTGATTGCCAAGGCAGGTATTCTGGAATTTAGTCAAGCAGTGTTTTCAGTAGCATGGACTAGAAAGAATGCTGGACCTTCACCATGTGGCTCTGGGCAGCTCGTAACTTGTCTGAGCTTGTTTGCTGATCTGTGAATCTGGGAGGGTAGGATTGGCCCTGTCCACCCCTGAGGTGGTAGAGATCAAAATGAGCTGATGAATGTATAAGTGCTGCTCCACTGTTGTCAAGGAGGAAGGAGGGTAGTTTCTCCATCTAGGCTTCTGAGGGCCTTGAATGAACCCAGCTCATGCTTGTGTCTGTGTCAGAGGTGTTCATGGGTCAAGATGATTCTTTTCCAATTTGTCAGTTGAAAGTTGGGCATAAGAGATTAATAAAAGTGAGCACAACCTGCTTGGCCCATCATTGGAGTCCCTTGGGGGTATCTGGAGCATTTCAGGGCAAAGGTCTGTAGCTGGTCTATCTACTGGTGGCTTTTTGCTCAGGATTCACTACTGCCATCCTCACCAACACCTGGCTGGACGACCGTGCTGAGAGAGATGGCCTGGCCCAGCTGATGTGTGAGCTGAAGATGCACTTTGACTTCCTGATAGAGTCGTGTCAGGTGGGAATGGTCAAACCTGAACCTCAGATCTACAAGTTTCTGCTGGACACCCTGAAGGCCAGCCCCAGTGAGGTACGGAGACACTTCCTTATGGCAGAGAAGGATGTTCAGAGATATTGCAACCAGGGAAAAACTGAGGAGTGAGCAGGTGGGATGCATCTTGGGCCTGGCAGGACAGCTCTGAGTCCACTTCTCCCAGACCACGTCTTCTCCTAGAAGACTGTTACCCATTCTTTGATCTAGAAAGTTCTCCCAGAGGTGGGCATTTGGCTCCATTGTATAGCTCTTACAGAACTTTGGTCAAAACAGGCATCAGCAAAAGCTGTTTTAGCCCAGCTGCCTCAGTTTACTTACAAAGAAATGGAGATCCTGGGAGACTTGCAAGGCCACAAGACTAGTAGTCAGGTTCATCCCCACAAAGGGTGAGTGAGGACAGGCTCCGGTATTGCCATGCTCTCCCACCAGACACCCTGTGCCCTGAGCCTGTCTCCAGAGATCACCTGTCCTAAAGCTCTTTTCTCTTTGTGTGTCTCTACTTTAATCTACAAAAGGTGATTGAATGGAGATTAAATTCCTTTCCCTCACATTTCCAACCCCCCACCTCCCCACAAGCTGACCAGAGCAAACCCTGAACTCTAGCCTTGGAGTCCTCACCATGCTGCATCCTGGGACCTCCCCTTTCACCTCCTGGACTTTGCTTCTTCTCTTCTCAGTGCCTGGAGTCAGCCTCAGAGCAGGGCTCCCAATCTAAGCCTGCACAGGAATATATCAGTCTTCCTATCGATGGCTTCCAGGTTGGATGAGCTGCTTAGAATTCTAGACTTCCCTTGTCCAAGATGGTAAATGCATGCACCCATGCTTTCTATGACTTCCAGGATTTTTCTTCTCTTTTTATTTATTTATTGTTTAACTAATTAATTTATTTTTTCTTAGAGACAGAGCCTCACTCTGTCACCTAGGCTAGAGTGCAGTGAAGCGATCATAGCTCACTGCAGCCTCAAACTCCTGAGCTCAAGTGATCGTCCTGCCTCAGCCTCCCAAGTAGCTATGACCACAGGTTCATACCACCATGCATGGCTAATTTTTTACATTCTGTTGTAACGGGGGTCTCACTATATTGTTCATGCTAATCTTGAACTCCTGGTTTCAACCAATCCTTCCAGTCTCCCAAAGTGCTGGGATTACAGGTGTGAGCCATCAAGCCTAGCACTTTCTTTATTACTACATATAAATTTTTGATTCATTAAGAATCTATTTGGGGGTAAGATATAAAGTAAGGATCCATTTTATTCCCCCAAACAGTTAACCAGTCATACCAAGGCCATTAAACAATCTTCCTTACCAATTGGACATGACACTTTTCTTAGAAACTAAATTCTTATTTGTATTTGGTTCTATTTCATAGACATGTCTGTTTCTTTTCTAGTGCCAAATTTCTACCTTTTGTAGCTTCATCAATTGTTTGACTCTCTGCCCTCACTACAGTTCTTTTCCAGATACATTTTTTGGTCTACTTATGCCTGTTGATTTTCCCAGAAGAATTTTAATGTCACCTTGATAAGTGTGTATCCTCTCCTAACCCTCTTGCAATTTCAGAAGTGGCTGAAGCCAGTAGGTCTGTGTGGGGTCATATGTGCCTTTGTTTTCATGCGTATGTTGTGTAATTAAATGCTTTCCATTTTAGCAGTAGATGGTTATAAAAGAAAAAGAGTTTTTAATCTCCTCATCATAAAATAGCCCCTGTTTGCATTCTGGTGAGTTTCTTTCTGAGATTCTCCCATGCTGTTTTGGGCTCAGGTCGTTTTTTTGGATGACATCGGGGCTAATCTGAAGCCAGCCCGTGACTTGGGAATGGTCACCATCCTGGTCCAGGACACTGACACGGCCCTGAAAGAACTGGAGAAAGTGACCGGAATCCAGGTAACTTGACTTCTGAGCGAGCCAAGCTTCCTGGACTCATCTGTGGTTTCTGGACTCAGGAGAAAACCACGAGCAGAGAAGCTGCTGTCCGTGGAGTCCATGAATGACTCCTGGGCACCGCTGGTTGGGAGTCCATCACCCACTGTGCAGTCAGCACGATGTCCCTAAGGAGCATCTTGCCTCTTTCTCTGCAGTCAGTGAACAGGGAGACAAGAATTTATACTAGTGTTAGTGCCAGGGCCGGGGAACTGGCAGCAAGAGTGGGATGTTCAAGGTCATCCTGACCTCACTTTTGAGAGTAAGTATGGAGAACGTTTACCCTAAGGATCAGGGCCCCTACCTGGCATGTCGAGCATGCCGCTGGCACTCAGGTGCAGCCCTTTAGTTCCACCCAGCTCAGAGGGAAGCCTCTTAAGAAAAGCCTGTCCGTCCCTGAGGTGGTTGGGACAGCCATCATGATGTCCCTGGGGTTGCCTGGGGATTAGCCTGCTCCTCCAGTTCTGAGGCACCTTTCTTTTTTGGGGTTGACCTGAGATCGCTGATCTCACTGAGTCCACAGCCTTCTGCAGAAGTGCAGCACCCTCATCCTGTGAGCACAGGGGAGAAGAGGCAGGAGAAAGCTGGCACTCAGCTGAGGCTGCCACATGTCCAAGGATGCACAGCCATTGCCTCAAAGGGAAGTAGGTTAGTTTGCTCGGGCTGCCATAACAAAGTACTACAGGCTGTGTGGCTTCAACAACAGACATGTATTTTCTCACTGTTCTGGAGGCTGGAAGTCCAAGATCAAGGTGCCAGCAGGGTTGGTTTCTCCAGAAGCCTCTCTCCTTGGCTTGAAGACAGCCACTTTCTCCCTATTTCCTCACTTGGTTTTTCCCTGTGTCTTTCTGCTTCCTAACTTCCTCCTTTTATGAGGATACCCGTCAGATTGCACTAGGTCCCACCCTAATGACGTCCTTTAACCTTAGTTACCTCTGTAAAGGCCTAATCTCCGAATACAGTCACATTCTAAAGTATTGGGGGCTAAGGCTGGGTGCAGTGGCTCACTCCTGTAATCACAGCCCTTTGGGAGGCCAAGGTGGGCGGATCGGTTGATGTCAGGAGTTCGAGACCAACCTGGCCAACATGGCTACAACCCCGTCTCTACTAAAAATATAAAAACTTAGCCAAGCATAGTGGTGGGCACCTGTAATCCCAGCTGCTCGGGAAGCTGAGGCACGAGAATAGCTTGAACCCAGGAGGTGGAGGTTGCAATGATTCAAGATCGTGCTACTGCATTTCAACCTGGACAACAAGAGCGAGACTCTGTCTCCAAAAACAAACAAACAAAAAAGTATTGGCACTAAGACTTTAACGTGAATTTTGAGAGTGATACAGTTTAGCCCATGACAAGACTGATTTTTTTGTCTTTAGTGAATAAATTAAAATGTATACCCAGTGACTCCATAACCTTAAAGCATCTTGCCCAAGCTTTGTTCATTTGTCCTTCTACAAACCTGCAAGTCCCAGGCAACAGAGAAGAAAGCACATCAGACTTGGGCTCAGGGAACCCATGTGCTTGTGCCCCTGGCTAGGTCTGTCCCCTCAGCATACCTGAGCCACAGATACCTGTCCTGTGAAACTGGGAAAGTAAAAACTATATCTCACTTCTCTTTGTCTCAGGGGTAGGAGGAAGAGGAAGATAGAAGGAAAAATGAACATCATCCCCCTTGTATTTTTTTCATTGTGGAAAAATGCATGTAACGTAAAATTTGCCATCTTTGTGTGTGTGTGTGCGCGCACGCACGTGTGTGTGTGGACAGTTCAGTGATGTTAAGAAAATGTACACTGTCGTGCAGTCATCACCACCACTCACCTCCAGAACTTTTTCATCTCCCTCACATGAAACTCTGGACCATCAAACACCAACTTTCCATTCAATGGCATGCCCTGGCCCCTGGCAACCCCCATCCTGCTTTTTTTTTTTTTTTTTTTTTTTTTTTGCTAGGGCTGTGTCTTATATAGCACCTTCAGCTGCTACCTACAGCAGACGTGCTGTAGACTGTGTGTCCTGGCCCCTGGCAACCCCCATCCTGCTTTTTTCTCTATGAATTGGACTCCTCTAGGGACCTAATGTAAGTGGAATCACAATATTTGTCTTTTTGTAACTGGCTTATTTCACTTAGCATAATGTCTCCAAGGTTCACCCATGTTGCAGCGTGGGTCTGAGTTTCCTTCCTTTTTGGGATAGAATACTAACTATTCCACTGTATGGATAGATCACATTGGGTTTATCCACTGAGCTATCCAAGGACGCCTGAGTTGCTTTTGCCTTTTGGCTATTGGGAATAGTGCTGCTATGAATGTGAGTGTGCATGTATCTCTTTGAGACCCTGTTTTCAATGCTTCTGTGTGTATACCTACGAGTGGAATTACTGGATCATATGGAAATTCTGTTTTTCTTTTCTTTTATTTATTATTATTTCTTTTTTCAGACAGAGTCTCACTCTGTTGGCCAGGCTGGAGTGCAGTGGCACAATATTGGCTCACTGCAACCTCTGCCTCCCAGGATCAAGCGATTTCTGGCTAATTTTTGTATTTTTAGTAGAGACAGGATTCCCCCATGTTGATCAGGCTGGTCTAAGTGATCCACCTGCCTCGGCCTCCCAAAGTGCGAGGTTTACAGGCGTGAGCCACCGTGCCTGGCCAAAATTCTATTTTTAAATGTTTGAGGAAATGCTGTGCTGTTTTTCACAGCAGTTATACCCTTTTATATCCCCACAGAAAAATCACCCCTTCTTAAACAGGGGAGCCTGCGTCTGTTTCTCAGAGGAAGGCAGTGGGCGTCAGTCATGAACAGCCTTTGTAAATTGCACAAACATATAAGATGATTATTAAAGTAGGAACCCCCCACTTTTCCCACCCCCAAAAGCAAGGGCATCCCCTGGTGTATGACCTAGGAAACTGAGGACACATGGCAGGAGGGACCCTAAGGGGCACCGGCCCTGCTCACAGGCCTTGGCTCCCGCCCGACCATGGGCTCATGGCCATCAGGAGACAGCAGCCTGCCCTCCCCCATCACACTGAGTCCCTCCCTGCCCCTGTCTTCTCCAGATGCCATGGAGATGGGAGGACTCACCTCCTGTGTCCCCCTCTGCAGAGTCTTCCATAGTTATAAAGGAGGTAGATTTCTTAGCTTACGTCCCCATTTTAGAGGTCACAAAACTGAGTCACTGAGGAGAATGAATTTTTCGTTGGGTTACGCCTTTAGGACTAAAAGTGACCAATCCAGCAGTAGGATTCACAGCGTGTCCAGCAGCAGAGTTCAGGCATAAGGCTATATTCACATACGTGTCCTCAGTAGTGGGCTCCTTGTCATTTCTGCCTCAGGGAAACTGATTCCAGTAAGGTACAAAAGCCACCATAAGGACTCCTTGTTCAGGAATTTCCTATTTACTGAGATGGGTTAGTCTAAGCCCTCACGGACTCCTGAGAACAGGCCTGGCACCTGCCGGTGGAAGGCTATTAGGGGCTAGACTGTGTCCCCCAAAATTAATACAGTGAAGTCCTAACCTCTAATACCTCAGGATGTGACTGGGTCTGAAGAAAGGGCGTTCAAGGAGGTAATGAAGTTAAAATCAGGTCACAAGGCTGAGCCCTAATCTCATCTGACTGGTCTCTTTAGAAGAAGGAGAGATTAAGCACAGGAGCCGTGGCTCACTCCTGTAATCCCAGCACTTTGGGAGGCCAAGGTGGGAGGATCACTTGAGGCCAGGAGTTCGAGGCCAGCCTGGGCAACATAGTAAGATCCTGTCTTTAAAAAAAAAAAATAGCTGGCCGTGGTAGTGCACACCTATAGTCCCAGCTACTTAGGAGGCTGAGGTGGGAGGATCCCTTGAGCCAAGGAGGTCAAGGCTGCAGTGAGCTGTGATCACATCACTGCATGTCAGCCTGGATGACAGAGCAGAGACCCCCAAAAAAGGGAGAAGAGGCAGAGATTAGGACACACACAGAGAGGTACCCAGGGCATGAGGACACAAGGGAAAGACCATGTGAAGACACTAGGAGAAGATGGCCATCTGCAAGCCAGGGAGAGAGGCCTCAGGAGAAACCAGCCCCACCAGCACCTTGACTTTGGACTTCCAGCCTCCAGAACTGTGAGGAAATAAATATCTGTTCTTGAAACCACATAAACTGGTATTTTGTCATGGCAGCCACAGCAAACTAATACAAAGGCCCAGAGAGTTTGATTTTGGCCGACTTGAAGGAGAGACCTTTCAGCAGAGCTGTGCTGGAGTGACTGCTGTGTGAGCTTCGCATGGTGTCCCACATGAGCCTGGGCGACCATCGGAGGAGCTGCCACAGAAGCAAATAATATTAATTAAAGTCCAAATTCTCTCGCTTAGAGCAAGTGATTTTTGCTTCTTGCTTATATGGAGTTCAGTGGCCAGTGGCCAGGGGCTTCGCCTCATGCAGTCATTCAGGGACTCAGGATGATGGAGGATGCACTGTCTTCTACCTGTGGTTTTTGAGGTCACACTGGACACCCAGCTGGAAGATGGGGAGTTGAGGAATGTAGAGAATCATTTGGGGGTTTTAATGTGCCAGGTAGGAGGCTGCACTCTTCCATCTGCATCCATTGGCCAGAACTCAGTCTTGGGGCTCCACTCAACTGGAAGGCAGGAGGGAGAATGGAGTCTGGCTGTGCTGGCAGGAGAGGGAGATGGGCTGGTCAGCCACCAGGAGGGCTCAGGATGGAGTGGAAAAGGTGATTTCCAAGGCCTCCCCTGGCACCAGTATTCAGGAGAGCCTCTCACGGAAGGAGGCTGCTGCTGTCTCTCTCACTATACCTTTCCTGCTTACAGCTTCTCAATACCCCGGCCCCTCTGCCGACCTCTTGCAATCCAAGTGACATGAGCCATGGGTACGTGACAGTAAAGGTGAGTCAGTTTTGTCTCTCAGTCGGCTAAGTGCTCTCCCACCAGGTCACCTAAAACGACCAGCAGAGACACCCAAGAGGCTGAGCTGTGAGGATCACCTGAACCTGAGCCTGGGAAGTGGAGGTTGCAGTGAGCTGTGATCACACCACTGTGCTCCAGCCTGGGCAACGGAGTGAAACCCTGTCTCAAGAAAAAAAAAAAAAAAAAAGGACCAGCAGTGACATTTGTTAAATATCGAGGGTGGTTGAACATCCACTATTTATAAGGAAATGTTATTTCCCACAAATCTCATTCCTCAGAAATCAGTGAAAGACAGACCCTGTCTCGGATTCTATAAAGCAGTGTGACTGATGTGGCCAAACCCCCATAGAACAGCAGGCTAGGGAGCTTGGGCAGCCTGGGAGGCTAAAGCATGCACACAGCTGGCCTGTGTTGGAGGAGAGCATGTTTTCATTCAACAGGCATTTATCGAACACTTCCTCTGTGTCAGGCACAGGCCAGATACAAGGGGTGCAGTGACGATCAAGACAGACCTGTCCTCAAGGAGCCCACATTGAGGGCAAAGAGAGGGAAAGGTCATTAAAATGTTCTTTTTGTTTTAAAGGGTTATCATAAAGCCAAGGCCACACACAGAGGGCCCTGGCTCGTGGCCTGGCTGAGACATCTAACTTGGCTTGCTGACACAGAGCAGGGGTTTAGTACGTCCTCATGGATTCACTTTGGGATCTTTCCTCATTTGTCATTGGCCTCATTTAAATATGAAAGGATCTAAAGCAGTGGGTCCACTCATCAGCAAAAAAGGCCAGACAGCTACTGTGCAGGCAGATAAACCCAGCTGGAATCTTGGTTTTGCCACTTAACTGACATTGCAGCCTTGGACAAGCATCTTATCCCGGTGAGCATCAGTATCCACAACTTCATAATGAAATGACAATAATATCTCTCCATGCCATTTCTGTGAGAATTAAATGAAATGTTGTATGCAGACCATGGGGCATAGTATCCAACAGCCACGTACTCCATAAACAGCAGCTGACAAACAGGAGAACTGGAGGCTATGGCTGTGCTGACCTTGGAGACCTTGGGGACCCTTGCTGTCCTGGAGGAGAACCTTCAGAGAGAAATTCTGAGATGAATGGAGGGTCTTCCATGGTCCCAGGGATTTTACACTCACAACCTCGGTGGTTTGGTTACAGCAAGGATGAGGTGCCTGCTCAGAATGGGATCTGTGCTCAGAATGGGTTCTGCCAGGGTGGAGGCAGCCACCACAAATGTAAAGTGGGCATCCAGGCACGAGTGGGTTTGCATAGTAAGAAAAGGCTTTTCTGGGACTTAAAGCTACTGCTCAGCGCCACTGACATCCCTTCTATAACTCTGGGTTCTCCTGAAGGGGTGAGTGTTTAATCAGGGCCTTCTGGTCTCATCTCTCTGGTGGTAAAGAGGAGTGAGGGGCTTTTCGCCCAGGGCTGGGGGCTGGATTGTAACCGTGGACAGGGTTATTCTCATAATTCCCTTAGGGTTTGCATATCCAGCCAGTTTCAAGAGATTATTTATTTGACCTTGAAGGAGTGTGATCAGAATCACTTTACCCCACCTTGTCTTTCCCCCACCCCATATTTAAGAGCTGGCAGTGAATTTCTGGGGAGTCCCAGCTGCGCCAGGCTCTCAGGGGGCTGTTGTATTGATTGCCACTGAATCCTAAACTGGGTTGATAATAGATCTTTCTGTGTTCTGGCTTTATGGACATTTTTCTTAACACAGAAAAAAAATGAGATGGGAAAGGACATGCGTTTGCTGGGCTACTCAGCTGAGTCAATATGAAGCTGTGAGCCTCAGTATCCACAGCTTCATGATGAGATGATAAAGCTCAAGAGTGAGCTGTTTAGTTGGGATCTGTGCTAGAACACAGGCGAACTAGGATCGTTTTTGATCAGACATAAGTGTGAAACATTTCTCAGTGTAAGGTAGATCAAATTTAATGTCAACTTTTGCCAAGTGCTGAAGGAAAGACTATGGAACAAACTCTGATAAACACTGTAGTCTGTGAGAGGGTCTGCCAGATGCCCACCTAATGTTTTCTTGAGCAAAATAGCTTGTTGGGAATTATGAATAAAACTTTCTGTGGGGCCAGGTGTGGTGGCTCATGCCTGTAATCCCAGCACTTTGGGAGGCCAAGGCAGGAGGATCACTTAATGCCAGGAGTTCGAGACCAGCCTGGGCAACATAGTGAGACCCCCCATCTCTAAAATTAGCTGGGGTGGTGGTATGCATCTGTGGTCCCAGCTACTTGGGAGACTGAGGTGGGAGGATCGCTAGAGCCCAGGAGTTTGAGGCTGCAGTGAGCTATGATCATGCCCCTGCCCTCCAGCCTGGGCAACAAAGTGAGACCATGTCCCCCACACTGCCCAAAAAAGAAACTTCCAGTGTGGGGCACAGCTTGGAGTCATCTAACATACAGCCAAGTGGAATTGTTCCACGTGAATTTCTATAATGTGACTCTGATTGTTCTCCTGCATTTCCTTTAGGATCGTGGAGATATGTAATTGGGGTAAGAACAGGGCACTTTGATTATTTGGTTCATTTGGCTGGACCCCACCATAACAGTCAAGGCTGGTTAGTGGCTATAACAAACACCCTGTCCCTTTCAGTGGCTTCACACCAAGTGTATTTCTCGCCTACAGCACAGTGCAGTGTTGTGGGCTCTGTCCACACAGCCATTCAAGCAACCAGACTCCTTCTCTCTGCTGCCTCCACCTTCCTCGAGGCCCATGTCATTCAGGCAGAGATAGGCAAAGGGAGGGAGGCCACGCACAGGAGGTTCCTGTGACCCCCGGATGTAGCACCTTTCCTCTGCTTGGGAGACACTGGCCGGAGCTCACTTGTGCGTCCACACCGACTGTAGGAGGGGGAGGTGCTCTGCGAGATGCTACCATGTGTCTGGAAGAAGATGGGAACACAGACTTTGTCAAGCCCTCACAGTCTCTGCCACACCCGTAGCCCCCAAAAAGACTATGGGTGTGGCAAAGCTTGAACAGATTTCATATTTAAGAAGTAAACAGCTCTTAATGAAACACTTATAGTATTGAGACAGCCAGGTGGGAGGGGGTCCCCAGAGAAACTCCAAACAGCCTGTGCACTGGGGTGGAGCCTCAGGAAGTTCTTGCCCTTTGCAGCAGGGAGGAGCCTGGCCCCTCCTCCTCCTGTGTGGAAACTGGGATTCCAACAGCGAGGCGGGAAGTGCTGTGGCAGGGAACTCTGGCCTTGCAGAGAGTCCCTGTTCCCCGTTTTTTTCCTTTTCACCAAGAAAACCCTGCTCTTTACTCATGCTTCAAACTGCGAGCCTATATTTTCATGACCTTGGGAACAAGAACCCCGTCTTCAGCTGAACTAAGGAAAAGTCTTGCAACAGTATTCTGCACGTGACCATGAATATTAAGCTCTGCACAGTATCAGCCCCCTGTTTAATATACTGAAAACACATCACAACAGCATCAGAAACTGTGAGAGTATGGGGGCCTTGTAGAGAGGAAGGAGAAGTGTGTTGTTTTGTTTTATTTTGTTTTCCAACATCATAATCTTTGCAGAATTCTTAGGTTATGGTGAGAGCCACCTGTTTTTATTGAGTAGGTTGGCCAGGGCCTCTTCTCAGCCATTTTCATGTAACACTGGGGTCTTTCACTGAGAAATCTGGGTCATGCACAATCCAGCAACGGACTGAAACGGCCCTGGCATTCTGCAGACGCTGTGGGGCCTGGGTCCACTGGGCCTGGTGCTTGGTCGCTGCCCTCTCCTCTTTCCCTTCCACAGCCCAGGGTCCGTCTGCATTTTGTGGAGCTGGGCTCCGGCCCTGCTGTGTGCCTCTGCCATGGATTTCCCGAGAGTTGGTATTCTTGGAGGTACCAGGTGAGAAAGCTGGGGAAGATGCAGCCAGTCAGGGTGAGGTTGGGGGAGTCTAGATGGTGTGGTCCGACGTGGACTGTCGTGAGGAAGCTGAAACCTGACAGTGGAGCATTGTCTCCAAAGTGTGACCAGGTTGGGGCAGGAGGGTGACTCCAGACCTCAGGGCTATGTTAGGCCACGAGGCACTTTTGCAGATTAGAAAAGGGCAGACTTCTTTAAGACACTCCATGCCCCCTGCTGGGAAGTCTCTGTAATGAGTATAGAAAGCTGCAAGAGCTTTGCCAGGGAAGATGCTGTCTTAGATGTGGCATTTCTCCCGTGCCCCACCACCGTCCACAGCAGCCCTGTATAAATGGGCTTATTTCAGCTCCATGGCAAAGTTACCGGGTAGTGCCCTGTGGCTCTTGGTTTGATCCATTTACAGGAAGAAGGGGATGGAGGGAAGCAAAGAGGGAGTATCCGCCTAGGACTGATGGGACCATGCTGGAGTGTGCCTGTTTGTTTTCTAGATCCCTGCTCTGGCCCAGGCAGGTTACCGGGTCCTAGCTATGGACATGAAAGGCTATGGAGAGTCATCTGCTCCTCCCGGTGGGTGTGCTGTCTTGCAGCTGTCTTATGCTGGTCTTGCCTTCTACCTGCCTGAGCGCTCCACGCCTCGGTGCTTTCCCTGGTCCCAGATCAGAGTAGCCTTCCCCTTAAGAGAGTCTGACTTCACCTCTTTCCTCTCCTACGGTGCCCTGTGTCTCTGCACTTTGGGCCTCAGATGCCCCTGCCCCCCACACTCTGAATGAATACAGCAGCCCCTAAGGCTCATGCTCCAAGGGATCTCCCACTGATCATGGGGGATGGCGGACATAGAATGTACCATCCATCTCCAGAACATTCTTCATCTTGCAAAACTGAAAGGCTGTATTCAGTCCTCAGTTCTTCCTCTCCCCAACCCCTGACAACTTCCATTCTACTTTCTGTCTCTATGAATCTAACTCCTCTAAAGACTGCATATAAGTGGAATCATACAGTATTTGTGCTTTTGTGTCTGGCTTCTTTCACTTAGCATAATGTCCTGAAGTTTCCTCCATGTTATAGACGGCACCACAATTTCCTTCCTATTTTTTTTTTTTTTTTTTGAGACGGAGTCTCACTCTGTCACCCAGGCTAGAGTGCAATGGTGTGATCTTAGCTCACTGCAACCTCTGCCTCCTGGGTTCAAGTGATTCTCCTGCCTCAGCCTCCCTAGTAGCTGGGATTACACGTGTGTGCCACCACACCTGGCTAATTTTTGTATTTTTAGTAGAGACCCACTTTGCTGGATACATTTATCTTTCAGTTCTTGTAACTTTTCATGAATTATTTCTTTGATAATTTTTTCTTGTATTTTCTCTATTTTTGTTGTTCTTTTTCTTTTTGCTTTCTGGAATTGCTATTGTTAAAATATTGTTATTGTTAAAATTGCTATTATTTTTTAAATCATACTACCCATTGATTTGGGTACTCATATGACCCAAAGTAACCTACAGATGCAATGCAATCCCTGTCAAAATCTCAATGGCATTTTTTACAAAAATAGAGACAGCAATTCTACAGTTCTTATGGACCCACAAAAGACTGCAAATAGTCAAAGCGACCTTCAGAAAGAATAACAAAGCTGGAGGCATTTGAAGCACACTTCCTGATTTCAAACTACATTATAAGTCTATAGTATGATACAAACAGTGTGATACAAACATAAAGACAGACATACTTTCAGTGGAACAGAATAGAAAGCCCAGCAGTTGATCCACATGTATGTGGTCAACTGATCTTTGACAAGGGTATCAAGAATACACAGTGGAGAAAGGACACTCTCTTCAAACAAATGGTGGTGGGGAAACATGAAAAAGAATGAAATTGGACCTTTATCTTACACCACACACAAAAATCAACTCAAAATGGATGAAAGGCTTAGATGTATGACCTGAAACTGTACAGCTTCTAGAAGAAAACACAGGGGGAAAGCTTGACATTGGTCTTGGCAATGATTTCACAGATGGATATGACATCAAAAGCACAGGCAACAAAAGCAAAAGCAAACACTCGAGTCTACCTCAGTCTAAGGATTTAGTAAGTTTTTGTGGGTTTTTGTTGTTGTTGTTTGGTTTTTGGTTTTCTTTGCAAAAAGGTCCTTTTGATGTGTTGATATATTTTAAGTAACGTGAATTAAATATGTTTCTTTTATTTTTAATTGCAGAAATAGAAGAATATTGCATGGAAGTGTTATGTAAGGTAAGAAGAATCTTGGGTAACATCTTCCCCATCCTGCGATTTTTGTTGCTATAAACCCGAAGCTGGGGTATCCATTCAAATTTTAGGGAAGCATCATTTCACAGCCTCTGGGTATAAATTCCTACTGAAAGTTGAACAGTATTTCCAAATGATAGCCCACATGTATGCAGCATCGACTGTGTGTCAGGTCTTCCTCCAAGCAACTGACAGAAGAGAAAACTGAGTCATGGGAAGTTAAAGGTAATTGCCTGAGGTCAGTAGCCAGTAGAGCCAGGTTGGAAGCCTGCAGTACTGCATTCGATTGCCTCACCATCTAAAGCATTGAAAAAAGTCACTTTATTCTGGTAAAGACATTGTTGGCCAGACCTAGGCCAGACCTGTGCAGACTGTGACCAGCATGGAATTCCTGCTCTAAGACAGGTGTAAGCACCATCCTGGAGAGGGGCCCCTCACTTCAGTGCTGGCAGGGGAGGCCAAGGCCAAGGGGAGGAGAGACTGGGTCCCAAACCTCCACGCAGCTCAGGAGCAAAAGCAAAAGCTGGGGGAGCCCAGGGGAGGAAACAGCCCCCAGGTTGGCTGGGGAACTAGTAATGCTGCTGGTGACACTACGATTACAAAAGCCTCCATCTCTGAGTCACAGCCCTGTGGGGGCTTCTCCCCCTCATGTGTGCCCCACAGCTTCATGCGCTGGCTTTGGCATCTCAGAAGCAATCATGGGTAAAAGTTCCATTTCCAGGCAGGGCTGCTCCTCCTTCCTCAGTTTTCCAGTCTTTGCCTCTTGCACTCTGCTGCTTCTGATCCCAAGTGTCTCCCCCAAAGTCCTACCAAGGTCTCACCAGTGACCCCAGGAGCCCCTATCCTGCTGTTGTCCTCTAACCTGGACCTTGCTTATTTCCATCAAAATCCATTCTTGAGACAGGGACATTGGGTCACTTAGGAGAACTGGTCTCTTGAAGAAAGTCCTTTTACCAAAAACAAACAAGATGGTGCTCCCATCCTCCTGTTCCACCTTTGAAAAATCATGAGTACATCCACAGCTAGGTATTTACCCAAGAAAATCGATGACATAGGTCCACAAAGATACCCAGATGCAAATGTTCACAGCAGCATTATCCCTAACAGCCAAAAATGGAGACAACCCACATGTCCATCAGCTGATGAATGGATAAATAAAATGTGGGCCATCCCTGCAGTGGGACACTGTTCAGCTATACAGAGGAATGACGTGCTGGTGCAAGCTTCAGTGGGAATGATCCCTCAAAAGACGATGCTTAGCAAAAGAAGCCAGTTTCTGTGTCAGGACAGTGGGTGGTGGGGGCAGGAATGTGTTGTCCCCAGGGTGGAACGAGCCTCTCACTGCTCCCCTGCAGCAGCACAAGGGCAAGCTCTACAGGGCAGCTGTCTTCCGTCCCCCTCCAGTAAAGAGCCCAGGCTTGCTGTCTTACAATGGTGATGGGATAGTTAGGGATATGTATTGGCATACACTGAATAATTCACTGTGCGTGTTTGGAGTCAGCTTGGTTCCTGAGAGGATGCTGGGAAGGGAAGGGTGATGTCGTGAAGACTGATGAACGATGGACGGCTGCACTGCTCAGCCTGGCTACCGTAACAAAGCGCCACAGACTAGGCACTTCAACAATAGACGTTTGTTTTCTCACAGTTTTGGAGGCTGGAAGTCTAAGATCAAGGTCTCGGCCTCCGGTGCCAGCACTGAAGTGAGGGGCTCCTCTCCAGGATGGTGCTTACACCTGTCTTAGAGCAGGAACTCCATGCTGGTCACAGTCTGCACAGGTCTGGCCTAGGTCTGGCCAACAAAGGCACAGTTGTTTCTCTGAGGCCTTTCCTGGGCTTGTAGATGCCACCTTCTTCCTGTGTCCTCACGTGCTCGTCCCTCTGTGCGTGTCTGTGTCCTAATCTCCTCCTCTTTTCTTTTCTTTTTTTTTTTTTTAATAAGCAACAGGGTCTCCTTATGTTGCCCCGGTTGGTCTTCAACTTCTGGGCTCAAGGGATCCTCCTGCCTCAGCCTCCCAAAGTGCTAGGATTACAGGTGCGGGCCATTGTGCCCAGCCTAATCTCTCCTTTTTTTTTAATTTTATTTTTTTTATTTTTTTGAGATGGAGTCTTGTTCTGTTGCCCAGGCTAGAGTGCAGTGGTGCGATCTCAGCTCACTGCAACCTCCGCCTCCTGAGTTCAAGCGATTCTCCTGCCTC
This sequence comes from Homo sapiens, assembly GCF_000001405.40. Classification (NCBI taxonomy): domain Eukaryota; kingdom Metazoa; phylum Chordata; class Mammalia; order Primates; family Hominidae; genus Homo; species Homo sapiens. The sequence continues at coordinate 27,520,283 of NC_000008.11, forward strand.
AGCCTCCTGAGTAGCTGGGATTACAGGCGCCGGCCACCGTGCCCAGCTAATTTTTGTTTTGTTTTGTTTTGGGTTTTTTTTTTGAGATGGAGTTTCACTTTGTTACCAGGCTGGAGTGCAGTGGCATGATCTCGGCTCACTGCAATCTCTGCCTCCCGGGTTCAAGTGATTCTCCTGCCTCATTCTCCCAAGTAGCTGGGACTATAGGCGTGCACCACCACACCCAGCTAATTTTTATATTTTTAGTAGAGATGGGGTTTCACCATGTTGGCCAGGATGATCTTGATCTCTTGACCTCATGTTCTGCCCGCCTCGGCCTCCCAAAGTGCTGGGATTACAGCCTTGAGCGACTGTGCCCGGCTTAATCTCCTCCTCTGATCAGGACTCCCAGACCCGTTGGATTAGGGCTCACCCATATGGCCTCATTTTACCTTAATCATCTCCTTAAAGGCTGTATCTTCAAAAACAGTCCCATTCTGAGGCCCTGGGGGTTAGGACTTCAACACAGCAGTTTTGGGGAGGACGCAGTTCAGCCCATCATAAAGGCTGAGGCAGGCGGGTGTGGTTGCTGATTTTGCCTGTGTGTGTCTTCTTCCTTAGGAGATGGTAACCTTCCTGGATAAACTGGTAAGTCATTATTTTGAACTGATATCTTTGGAGAATTCCTTTGGGGCCTGGGTAATTAAAGAAAAGGCGTCAGCCTCGAGCAGAGGTGCACGGGCAGGGAGGGCCCATTTTGGGGCAGTTTAGGGCAGAGTGGGCATGGGCAGGGAAAATCACAAAAACAATGACAAAGAGCAAGGATTGCGTGGAGAACAGGATGGAGATGAGCTTGTTTATTTGTCTTTTAATGAAAGGCAGGTTCCAGGGAATGGGACCAGGGAGGACAGCCTTGAGTATCCATTAGAGAAGTTTGGAAAATACCCCATAGGCTAATATTTCTCAGCTCTTTAAACTTTCATCCCTTCTGACACTCCTAAAACCTCCTGTTTGCATTTGACATTGTCATGAATGTCAAACTCAATGATACCAAATGAAAGCAAATCAGCAGTGGTGAGCTGAGAATGCGCTTTTGCAGAGTACACTTCCCACTCCCAAGACTGCATGGTATAACAGCGTCCCCTTCCCCCAAGTGAGGTCAGAGGGGCAGAATGGACGGAGGGGTCAGGCCCAGGCAGAACAGCAGCAGTGGAGGACAGAGAAGGATGATGGAGCTGTGGGACTTAAGGCCTCTTAATTGGATGTGGGAGTCAGAGAGGATCTAGGAGGCTGACCTCTGGTTCACCAGCAGGGCGCTGTGCCTGACACGGCAGGGAAGAGACCCTGAGAATATCATGGTCCCTACCCTCTGCAGATTCTCAGTTTCCTGGGATTAGGTTTGGAACTTTTGTGTGTGATGGGGACAGGGAACAGGGCATGGCCCAGAGTGGCCACCCAGTCCTGACTCTGTACAGACTTCTGTCTAGAAGCGTGTCCCTTATTGTTGAGAGAGTGACTCTGCGGTTGCTGCCAGTGGGGTCAGTGTGGAGCGAGGTGTGGATAGGCTCTGCCATCTAGGTTTCGCTCTGTGATGTTTGTGTGACAAAACCACCTGACACATTTCTGAGAACGTGTCCCCCTTGTTAAGTGACACGTGGCTATAGCTCTTCCATAAAGGGGAGTTGACGTTGTCATTTTCAATACCAGCAGCGGAAAGAGAGAGATTAAAGATGCTTTGGGACTTTTAATGGTTGTTTAAGGGAGGAGAGCTTCCAAAAAAGTGGGGTTGTGGGGGGTAGAAGCATAATCATTTGATAAAAGATGCACATGGAACATGAAGAGGTAAGTTTTACTTCTTTTAAGATAGAAGGGAGGAAAAAGAAAAGAACGAAAGAAAATTTGATTTGAGAGAAGGTAGAGAGGGAGAAGGAACCCATGGCCTGTGGCCTTGGTCTCCTAAGCAGATGTAAAAGGCTGGCTATTTGTGTTGAGGGTCTGTGGCTGGTGGAGGGAGGAGAGGCTTGAAGGGTGGGCATTTGGAGAGCTGCTGTGGGTCGGGGGAGGAGACCCTGGTGTCGAGGGGCTGGCTGATGGCCGAACCTCTCAGCACCCCGTTCCAGAAGCCTCCCCACATTCGGCTCCCTTCTTTTTCCTTCTCTAGGGCCTCTCTCAAGCAGTGTTCATTGGCCATGACTGGGGTGGCATGCTGGTGTGGTACATGGCTCTCTTCTACCCCGAGAGAGTGAGGTAATTGGGCCTCGGGCAATAAAGATTTGGAGGAGGCTGGACTTGAACTCCTGTGAGAATTGTTCCTCAGATCTTTAAGCCCAGAAAACTTCTCAAAAACAAGTAGGTAGTCTGGGAAGGTGATGTCTTCACTCTTTAGTGTCTGGTGACACATTATAAAGAGGGCCTAGCCGGGCGTGGTGGCTCATGCCTGTAATCCCAGCATTTTTGGGAGGCCAAGGTGGGTGGATCACCTGAGGTCAGGAGTTTGAGACCAGCCCTGGCCAACATGGTGAAACCTCATCTCTACTAAAAATACAAAAACTAGCCGGGCATGGTGGCGTGCACCTATACTCCCAGCTACTCTGGAGGCTGAGGCAGGAGAATCGCTTGAACCCAGGAGGTGGAGGTTGCAGTGAGCCAAGATCATGCCATTGCCCTCCAGCCTGGGTGACAAGAGTGAAACTCCGTTTCCAAAAAAAAAAAAAAAAAAAAAAAAAGGGCCTAATGAGCTAATGTGTTAGGAAGCGGCACCTGTTCCACTTACAGGCAATGGGACAAATAATTCAGGGCCCGAGTGGCCAGTGGGAATACAGGAGGATCCTGACTTGAGCTTGAGGGGTGCAGGGGAGGCAACAGGTGTGTCTTCAGTCCTGGACTGAGAATCAGAAAGCGTGGCCTTCGGTCTGCCCTGATCAGCTGTGTGACACATCACTTCGCTTCTTAGGCTTTGGCATTCTCAACCACAAAGTGGTAATGGTAACTCCTGCCTGACTCCACAACCAGAAAATGCTGTGCAAATGTCCAGTGAGCCCAGCATGTCATGGTCCCCACCATTTCATTCATAATCATTCTTAGACCAGCATTTCATGGCTTGAGTGGGAGCTATCAGATGGCAGGTTTTGGGCCCAGAGACTCTGTAGTCTCTTTGGCCATTTGAGCTGGTGAGCTGCAGCTAAACCTGTCTGACTTCCCATTTCAGCCTCTGGTCTTAGCAAGTTAAAGAAACATCATCCTAAGCCACCATCTGAATTTCCCTAACTAACCCAGTTATTTTGTATTTGGCTAAGTTTATGAGATTGGAACTACCAGGAAACTTTGTTCTGCTTCACTCCTGGCTCAAATGATAGGATTATATCAAAGAATAAAAAGAATCAAATGTTCCTAAAATATTGTTAAAGTTTTCATGGTATTGTTGTGTTCATCTCTCTAGCTTTTTAAATTTTTTAAAAAAATTTCTTGTGGGTACATAGCATATTCTAGCTTCTTCCTCTCTCTTTCTCTGTCCCCTCTCTCATTCAAAGTGGAAATAAGAGCTTGATTCTTAAGAACTGGGTTCACCAAAAAGTTACCCTGCAGACTGCACAACGTACTGGTTAAAGTCAACAAAAGGAAAGATAGCAACGAGCTGTGTTTGCCCCTCAAATTCACCCCCTTTTCTATTCCTGTTTTTTTTTTTTTTTGAGACAGAGTCTCACTCCATTGTCCAGGCTGGAGTGTAGTGGTGCAACCTTGGCTTACTGCAACCTCTACCTTCTGGGTTCAAGTGATTCTCCTGCCTCAGCCTCCTGAGTAGCTGGGACCACAGGCATGCACCAACACGCCCAGCTAAATTTTGTATTTTTAGTAGAGATGAGGCTTTACCACATTGGCCAGGCTGGTCTAGAACTCCTGGCCTCAAGTGATCCACCCCCATCAGCCTCCCAAAGTGCTGAGATTACAGGCATGAGCCACTATGCTTGTCCGTCTTTTCTATTCCTTTTGCTAGCATCCTATTCCCTCTTCAGGTGATAAGTCAGTGGTCTACTGGCTGGATTCCCAGGTTCTGGCCTCTCTGTCTGCTTCCATATGGTCTCTCAGTGCTTGATTAATCTTCCTGACCTCTCTCTCTGTGTCCATGTGGTCTCTCAGGGCTGGATTAATCATCCTGACTGCAACTCGGATCCACCCTCCCTTCTTCTGAGACGCCCTCATGGTTTTCTTGGTTCTTACAGCACCAAATTCAGACTCAGGTCCCTTCATGTCTAGGCTCCCCACTGCCTTTCTGTTGTTATTTCCCAACATATTCCATTCCATGCTTGGCTTCTAGCCACGCAGACTGTGTGCTCCATTGAATACAGCTGCAAGCTTTGCCCCCTTCTAGAATTTGCTCAGGCTACCTTATGTTGTTCCCCTCCCAGGCCTTGTTCTCCTCCCCAGCTCTCCCCATTCTGAAAAGCCAAGTTCAAATGCTCCCTTTTCCACAGGGTCCTCCATGATGCCCAGTTCAGGAATTCCTTATCTCCTTCCAACTCCTATGCTATTTTGTGCTATTCTATGGCTCATATCATAGTCATCTCATAAGGTCACTGTGTGTTTTTCTATTTTTCCTTATTAAATTATAATGAGCTCCTTGAGGATAAAAACGATATTTTATTCATTTTACATTTTCTCTCCTCTAGTATATGCCATAGAATTATGCTCAATCCAGAGGAGACACAATGAGTGAATAAAGGGAGGGAAAAAAAATGAATGTATATTTTAAAACTAGAGAGAGATTCGTGTCTCCATATTCTATCCAGGGTTGCTACAGTATGTGTACTGTGTGTGTGTGTGTGTGTGTGTGTGTGTGTGTGTGTGTGCGCGCGCGCGCGCGCACCTATGTGTCTAAGGCAAGTTGGTGAGAAATACTGCAGTTTAGTAGGAAAAAAACCAATGGACTAGGAATCGAAAATCCTGAGTTCTGATCCCATTCTCCCATTCACTGCTAGTGTATGACCTTGTGCATAGAATGTTCCCACTCTGAGCTTCAGTTTTGAACTGCAAAGTCCTTTCTGGCTCTTGTAAGACTGTCTTCTTACAGGGGCTATGTCTTGCTGCCTCTTATTTCTGTAGGGCGGTGGCCAGTTTGAATACTCCCTTCATACCAGCAAATCCCAACATGTCCCCTTTGGAGAGTATCAAAGCCAACCCAGTATTTGATTACCAGCTCTACTTCCAAGAACCAGTAAGTATGGCACCAAGGGCAACAATGGGAGCATTAGTGTTTGCCTTTCCCCTTCCTGTCTCCTTCTTATTTGCTTTATCACTGTCCCCTTTAATTTTATGTGGCATTAGTCAGAAATGATTTTACAAATGGGCTCAGGTGAAACTGGCTGCCATGCCCAGCTGATCCTTCCCAGGCAATGGCACATTTCCGTGTGTGTTCGGGTGGTGAAGGGCCGGGGGATGTTGTACCCTGGGGGGATGGCTTCTCTGGTGTCTCTGCAATTGCAGAGTTTTGGGGCTCAATGCTCAGGTAGAGCTGCCCCTCCTCATTCTCTGGCTGAAAGGCTGGTGATTATGGCACCAGGGTCTAAGAGTCCTGCAACAGGCCCCACATGTGCTCTGAAGAATCTGAGAAGTTTCTAGGTATCAGTACACGTGCCACAAAGATGCCTTTCAAAGATGCCCCCAGATGTGGCTGATACATATATTGGGGCATCCCTGCCACTGTTAACTGGAATTCACTGAGAGCAGCATCAGGAGTCAACGTCACCTGGCCTGGTGCCCCGCCTACAGCTGCCCTCTTCTGTGGGAGACATCTGCTATGCATCCACTTGCAGGAATTATCCAGAGAGAATAAAAGATGTTTCCTGCACACTCCAGAGAGAGAGGAATGGAAGGAATTAATTAATCAGGAATGTGAGAGCGTCTCCCACGTTCCTCTCCCAGCCTCCACCTCTGCTCCTCTTAGGAGGGACCGTTTCCAGCAAGACCACAACCATCCCAGTTTCGATTCAACGAGTAACTGTTCTCCAACAATTATTTTCATTGATGAGACAGCATCTGTGTGAAAGGAGCTTTGCGATTCAGGCAATAACTGGACTCATTCACCAAAAGCTCCCAGCGGCATTTTGAAGAGACCTCGACATGTCGCATCCCACATACTACAGGGAGGCCTGGGCCCTGCTGTGCCACAGCCTGGTGTGTGGGAATCCACGAGCTTCCTTTGGCCTGAATGAAAGCACAATGTCCTTCATTAGTGTGAGATAGTCTCGATGGTGAGACTATGGGTGTGGTGTGTGGTGTAGAGGGCGTATTACTTTGCTGGGGCTGCCATAACAAAGGCTAGGTAGCTCAACAGACTGGGCAGCTTCAACAACAGAAATTCACAGTCTTATAGTTTTAGAAGCTGGAAGTTCAAGATCAGGGTATTTGTAGAGTTGGTTTCTCTTGAGGCCTCTCTCCTTGGCTTGTGGGTAGTCCTCTTCTCCTTGTTTCCTCATATGGTATTTAGCCCATTAAAAAAAATTTTTTTTGAGACAGGATCTCACTCTGTCACTCAGGCTGGAGTGCAGTGGTGTGATCATAGCTCACTGCAGCCCCGACCTCTCCAGGCCCAGATGATCCTCCCATATCAGCCTCCTGAGTAGCTGAGACTACGGGTGTGTGCCCCCACACCTGGCTCACTTTTTGTGTGTGTATTTTTTATTTTTATTTTATTTTATTTGAGGCGGAGTCGCCCTCTGTTGCCCAGGCTGGAGTACAGTGGCGCAATCTCGGCTCACTGCAACCTCCGCCTCCTAAGGTTCAAGCAATTCTCCTGCCTCAGCCTCCTGAGTAGCTGGGTCTAAGGTGCATGCCACCACTCCCGGCTAGTTTTTTGATTTTTTTGTTTGTTTGTATTTTTAGTAGAGACGGGGTTTCACCATATTGGCCAGACTGGTCTCGAACTCCTGACCTCATGATCTGCCCGCCTCGGCCTCCCAAAGTGCTGGGATTACAGGTGTGAATATATAGAGACGGGGTTTCACCATGTTAACCAGGCTGGTTTCAAACTCCTGGGCTCAGGTGATCCACATGCCTCGGCCTCCCAAAGTGCTGGGATTATAGGTGTGAGCTACTGCACATGGCCTAAAATATTTTTAATTGTGGTAAAACACATGTAATGTAAAATTGACCATGTCACCTATTTGTAAGTGTGCAGTTCTGTGGCATTAACCACATGTACATTGTTGTGCAGCCATCACCACATCCACCTCCAGAACTTTTTCATCTTCCCAACTGAAGCCCTTCGCCCATTAAACACTAACTCCTCATCTCCCCTCCTCCCAGCCCTGGCAGCCACCATTCTACTTTCTGTCTGTATGATTTTGACTCCTCTAGGAACCTCATATAAGTGGAAGCATGCAGTATTTGTCCTTGTGTGACTAGTTTCTTCCACTTAGCATCATGCTTTCAAGGTTCACCCATGTTGTAGCAGGGGCCAGAACTGCCTTCCTTTTTAAGGCTGAATAGTATTCCATGGTGTGTATAGACCACATTCTCTTAATCTGGTCATCTGTCAATGGGTTACAGCTACAGCTGTTTTTGAGCTCTTATGTGCCACGTGGTTCTAATCTTCACAGCAACACGAAGAATTCTCTCCTATCTTCTCAGCTGAGCAAACCGAGGCTCAGAGGGCTTAACCCCAACTGGCCCAAGACCAGGTACATGATTGGGTCAGGATATCGACCTAGGCCTGTTTGACTCCAAAGCCCATGCCTCCAACTAAGCCATGCTGGAGGGGAGCTTGGGCTTTGTTCTGTGCGCTATGGGGAGTCAAGCAGAGAGAGGAGGGACAAATCAGGATAGGCTCAAAATCCTGATTGCAAAAGTGACCTTAGGAGAAAGACGCTTAGTAATTACAGCCCTTGTCAAGGCACAGTTTTTTGTTTCAAAGGTTGTTAACAGTTATTGTGGAAAAATCAGTACCTCTATTCTGTTGTAGCAGCTGGGTTTAAAATCTGCAGTGAGAGTTTTGGGGACAGTTTTGTTCTTAAGAACAAAGCGCCTTGGCAGGGAAATGTTAGATATTCAAATTAGTGATCTGGCCACTGAAAGATACCCAGTAACCAGGTTGGGCTGCATCCAGCCACTGGAACCACTCAATAGGTACAGAGCTGGGACTGGAGGAGAAATCACTCACAGGGGTTCCTGCCAGCCTGCCTGATACCTACTCTCTAAGGAACAAGTAGGCAAAGGCACTTCCCATCCCTGGCCCTCAGTTTCCTCATCTGCAAAAGGTTGGTTTTGGGTGGTTTTCAAACAGGTAATAGCTTCAAACTTAAGCTGATTCCAGGTCAGCAAATAAAGCCAATAACATGGAGAACAGCTCTTGGATGTATAGTGGGTGCTGGGAGTTCCTCCTTCCTGCCACCTCCTAACCCGCTCCCTCCCTGGCCAGGAGGAGGCATTTCTGACATCTCCTCCTTCTCCCTAGGAGCACTGAGGCTGTTCCAGACCCATGCAGCCTAAGGAAGACTCCTTCTGTGCTGTGGGTGCACCCGTCTCCCCCACTTATTTTTTTATTATTATTATTATTTGAGACAGAGTCTCACTGTGTCGCCCAGGCTGGAGTGCAGTGGCACAATCTCGGCTCACTACAACCTCCAGCTCCCAGGTTCAAGCGATTCTCCTGCCTCAGCCTCCCGAGTAGCTGGGATTACAGGCACCCACCACCATGCCTGGCTAATTTTTGCATTTTTAATAGAGACAGGGTTTCACCATGTTGGCCAGGCTGGTCTTGAACTCCTGACCTCAGGTGATCCATCCTCCTCGGCTTCCCAAAATGCTGGGTGAGCCACTGCGCCCAGCCCCATCTCTCCCACTTCTGGGTCATCTCTGCTGAGCACTGCAGGGTGAGGCTTAGACTAACTCCAAGTTTAGAGTCAGCTCCCATATAGCTCTTTGAACCCTTAGCCAACGTGCTGAATCTTGGCCTGGGAATCTGCCAAGTCTGCTGGAAACAAACAAGGCTTGCTTTTCTTGCCTTCTCAGAGAAGAGGTGACAGCTTTCCATGTGTATAGTGAGAAAGCATGAAGACTAGGCAGCTCTGGCAGCGAAGGCCAGTGGAATCGGCTGGGTCATTTCAGCTTAGCTGTTCCATGTTTTAATTCTGAGGATTCCCAAAGTCCTCACTTGGCCTGGGGGATACTCACACCCCATTATGCCCCCCATACCAGAACGTACCTAGGATATCCTGTGAACCCTGCTCTCTCCCACCTCACGACACTGGTCCTCTTTACTTGTCCTTAAACCGCACATGTGTATTTTTATTTCTTTGAGGAAGACTGGGTGGCAGGCACCTGTGTGTGTGTCTGGAAACATATAGCAAGCTAGAGGCAGATTTCAGGCAAAAAAAAATGCTCTTTTGGGCTGGGCGTGGTGACTCACATCTATAATCTCAGCAGACAGGTGGATCACCTGAGGTCAGGAGTTTGACACCAGCCTGGCCAACATGGTGAAACCTCGTCTCTACTAAAAATACAAAAGAGCTGGGTGTGGTGGTGCATGCCTGTAATCCCAGCTGCTCGGGAGGCTGAGGCAGGAGAATCTCTTGAACCTGGGAGATGGAGGTTGCAGTGAGCTGACATCGCAGTACTGCACTCCAGCCTGAGCAAAAAAAAAAAAAAGAAAAAGAAAAAAGAGCCCTTTTATTTAAGTATTTAACCAGAAGAGAAACTAAGGATCAGAGAGAAAATGTGGGAAAAGAAAAATTGTAGGCAGAAGGTTTTACCTGGCTGAAAATCATCCACAAATGATTTTCTTTCTCCTCAAAACATTGAGTCTCTCTCTCTTTTTTTTTTTTTCTGCTGTGTTGCCCAGGCTGGTCTCTAAGTCCTGGCGTCAAGTGATCCTCCCACCTCAGCCTCCCAAACTGCTGGGATTACAGGTGTGAGAGCTGCCATGCCAGCCTAAATGTTGAATCTTTCTTAATCTCTAGAACACAGTAGCTCCTTCAGGCCATGGGGACAGCTGGTGATTAGTTACAGAGTTTATTTTTTAGGTTTTGTTTTTGTTTTGAAATTATGAAGTAATTCATCCTTGCTATTTAAAAAAGTCCTGTGTTGTGTAAAGTAAAAAGCTGAATCGCCCTTTGCCCATCAACGAGCTACTAATAGCTACTACTAATAGTCTGGTATTTCCCAGACATTTTTTGAAATATTTAAAAACTATTTTTGAATGTTTTTAAGCAAATATATGTGTGTATGAGCACACACACATATATAATTTTTCATATAAATGGAATCATGCTGCTTTTTCATTTAATACATATTGCACAGATTTTTTTGTCAGCACATATAGATTTATCTCATTCTTTTTAATGGCTGCATGGGGTTTTGTAACAGGTAGACTATGGATTATGTAATCCTCTGTGGAGGGACATTATTTTGATTATTTTTCACAGCCGAATAATATAGTTTAAAAGAAAGTGCCACTGTTTGCTACCTTATGCACCAAGCTTTAACTATTGTTACTTTAATTTTTTTCTTTTTTTTTTTTTTTTTTGAGATGGAGTTTCGCTCTTGTTCCCCAGGCTGGAGTGCAATGGCATGATCTCAGCTCACCACAACCTCCATCTCCCGGGTTCAAGTGATTCTCCTGCCTCAGCCTCCCAAGTAGCTGGGATTACAGGCATGCACCACCACGCACGGCTAATTTTGCATTTTTAGTAGAGATGGGGTTTCTCCATGTTGGTCAGGCTGGTCTCGAACTCCCACCCTCAGGTGACTTACCTGCCTCGGCCTCCCAAAGCGCTGGGATTACAGGCATGAGCCACCACGCCCGGCTGTTACTTTAATTTTTATGCCCTTTATGGAGGAAACCCTTGGCAGGGTTATTTTCATTGTCTTAAATTGGCAGTGTTGTGTTAGGTTGTGGTGAAAAGAACCAAATATGGAGGGGTTTGGAGTCTGATGTTCTCATTTATAATCTGCCTGACCTTCAACGAGGCACTTAAGGCCCCTGACCTGAGCGTCTTCCTCTGTGAAATGGGCCTCACAGCTCAGGGCTGTTATGGACAGAAAGAGCTGGCACCATCAGCATGTGGCAGGCGGCCCCCAGTGCCCTGGGTCCCTGTAGAGCCTTCTAAGTCTTTGCTGTCCACCTCTTTCTCATCTGACCAGCCACACTGCAGAGTCAAAGGTCAACAGTTTGCTGTCTGCCCAGATTTCGGATGCTTCCAGCCACTGCCATTTTTGACCTCAGGGACAACCACCCCACTGTTTCTCTTGGCCTGTCTTGGAGAACACTGGCGCAGACTTCCAGAGGAATTGGAGTCATTTTTGTCAAGGTAGACGGAGCATGAAACAGAGTCACTGGCCCAGCCCGCTGACCAGCAGAGGCTTCACCTCCACTCCTGGATGGCATCCTTTGGCGTTACTTGTAAAGGGCAGGAGGGCTGAGTGGGGGCTTCGTGGACCTGCAATTTGGCTTCAACAGCTGCCTCCATTGTCTCACCCACAAAACAATAGCCACAGTTAAGTGCAGCCTCTCAGCAGACCTGTTCTCTACCTTGGAAAGGACACAAGAGAAGATTAAAGAGGAGAAACTCCTGGGATGGTGGAGGGGAGCTCTCCCTGTTAGGAGGGCTGAGCACAGGAGGCAATCCTGTGCCCTCCACCAATGTGGGGGCACCTCCCTGGCAAATTAGGTGACTGACAGTGCCGCCCCTACCAGCGCTGAGTGGAAAGTCTAGACAAAACTCCATCTTTTTGTGGTGCCCTGCATTTCTGGGGGCTCCTCTGACAGTGTGCTGAATACGCACATGGGAAGTAAATTGAGAGGATGAGGGAAGTCCAGGGCACCTTGGATCCTGGGACCCTCCAGACCCCCACCCTGCGGTTGGCACACCTGCTGCCTGTTGCTCCTGGGGGTGGTGCCTGGGCCCCCTGAGCCCAGGGTAATGAAGACCCTGGCCCCTTTCCCTCCTCACCCTCTCCCCTCAGCCCCCACATCAAGATACCCCCTGGAGACATGCTTTAGTGTAAGCTGGGGGCCAGAAATGGGAGGAAAATAACAGAAGATAACATTTGTCCTCTGCTTATGTGCTTAGCTGAGACCTTCTGACTCTTTTTAATCTACAAAAGGTAAGACCGTATCTTTAAATCCTACAGACCAATGACAAATTTCCTGCCTGCTCTGGATAGGGGCTTCTCCTTTTGTGTTCCCACTCCCGGGGCTGCCATAACAAAGTACCACAAGCTGTGAGTTAGAACCACAAAAGTGAATTCTCAACAGTTCTTGAGGCTAGATGTTCAAAATCAGGGTCTCGGCAGGGTTGGTCCCTTCTGGGGGCTCCCGAGAGAGAGTCCATTTCATGCCTGTCTCCCAGCCCCTGGCCGTTGCTGGCAATTCCTGGTGTTCCTCAGCTTGTAGACACATCACGCCCGTCCCTGCCTCCGTCTTCATGTGGCATCCTCCCTTCTGTGTCTCTGTATGTCTCAATTTCCCTCTTTCTCTCATAAGGACACAGGTCATTAGATCTAGGGCCCAATCTAAAGCCAAGATGATATCATTTAAAGAACCCTAATTAGATATTAATTTAAAATTTTAAAAAATCAGCCAGGTGCAGTGGCTCACACCTATAATTCCAGCACTTTGGGAGGCCAAGTGGGAGGATCACTTGGCCAGGACTTTGAGACCAGCCTGGGCAACATAGCCAGACCCCGTCTCTACAAAAATGTTTTAAAAGTTAGCCAGGCATGGTGGTGCACACATGTAATCCCAGCTCCTCAGAAGACTGAAGCGAGAGCATCACTTGAGTCCAGGAGTTTGAGGATGTAGTAAGCCATGATTGCACTACTGCACTCCAGCCTGGGCAACAGAGCAAGACCCTGTCTCTAAACGAATAATAATAATAATGGAGATAATGATATTAATATTTATTGGCATGCCTCCTGCATGTCAGGCATTGTAAGAAATGGGCATTATCTCATTTAATCCTTACAAAATCCCCATTTTACAGATGAGGAAACCGAGGCTCTAGGGAAAGAAGTTCCCCAGCTGGTAACTGTCAGTACTTGGGCTTGAAACTGTGTTTATTGGATTCTAAAGTCCATCCTTTAACTTCTGTGCGCAGGAACACAGAAGGAGGAGCCCCTCTCCAGGGCAGACAGGAAATTTGTCATTGGTCTGTAGGATTTAAAGATATAGTCTTATCTTTTGTAGATGAAAGAGAGTCGGAAGATCTCAGCTAAGTGCATAAGCAGAGGACAAATGTTATCTTCTCTCCTTTCTGGCTCCCAGCTTCATCCTATTCTTTCTGTTGCTCTGCTGCACTTTTATGTGAGTGAACAGATTTATTTACCTTTTTTCTCTCTGATTTTTTTTAAGAGACAGGGTCTCACTCTGTTGCCCAGGTTGAAGTGCAGTGGCACAATCATAACTCACTGCATTCTTGACTTCCTGGGCTCAATCAGTCCTCCTGCCTCATTCTCCCTAGTAGCTGGGACCACAGGCATGCACCACCATGCCCAGCTGATTTTTAAAATATTTTTTGTAGAGTCAGGGTCTCTACTGTTGTTCAGGCTGGTCTTGAACTCCTGGCCTCAAAGTCCTCCTGCCTGGACCTCCCGAAGTGCTGGGATTACAGGCTTGTGCCACCACACCTAGACTCTTTGATTTTCTTTACTGACTTTTTGACATCGTTTGCCCTTTAAAGGATCATTTGAGGCAAAGCCCTGTCCAGGCTTCCATGGGTTCCTTCAAACACTGAAATGCACCCCTGAGCTCATGAACAGCAGCTGTTTCTGGGATGAGGACTGCTCTCAGTAAATAAGAATGATGACCGACAGCCACACACACAGACCTGACCAGGGCTTCCATCCATGACCTAAATGTGCTTCTTCCCATGGCTATTTCTCACTGTGGCATTCATCATCATGTTGCGGAAGGCCGCCATTGGCACCATTATAATTGAATCTTACAAAACGGAGGGAACTGTCATTAACAGGCAGACATAGCTTTCATCAGAAAATCTCCAACCCTAGATCCAGCACCGCCAGATGATCAATGTCTCCATTCTTCTGTGCTGCCACTGCACAGATCCAGAGCTCTCGTGAGGAGTGATGAGCAGAACAAAAAAGAGTAACGTCTCACTGGGCATGGTGGCTCATGCCTGTAATCCCAGCACTTTGGGAGGCCGAGGCAGGCGGATCACTTCAGGTCAGAAGCTCGAGACTAGCCCGACCAACATGATGAAACCCCGTCTCTACTAAAAATACCAAAAATTAGCCGGGCGTGATAGTGGGCCCCTGTAATCCCAGCTACTTGGGAGGCTGAGGCAAGAGAATCTCTTGAACCCATCTTGGCAGTGAGCTGAGATTGCGCTACTGCACACCAGCCTGGGCAACAGAGCAAGACTCCATCTAAAAAAAATAAAAATAAAAAAAGTAACCTCTCAACGTGTGCAAGCACTGAGGACTGCAGGTCGCTGGAACGAAAGCTTTGTGGATGTGGCTTTAGGATCTTCCTGTCCTCTGACTCTATCTCAAAGGCAGCCACAGATGCTGCTGAGAACAGGATGAGTCCCCACCACTAAGGGGATCCCAGGAGAGCACATTCAAGGCTCTGCAGGATCCAAGAAAAGCAGAGTTACCCCTTGGTGGTGGGAAAGATGGAACCTCATGGAGAAGGCAGTGTTTGGGTCCGGTGTTGAAGGCCAAACTAATAGAAGTCCATGCTCTTGGTGAAGGTCACAATGTGTTAAACCAGGGAGGCCAGCGAGTAGGAGGCCCGCTCAGAAAACACATGCAGAACAGTTCAGCTGATGTTTGGGTGCGTGCAGGTGGGTGGTTAGAGGGAAGGAGAGGAGAGTCAGTTGGCATTGCCACACTTAACTCAATTCCCTCTGGTAGCACTAGTCCCTCAGCAGCAGCTGTGTTACAGAAATATTTTATTTTATTTTATTTTATTTATTTTGAGACAGAGTTTCGCTCTTTTTGCCCAGGCTGGAGTGCAATTGTGAGATCTTGGCTTACTGTGACCTCTGCCTCCCGGGTCCAAGTGATTCTCCTGCCTCAGCCTCTGAGTAGCTGGGATTATAGGCATGCACCACCATGCCCGGCTAATTTTGTATTTTTGGTAGAGACGGGGTTTTACCATATTGGCCAGGCCGGTCTCAAACTCCTGACCTCAGGTGATCTGCCTGCCTCGGCCTCCCAAAGCTCTGGGATTACAGCGTGAACCACTGCACCCGGCCAAGATTTTTATTATTTCTGAGTGGTTGCCCCTAGTGGATCTCTGCCTCCAGGACAGCTGTTTTCTCCTAAACTACGTCTGGAACAGCTTTCGGGTCCACCATCTTTCAACTTCTGGAAACGACAGCTTGAATTAAAATTGTCCTCTTATGCTCCAAAAAGCCATGAACCAGGCTACCCCCACTAGGAGAGTAGGATCCATGGATGGATCTCTTGTCACCTTCCAGCCATTCCCCTGTTCTTGGTGTCTGCTTTGCTGAAGTGCTCCTGGAGAGGGTTGGGGTAGGAAGGAGAGGGGAAGCAGGAGAGGAAGACTCCACACCCTGAGCCTCCAGTAGGAATCTCCTCCCCAGCCCTCAGCACATGACATTCAGTGACCTGGACACTTCACTTTAGTCCTCATCCAAGCCCCTCCCCCATCCTTTGGTCCACCAGGAAGGTTCTGGAGCCTATTTTGTACATTGGCATCTCTTGGTCCAGTTTGCCAGAGAAGGAGCTCAGTGTCTGTGGAGCTGATGAAGCAAGTTCAGGTCAGAGAATTCCCACCATACACAAGCCAGAGACCTGGGAACAGCCAGAGAACTGTGTGTCGACTGGGTAATTAAATGCCATACTGCTCCCAAGAACTGGAAGGACCTGGTCATTTGTCACCAGGAAGGCTATGTGTCCCAGCTCTTTAACAGTGGAAACCTTGCTGCCCTGTCTGTGGAATACAATCTATTGGCAATCTAATGGTCTGTAACAATTAAGACCCAAGTCAAAGGAGTTGATTTTGAAGTTTCTACAGCAAAAAAAAAATTGTTTAAGTTTCTTTGTAAAGATGGGGTCTCGCTAGGTTGCCCAGGCTGCTCTTAAACTCCTGGCCTCAATATAGCGAAATTTAGATGCCTGGATGGAAGAGCATTTGGTATATAGTTTTTGGCTTTTCTGCTTGGTTTCTCAGAATCCTTGGAGCCCCTCTCTTCTTACCACCAGTCAGCCTCCAACCCATTCCTCTACCAGCCCCCTCCCAAGTCCTTTCAAGAGATTATTATAAGTAGTACCTTCTCATTATAGGAATATTGAAAAACACAAAGAAAGTGGCATCTATAAACCTGCCTCCCGTGGGGAACTACAGTTAGCATCTTGTATTTTATGCTAACCTTTTTAAAAGACATGTTTTATGATGAAAATTCAAATGGATGCTATTCTGATGAAACTTGGGCTGGATGGGGCACAGGTAGGGTGCTTGTTGCTTTCAGTCAGATGAAGGAGGGGTACAGTTTCCACGATTTCTAGGGGGTCCTTCATTTTGCTTTCTTGATTGTTTTAGGGAGTGGCTGAGGCTGAACTGGAACAGAACCTGAGTCGGACTTTCAAAAGCCTCTTCAGAGCAAGCGATGAGGTGAGGGGTGGGGATGGGTGCAGAAGAACAGGAGGGGGCAGTTGTGAAGGAAGTAGGGTACCTAGTGTGTGGCAGGGACCAGGAGTAGCAATCTGGCCTCCTTTTCTTTCATTTCTATAGTCAGGGTAATTGAGGTCCTCACTCTACTGGGAAAATTTACATCCTCGTTGACACACAAGGTCAGAGAATGATTATAATAATGATGGCTTGGAAATTATGCTATTACCATTACCATTTTAACATGCATAATTGGCTTACCCAAGTACAAAATTAATTGATGTCCCCAACCCTCTTCTTGAAGCAGAGGAGTTTAGAAACCTTTAACTCTGTAAGCTGCACCCTCCTGTCTTAGGTGTTAGGAGTCATCATCACTATTGTTGTTTTATATACAGTCAGTGCCTGCTCAAACTGTCCCATATTTTCTACTTTCTTTACTGATCACTTCTTGCATCTCACTCATTTGCATTGAGTTCAGTTTCTTTCTTCCTGAAACATCCCCTTTAGTAGTTCTCTCAATAAGAGTCTGTTGGTGGTAAATTCACATTTTGGTGCCTGAAGACATCTTAATTTTAATCTTGAAGAATCATTTATCTGAGTATAGAATTTTAGGTTATTTTCTTTTAGAAACTTCTGTCATTGCTTGTGAGTCAGCCTCGGGTCTAACCTCCTATACATTAATTGTCTTAGCCAATTAATTGTCCTGGACACTGCAGTGTCTGATCTGCAGTTTAACCTGTCTTTGAAGTTTTAATTTCAATAAATAGTTTTTTTTAATTTGTGAAAGTTTTATTTGGTTCTTTTTCAAATCATTCTGATCTCTTTTGATAGAGTCTTGTTGTATTCTTATTTTTCAGTTCCTTTTATGTTTTCAATTATTTTAAGTATATTCATTTCTAATTCTCTCTTGTTTCTCTCTCTCCCTCTCGCAAACTCTGTTATTGGATGTTTTTGGGGAGTCGTATTTACTGTTTGCTACATTTTTTGCCTCTTGCTGTGGGGCCTTTTTGTGTGAGTGTGGGTTTTGTAATTTTGGTTTATAAGCTCATCTTCAGCAGTACTTAATCTGTACCCATCTGCTTCAATTGGGCTTGAGGAAATGACCCCTTGAGTGGTTAAGGATTTCTTCTGCCAGGCATCCTGGTGGCATTACCAACCCAGGCTCACTTTGTTGTTATTGTTGTTGTTGTTCTTGTTTACTTCACACCTTGAGAGTTTCCAGATCATGCAGAGAATGCAAAC
The DNA here is from genome assembly GCF_000001405.40 of Homo sapiens. Taxonomy (NCBI): domain Eukaryota; kingdom Metazoa; phylum Chordata; class Mammalia; order Primates; family Hominidae; genus Homo; species Homo sapiens. Next base: position 27,538,095 of record NC_000008.11, read on the forward strand.
TCAAATCCAAGCACTTGGGAAGGCAGGCCTAGAGCTATGAATTCCCAAGGGGGTGTCTTTTGGTTTCCTCTTAGTACCAAGCTGAAACAGACAAACTCCTTTAACATCTTTATCATCATGAGGGGATTTTTTTTCTAATCAATTTTTTCACTGAGGGTATAGCATGTCAGAGACCCCAGATTTACTGGATTTACCATGGAGGAGCATGGAATATCACATCTTCAACTTCTCATCATAGGCCAAGGTCTCTTTTCTTGTTCCCATTGGCTGATAAACCTAGGTCTTCATATTACCAAGGTCTGCAAGGGCCCTGGGGCAGTCTCAGCCCAGAGCTTTGGTCGTGAGCCCGCTCTTTACTTGACTTCTGTGAGGGGGTCCCTGGCTCTCTTGGGAGTTCCACATGTTTGTTACAGTCTGCGTGGTACTCAGAGGTCATTTGTCATAACAGGGTTTTCAGATGAGCATATTTCCTTTGTCATTTGTCGTAACAGGGTTTTCAGATGAGCATATTTCCTTTGTATCACCCATGACATCATTTGTAACTCTTTTCTTTTCTTCCTTCAGAGTGTTTTATCCATGCATAAAGTCTGTGAAGCGGGTAAGAGACATGCTTGGGAGAGCCATATCTGGAACCAGCTGAATGTTAAAGGGATGTTTCTGTCTCTGACTGCTATGGGCAGAAGCCCTGAGCTCTCCAGCTCTGAACTTTAAGTTGCCCAACCAGGGTCCCCTCGGCATGCATAGGGCTGACTCTAACCCCAGGCCTGAGCACACAGCCTGGAGTTCCTACCCTCTAGGGAGCTGTGGCTTCAAGATCTTAAGCAGTAAGAGCTTGGAGGAGTCTTAGAGCTTGTCCAGGGCAAAATCCACCCTCTACTGATAAGGACCCCAGGATTGAGAGCTTACCTCTATGGGGGTCACCTCGTGTATGCAGGTGGAGTGGAGTGGGGCCCCTGCCCAGGTCTCCTCCATTGCAGTCCACTGGCCCCTCTCCATCCAGGCGCCATGTTTCCAATTCCCCCACCTGGAGCTCATCCTTGTCTCCCTCCTGGGTTGGGTATGAGTGAAGGGTCAGAGTTGAGATTTGATTTGAGCTCATCCCCATGGCCCCTAGATCCAGCACTCTTCCCACAAGACCTTATTTTTGCTGCAGCACTGTGGCCTTGACAGCATTCACTTGTATTTTTATGAATAATGATGACCACTGTCACTTGTTTGGGCACGTGCTGACCATCTGTATAAAACTCTGGACTAACCCCCTTTAGATAAAATATTTGTGATCCTCGAAGCATTCTGAAAAATGCTACTATTTTTAATTTCCAAAGAGGAAAACAGGTCTCAGAGGGTTAAGTAACTTGTCCGAAGTGGCTGAGCTGGGGTTAAACTCCTCTGACCCTGCAGGCCATGCTCTTGTCACTGCTCAAAGAACATCTTCCTTCCCTCCCCCACACCCACATTCCCTTATTCCTTCACACCGTCTGTCACTCATTCATTCACCCATTCATTCATTCCTCAAATGCTGTGAGCACAGGCTGGGTATGAAGCTGGGGCTGCATGCTCAGCTACCCAGACACACGAAGCAGGGTGGCCACCCTCAGTGAGCCCACAGTCTCACGGGAGGCAGAGCAGCTGGGATGCTCGCAGAGGGGCCCTGAGGTACAGTGAGTCTGGAGCACCCGCCTGGTGGGGAGGCTCAGGGTGGCTTCATCACAGGGTGACATCCTCATCACATACCCCTTTGATGTGTCTCACAAAAGCCTGGAATGACCAGTTCCTGTGCCTCCGGGTCTTCGTGAATCTGAAAATGCCGACGGGCCCTGTTCAGGCACCAGCATTGAGGCTGTGCCCTGTGAAATTGCAGTGGTCCCTGGGCTGCCAGGGGTCATCACAGGCCATCCTCTGGAGGGACTGTGCAGCACCCTGAAGACAAGAGAGGGGTCCACAGTGGGATACCACAGAGGGTCTGTGCGGCACGTGGGAGGTGACAGGATGCAGCCACCTGGCCTGGGTTCTCTTCCTGCCTTAGAGGAAAAACGGAGCAAATCCTTATGAAAATTCCAAGAATCTCTGGCGATATCTCCAAAGGGCCACAGTTAAGCTGGCTGGGAAAGGTTTAGACGAGGGGAGAGCAGGAGCTGGGGGCTGGCAGGGTCTGGGATATAGCTGCTGTGTGCCTGAAAAAGCCGGCAACTGTGGTTGGTCCAGGAGCTGTGATAATAGCCCGTGAAGTCGTGGCTAGGTGGGAGGGAACATCAGGCTCCAGTGTGACCGTGAGATCACAGCTTTGAGCTTTCGAGGAGATGGGATCACTCTGGCAAAGGATAAGGGAACAAAAGATGGAGGCACTCATAAGGCCTTGCGCAAGTTCAGATGGTCTGCGAGAGGCAATGAGGTCCCCACCTTAAAATGCAGACACCTGGCCCGGGGATGGGAAAGTCAACAAGTGGCTTTTTTTGCAGGAGGACTTTTTGTAAATAGCCCAGAAGAGCCCAGCCTCAGCAGGATGGTCACTGAGGAGGAAATCCAGTTCTATGTGCAGCAGTTCAAGAAGTCTGGTTTCAGGTAAAGAGAGCACAGGGCCCAGACACAGATGAGAGATGATCGACAGATAGGGATCTTCAGCCCTCAGGGTGGAGGGTGAGGCCCAGTTCTCCTCCACCACAGCCCTCGTTAGTGCCAGGCCAGCCTCTGCTTCAATGCCTCCAGTGTCGGGAGGCTCACTACTTTATGGTGCTCAGCCTGCTCTAGTTTGGGATAGCTCAGCTTGTTCTTCCTTATGCTTATGGGGCCCCCATAGGGCAGAGGGTTTTCACTACTTTTTAGTCATGGCTCCTCAGAGAATCAGATGGCAACTCTGGGCTCTTTCTTCAGAAAAACATAAAAATCCACATAAACTCAAAAAGTGCATACATTTTGGTGCATTTGCCCTACTTCCTGATGTCATATTAGGAGGGGGCATCTTTGCTCCACCTCCCAATGTCCCTCTCAAGTGGGCTCCCTGGGGCAGGCGAGTGGCCTCTGGATGGTGAGGCTGCTAAACCAAGTTCCCCACCATCAGCAACCTCCCCAGCCTCCAAGGTGACACGATGACATTCCCTGGAGGGTCCTGTAGGGCCGGCTTCTTTGTGTCCCAAAAGCCAACCTAGAGGCTGCCAGTTCACTCAGTGGAGTCCTGTGTCCTTGCACAAGGCCTTGCTGCTAGAGCTTGGCAACTGCGCCCGACAGCAAGGCGTGGGTCCTGGGCTCTATTCTCTTGCCCCTGCAGGAGGCTTTGCTCTTCCCAGGACGACTGGCTGTGCAGAGCAGGTTTCTGCTGGTGTCTGTAGCAGAGCCGTCTACTTACTGCCTCCCTCTTTTTACTTTCTGATCTCTCCCCAGAGGTCCTCTAAACTGGTACCGAAACATGGAAAGGAACTGGAAGTGGGCTTGCAAAAGCTTGGGACGGAAGGTGAGTGCCAGGTTCAGTGTAGTCTCATCCACACCCCAGGACCCGCCCGCGGGGCTTCCCATTGGCCTGAGCTGATATGACCTGGGCCAGAGCTGGTTGTGGACAGATCTGCTGGCCACCTCCTTTCCCTTTGGGGTTTGGGAAGTGACTCCCTTCAGGGGTTTCCCTAGGATCTTTCTTGCTGGTGCTTCTCTTGGGATGGTAGAGGGTGACCTTGGGGATGGAGCTGGGGTGTGTCCAGGGAACTGCAGCATCCATCCGGAATCCCCAGGTCCCCTGGTGGTACCCCAAGGCAGGGCTGCAGATGGCCTGGGGCACCTCCCAGAAGTGACATGGATACTGGAGCCCCCAGCCCAGAGGAGCGTTAGGTGCTCTCAGAGATGTGACTTTAGCCTTCGGTTGTGTCACCTTGCACAAGTCAATCTCTGAGTCTCAGTTTCCTCATTTGTCAAGCAGAAGATGAGTTTCCAATCTCTGGGTCTGCAGAAGGAGTAATGGAGGTTCCCAGTTTACATTCAAAATGTTTAAAAATCTAAGGGAAATCTGTTCCCCAGTGTGACTGCACAGGTAGCTAGGCCTTCATCAGCTCACTCAGTAGCCATGGTTACCTTGTTGGTTCACTCTGTAAGTGAACACACTGCTACATGCCAGACTTCCTGCCAGACCCTGGGATACCATGGTGTGTAAACAGACCAGGTCTTGACCTCCCAAAATTAAGTCTTGAGGCACTAGAGTATATAACATCGTGGTTAAGAGCAGGCTAGGAAGCACATGGGCTGAGTCTAATCCCTGTGTGACCCTGGGAAAGGTACTTAACCCCTCTGATCCACTGTGGCTTCTTCTGCAATATGCAAGTGGCAAGAACAGTGCCTCCCTCACAGAGCTGTGTAAGGATGAAATGGTTGAAGGCATGTGACCTGTTACAAGCAGTACTGGGAACCTATTAGCTCCATTAGTGTTCCTTGTCATTATCATCATATGACCGATGAAAATGACCAAACTGCAGTTGGACAGACAAAATCTCTCAAAGCGTGGAGGAAAATATTGACAAAGGCGCTGGGAAGGTGAATCCCAATGGTGCTAAGGTCAGAAACCCTCCTCTTCTGCAGTTTATTTTTTGAGACAGTCTTGCTCAGTTGCCCAGGCTAGAATGCAATGGCACGATCTCGGTTCACTGCAACCTCTGCCCCCTGGGTTCAAGCAATTCTCCTGCCTCAGCCTCCCAAGCAGCTGGAATTACAGGAGTGCGCCACCACACCCAGCGAATTTTTTGTGTTTTAGTAGAGATGGGGCTTCACCATGTTGCGCAGGGTGGTCTCAAACTCCTGAGCTCAGGCGATCCACCCACCTCGGCCTCCCAAAGTGCTGGGATGACAGGCGTGAGCCACTGCACCCAGCCTCTCTTCTGCAGTTTCCAGCTGGATCTTCCTCTCTCCTCCCCCACCTCCTCCCATCCCATCCTCTCCCCCCCCCGCCCCCCGCCCAGTTCACATTTTAGCTTGGAACTTTCTAGAGTTTACAAACCTCATAGAAGCCTCAGGATTCGTTTTAGCCACAAAATCATTTTTGACCTTCTCCTGGCTCCTGGTTGTGGGAGGAGGGAGGGGTGTGGAGAGATGCCCATCACTCTGGGTGTAAATGAAAATAGTGCACGTTCCTCAACCAGGGATGGGTCAAAGCTGCTTGGAAATTAGGGTAATGGTGGAGCGAGAACAAAGGAAAAAACACAGAGGCTTTCCTGGCCTTCCTGTGCATGCCTCCCTGTGTTCAACTCATTTGCCAGCAATTGGAAGTTACTTTGCTGCCATTCATGTCACATTGATTACTACTGTGGCTGCCCCCATTTTCTCTGGAACCTTGGTCGCCCCTTTTAAGCATCTATTTAATTCAGGGAAGAGGAATCTTGATCTTCATTCAAGGGTGTCTTCTGCCTTCTTGGTGCCATCAATTCGGTTCTCCCAGTTACATGCAGCTCAGCACACGTTCTCACTCACACACATCTGCACACATAAGACCCATATTGGCCTCTGCACTGCTGAAGCTGTTATTTTAAAGATCTCCAGTAATAACCACGAGTCTGTTGTGCAAAGTTCGGCAGATACAACGTCAGGACCACAGCAGGGTGGCGAGCAGGGGTCTTTCAGAGGAGGAGGGAGGGCTTCCTTTGTGGAGTGCTGGCCACTTCTGTTTCCTGTTCTCCCCCCAGATCCTGATTCCGGCCCTGATGGTCACGGCGGAGAAGGACTTCGTGCTCGTTCCTCAGATGTCCCAGCACATGGAGGACTGGGTGAGGGAATGGCCCTGTACAAGGGTCATCAGTGCACCCCGGGAGAGGGCACGGGTGCTCAGAGGGAAGACGGCAGCAGAAGATACACCTTGTCATGTGGATAGGACCATGGTTGAAGCACATCATCAGTAACATCACTGTCCCCCCATTGCAAGCAGCAACCGTGACTGTACCTTCCTTTCCCCTGCATGGATGTGGGGTCTCATTCATTCATTATTCCCTTCCTAAATCATGCAGGGTTTGGGCAGGGTGGCCTGCGGGGAGCAGAGAGAAGGCGTCCATTGCCCATTGCACTAGCTAGAGACACACCCATCTGCCTTCTTCCATTTACCTTTCTGCCTGGGGTTTCCTTTCAGATTCCCCACCTGAAAAGGGGACACATTGAGGACTGTGGGCACTGGACACAGATGGACAAGTAAGGAGGTTGGGGGCTCCTGGGGTCGGGGAGAGCAGGGCCCCCCGTTCACCTTCCATAAAAGCTTTCCTGGTTTCATTGTGCTGGCTTTGGCCTGGCTTAGCCACTCATGTCACTCACCTCTGCCTTCGAGTTGGCTGGGTAGGTGCAGACAAGTGTGAATGGCTATTTTTTTCTTTTACTTCTCCCTTTCCCCCAGGCCAACCGAGGTGAATCAGATCCTCATTAAGTGGCTGGATTCTGATGCCCGGAACCCACCGGTGGTCTCAAAGATGTAGAACGCAGCGTGTGCCCACGCTCAGCAGGTGTGCCATCCTTCCACCTGCTGGGGCACCATTCTTAGTATACAGAGGTGGCCTTACACACATCTTGCATGGATGGCAGCATTGTTCTGAAGGGGTTTGCAGAAAAAAAAGATTTTCTTTACATAAAGTGAATCAAATTTGACATTATTTTAGATCCCAGAGAAATCAGGTGTGATTAGTTCTCCAGGCATGAATGCATCGTCCCTTTATCTGTAAGAACCCTTAGTGTCCTGTAGGGGGACAGAATGGGGTGGCCAGGTGGTGATTTCTCTTTGACCAATGCATAGTTTGGCAGAAAAATCAGCCGTTCATTTAGAAGAATCTTAGCAGAGATTGGGATGCCTTACTCAATAAAGCTAAGATGACTATGCTGCTGGCTGTCTTTGTTCTTGGAGAGGTGGAGTGACTGTTCACGGAGAATGCACGGCATGGGGATGAACCCTTTCCCTCTGCTTTTGAGCCCTGTTCTGGGCTCCAAGGTGCTGTATGATCTAGGCCGTGCTGGCCAGGAGACAATCCTATGGGGATGGCAGTGGTGTCTTGTGCTCTGTCCCCTAGAGCAGTCACTGGCCACAGGTAGCCACCTGCCTTTCTCCCGGCTTCCCTAGCAGAGTTTGCTCAGGCACAAATGTGCACCTGGAGCATTTGAAATGTGCTAGTGAGGCTGAGGAAGAGAATTTTAAATTTCATTGAATTGTAATCAGTTTAAAGTTAAATAGCAGCAGCTGCCATGAGGCTCAGGCAGATCCAGCTCATCTTCCCCTCTGCCCCCTCCTCCCTATCTTCCCCTCTACCCTCTCCTGCCTCCTGTCACATCCGGTTAGGCTCCCATCTCACTGATGTGTCTCCTGCAGTGGTCTCTCCCCTGCCCTGCTTCCAGCCCCAGAGTCCTGGAGCAGCAGCCTCCTCACGGGTCTTGCCGCCCACATGGTTGGATCCTGAAACTCGCAGGGCCTCCCCCAACTGCCCCTGCCCACCCCCAGCCCGGCCCCATCACCCTCCAATTCCTAACCGCCCTCCAGCAGCACACTTGCAGGTGCTGATCCTCCTTGACCCTCTGCCTAACTTACCCATTCTTTGCCTGGAATATTCCTCCTGCCACCTCCTCCAAGCCCATAGGCTGGGTTCCGAGCCCTTTCTGCCTGCCCCCCTTGCATGGTTATCGGGCTCACAGATGCACGCACAATGGCCTCGCTGCTTGCGAGAGAAAGTGGTCCCTCCAAGCTGAGTTTGGCATGATGACGGGCATGAGTTGGCCAGGTCACAAGAGCCTGAGTATCTGTGTATAGGGAGAAAGCCAGGAGAGGTTTGAAATGGAGGCTGCTGGCATTTCTTCACTGCCCTAGTGCACCTGGAGTCTTCCATGCACCACCTCTGATCCTTCCAGAGAGTCCTTCCCATTTAACCGAGAGGGAAACTGAGGTTCAGATAATTTGCCCAGGACTGCTTGGCTAGATGGGGGCAGAGCCTGGATTCAGAAGCAGGCTTTCTGGCTCCTAAGGCTGAGCTTTTTCTACAAAAAAATGTTCTCGTCGCGCCACTGCACTCCAGCCTGGGCAACAGATTGAGACTCCGACTCAAAAAAAAAAAAAAAAAGAGAAGTTCTCCTTTCTAAATCTGGAGCCAGACCACCTAGGTTAGGCCTCCGGTCAGCTGCATACTCGCCTTGTGACCTTGAAAAAGGATATCTGTGCCCCAGTTCCCTCATCTATAAAAAAGGGGACGTTAGTAGGACCTAACTCATGGGTGGTTGTATCAAGTATGTTAATAATATGCACAGAGTTCTAGAACAGTGCTTGGCATGGAGGAAGTGCTATGGAAGTATCAGCTATAAGATTTCCAGTTTGTCTTAGGACAAGACCTCTAAGGGCTTTCCATTTCCAGCCATGCCACCACCATCTCAATCTTTTGCATCTGAGAATTAAAGGGCTAATTTAAAGGCAATCATGAGGACTGGGGGAAAGGCTTACACCAGATCACATTATTTTCCTAACTGGGTGTATTCAAGCTCATTTGTAAGGGAGCAGTTGGGGGAAAGGAAATAATCAAAACCTAAAAGCGTCCTTTACTGGAAGGAGCACAAACAGCAAACCTGTCTTCCCGAAAGTCTCGCTTTTAATATTCTATCCAGTCATCTCCATCAGCCATCAAAAAGGCCTCAGAAATTCTGCTCCTTTGGCAAGTAAGAGTTGAATAACTCCATTCCATAGCATTGCCAGAAAATATAACTGGTTATACAAGATTGAGGGCTGTATCGGTCTGTTCTCCCATTGCCATAACGAACTACTGGAGACTGGCTACTTTATAAAGAAAAGAGGTTTAATTGGCTCACGGTTCTGCAGGCTTTACAGAAAGCATGGCTGGGGAGGCTCCAGAAAACTTACAATCATGGCAGACGGTGAAGGGGAAGCAGGCACATCCTACGTGTCTAGAACAGGAGGGAGAGAGAAAGAGAAGGGGGAGGTGCTACACACTTTTATAAACAACCAGATCTCATGGGAACTCACCATCACGAGAACAGCAAGGGGGAAATCCGCCCCCAAGATCCAGTCACTGCCCACCAGGCCCCACTTCCAACATCGTGGATTACAATTTGACGTGAGATTTGGGTGGGGACAGAAATCCAAACCGTATCAAGGGCCATAAAGGACAGTGGACTGGAAGAGGTCTTTAGGTTTTTCAAGAAGATAGTGGAATGTCCAGGGCTATGTTTCCTGGTCTGCTTTGAGGACCTTTGGGCCACACGTCAACTGTTGCAGTGGTGGTATCAGGGCATTCCCTGGAACAATCAGGGAAGATTTTCAGATGCCATTTTAAGTACAAATGGCAAGGAGTGTGTTCAAAATGATTTAATTATAAAATGCTATATTTTGGGATTGAATTTAATTTGTAATTAACATACTAGTACATATTCATGGGGTACATAGTGATGTTTTGATACATATAATGTGTAGCAATCAGATCAGGGTAATTACACATGTCATCTCAAACATTTATCGTTTTTGTATTGAGGACATTTAATAACCTCCTTCTGGCTATTTAAAACAATGTATCATTGTTGACTGTAGTCATTGCTCAGTGCTATACAACGCTAGAACTTACTCCTCCCATCTAGCTGGAATTTGACATTCCTTAAATCCCTCCCTATCCCCCACCTCTTCCCCAACCCTTCCCAGCCTCCTATCCTCCATTCTACTTTTTACTTCTAGGAAATGAATTTTTTTTTAGCTTCTGCATGTGAGTGAGAACATGTGGTGTTTCACTTTCTGTTTCTGGCTTATTTCACTTAACAGAATGCTCTCCATTTCCATCCGCGTTGCTGCGAGAGACAAGATTTCATTCTTTTTTTGTGGCTGAATAGTAAAAATATGTTATTTTTATTTCATGATTACAAAGGGAATAGATTACAAGTATATTCCCCTCTGCTAAAAGAAATCGGCCCTTAAAAAAGAGGTCCAGCAGTCTTCATATTCTCTCTCACACCCTCCAGCAGTGGGTTGTGCTGCTCCCGGGAGGAGGCTGAGATCACTCACATATTCTGTCAAGGAAGGACCACTTAGTGGCTGTCAATTAGCAACATCCAAGGTTTCCAGGAGACCCGTCTTCTAAAAAGTGAGTCTATTAGACTAGACAGGACAAAAAGCTATTTCTGTCTGTCTTGGGGTATAGGGAACCCACGGTTTTAGACCTTGACATGACTGTCCACCAGTTTCCGTGTCGTTCACAGCCACATTACCATCAATACAAATTAAAAGCAAACAATGGTTAAAATATCTAGGTCAGAGGCTCAAAGGGTTTTTTTCCAACAGGAATTGGGTGACAAATATTATGCCTCACTGTTCAAAGGACTCCATCTGGCCACAAATGATAAAATACTTTCTTGCCTGAGCAATTGTAAAGTGTCAACTCCTGCACCCAAATGTGTAACTGTCTGTCTCCCTGTTAGACTGTGAGGGCCCTGAGATCGGGGGCTGCCTGTCTAAGTAATTCGTCCTGAAACCCAACCCAGCACTGGCCTGGCATATGTAAAATGCTCATTAGACGTTTGCTGAATAAATTGGAGAGTATATGCACAAATGGATGAATGGACAAATGCATTAGTTTCAAGTTAAAATAATTAAAATTTGATCGGGCATGGTGGCTCACATCTGTAATCCCAGCAATTTGGGAGGCCGAGGCGGGCGGATCACCTGAGGTCAGGGGTTCAAGACCAGCCCAGCTAATATGGCAAAACCCCATCTCTACTACAAATACAAAATTAGCTAGGTGTGGTGGTGGGCACCTGTAATCTCTGCTACTTGGGAGGCTGAGGCAGAAGAATCGCTTGAACCCAGAGGCGGAGGTTGCAGTGAACCAAGATCATGCCATTGCACTCCAGCCTGGGCGACAAGAGGGAAATTCCATCTCTATAAATAAATAAATAGCCTAATGTCCTCGAGGTTCATTCATGTTGTCGCATGTGTTGGAATTTTCTTTCTTTTTAAGGCCAAATAATATTCCATTGTATGTATAGACCACGTTTTGTTTACCTACTCATTCAGCAATGGGCACTTGGATGGCTTCCATATTTTGGCTATTATGAATAATGCTCTGAGCATCAGTGTACACATATCTCTTTAGGGCTCTGAATTCAGTCCTTTTGGGTATATATCAAAAAATGGAATGGCTAGATTATATTGTAATTTCTATGTTTAATATTTTGAAGAACCACCAGATGGTTTTCCATAGCTGGTTTCCATTTTCTGTTTTTTTAATATATAGAATGGCCATGTGATGTCCCATGATGGTTTTATTTGAATTTCCCTAATGATTAGTGATGTTGAATATCTTTCCTTTTTTTAAATTTATTTATTATTATTATACTTTAAGTTTTAGGGTACATGTGCACAATGTGCAGGTTAGTTACATATGTATGTATACATGTGCCATGCTGGTGTGCTGCACCCACTAACTCGTCATCTAGCATTAGGTATATCTCCCAATGCTATTCCTCCCCTCTCCCCCCACCCACAATAGTCCCCAGAGTGTGATGTTCCCCTTCCTGTGTCCATGTGTTCTCATTGTTCAATTCCCACCTATGAGTGAGAATATGCGGTGTTTGGTTTTTTGTTCTTGCGATAGTTTACTGAGAATAATGATTTCCAATTTCATCCATGTCCCTACAAAGGACATGAACTTATCATTTTTGATGGCTGCATAGTATTCCATGGTGTCTGTGTGCCACATTTTCTTAATCCAGTCTATCATTGTTGGACATTTGGGTTGGTTCCAAGTCTTTGCTATTGTGAATAATGCCGCAATAAACATACGTGTGCATGTGTCTTTATAGCAGCATGATTTATAGTCCTTTGGGTATATACCCAGTAATGGGATGGCTGGGTCAAATGGTATTTCTAGTTCTAGATCCCTGAGGAATCGCCACATTGACTTCCACAATGGTTGAACTAGTTTACAGTCCCACCAACAGTGTAAAAGTGTTCCTATTTCTCCACATCCTCTCCAGCACCTGTTGTTTCCTGACTTTTTAATGATTGCCATTCTAACTGGTGTGAGATGGTATATCATTGTGGTTTTGATTTGCATTTCTCTGATGGCCAGTGATGGTGAGCATTTTTTTCATGTGTTTTTTGGCTGCATAAATGTCTTCTTTTGAGAAGTGTCTGTTCATGTCCTTCACCCACTTTTTGATGGGGTTGTTTGTTTTTTCTTGTAAATTTATAGGAGTTCATTGTAGATTCTGGATATTAGCCCTTTGTCAGATGAGTAGGTTGCAAAAATTTTCTCGCATTTTGTGGGTTGCATGTTCACTCTGATGGTAGTTTCTTTTGCTGTGTAGAAGCTCTTTAGTTTAATTAGATTCCATTTGTCAATTTTGGCTTTTGTTGCCATTGCTTTTGGTGTTTTAGACATGAAGTCCTTGCCCATGCCTATGTCCTGAATGGTAATGCCTAGGTTTACTTCTAGGGTTTTTATGGTTTTAGGTCTAACGTTTAAGTCTTTAATCCATCTTGAATTGATTTTTGTATAAGGTGTAAGGAAGGGATCCAGTTTCAGCTTTCTACATATGGCTAGCCAGTTTTCCCAGCACCATTTATTAAATAGGGAATCCTTTCCCCATTGCTTGTTTTTCTCAGGTTTGTCAAAGATCAGATAGTTGTAGATATGCGGCGTTATTTCTGAGGGCTCTGTTCTGTTCCATTGATCTATATCTCTGTTTTGGTACCAGTACCATGCTGTTTTGGTTACTGTAGCCTTGTAGTATAGTTTGAAGTCAGGTAGTGTGATGCCCCCAGCTTTGTTCTTTTGGCTTAGGATTGACTTGGCGATGCGGGCTCTTTTTTGGTTCCATATGAACTTTAAAGTAGTTTTTTCCAATTCTGTGAAGAAAATCATTGGTAGCTTGATGGGGATGGCATTGAATCTGTAAATTACCTTGGGCAGTATGGCCATTTTCACGATATTGATTCTTCCTACCCGTGAGCATGGAATGTTCTTCCATTTGTTTGTATCCTCTTTTATTTCCTTGAGCAGTGGTTTGTAGTTCTCCTTGAAGAGGTCCTTCACATCCCTTGTAAGTTGGATTCCTAGGTATTTTATTCTCTTTGAAGCAATTGTGAATGGGAGTTCACTCATGATTTGGCTCTCTGTTTACAGTCTGTTGTTGGTGTATAAGAATGCTCGTGATTTGTGTACATTGATTTTGTATCCTGAGACTTTGCTGAAGTTGCTTATCAGCTTAAGGAGATTTTGGGCTGAGACAATGGGGTTTTCTAGATATAGGATCATGTCATCTGCAAACAGGGACAATTTGACTTCCTCTTTCCCTAATTGAATACCCTTTATTTCCTTCTCCTGCCTAATTTCCCTGGCCAGAACTTCCAACACTATGTTGAATAGGAGTGGTGAGAGAGGGCATCCCTGTCTTGTGCCAGTTTTCAAAGGGAATGCTTCCAGTTTTTGCCCATTCAGTATGATATTGGCTGTGGGTTTGTCATAGATAGCTCTTATTATTTTGAAATATGTCCCATCAGTACCTAATTTATTGAGAATTTTTAGCATGAAGAGTTGTTGAATTTTGTCAAAGGCCTTTGTGCATCTATTGAGATAATCATGTGGTTTTTGTCTTTGGTTCTGTTTATATGCTGGATTACATTTATTGATTTGCATATATTGAACCAGCCTTGCATCCCAGGGATGAAGCCCACTTGATCATGGTGGATCAGCTTTTTGATGTGCTGCTGGACTTGGTTTGCCAGTATTTTATTGAGGATTTTTGCATCAATGTTCATGAAGGATATTGGTCTAAAATTCTCTTTTTTGGTTGTGTCTCTGCCCGGCTTTGGTATCAGGATGATGCTGGCCTCATAAAATGAGTTAGGGAGGATTCCCTCTTTTTCTATTGATTGGAATAGTTTCAGAAGGAATGGTACCAGTTCCTCCTTGTACCTCTGGTAGAATTCAGCTGTGAATCTATCTGGTCCTGGACTCTTTTTGGTTGGTAAGCTATTGATTATTGCCACAATTTCAGAGCCTGTTATTGGTCTATTCAGAGATTCAACTTCTTCCTGGTTTAGTCTTGGGAGATGTATGTGTCAAGGAATTTATCCATTTCTTCTAGATTTTCTAGTTTATTTGCGTAGAGGTGTTTGTAGTATTCTCTGATGGTAGTTTGTATTTCTGTGGGATCAGTGGTGACATCCCCTTTATCATTTTTTATTGCATCTATTTGATTCTTCTCTCTTTTTTTCTTTATTAGTCTTGCTAGCGGTCTATCAATTTTGTTGATCCTTTCAAAAAACCAGCTCCTGGATTCATTAATTTTTTGAAGGGTTTTTTGTGTCTCTATTTCCTTCAGTTCTGCTCTGATTTTAGTTACTTCTTGCCTTCTGCTAGCTTTTGCATTTGTTTGCTCTTGCTTTTCTAGTTCTTTTAATTGTGATGTTAGGGTGTCAATTTTGGATCTTTCCTGCTTTCTCTTGTGGGCATTTAGTGCTATAAATTTCCCTCTACACACTGCTTTGAATGCGTCCCAGAGATTCTGGTATGTTGTGTCTTTGTTCTCGTTGATTTCAAAGAACATCTTTATTTCTGCCTTCATTTCGTTATGTACCCAGTAGTCATTCAGGAGCAGGTTGTTCAGTTTCCATGTAGTTGAGCAGTTTTGAGTGAGATTCTTAATCCTGAGTTCTAGTTTGATTGCACTGTGGTCTGAGAGATAGTTTGTTATAATTTCTGTTCTTTTACATTTGCTGAGGAGAGCTTTACTTTCAAGTATGTGGTCAATTTTGGAATAGGTGTGGTGTGGTGCTGAAAAAAATGTATATTCTGTTGATTTGGGGTGGAGAGTTCTGTAGATGTCTATTAGGTCCGCTTGGTGCAGAGCTGAGTTCAATTCCTGGGTATCCTTGTTGACTTTCTGTCTCATTGATCTGTCTAATGTTGACAGTGGGGTGTTAAAGTCTCCCATTATTAATGTGTGGGAGTCTAAGTCTCTTTGTAGGTCACTCAGGACTTGCTTTATGAATCTGGGTGCTCCTGTATTGGGTGCATATATATTTAGGATAGTTAGCTCTTCTTGTTGAATTGATCCCTTTACCATTATGTAATGGCCTTCTTTGTCTCTTTTGATGTTTGTTGGTTTAAAGTCTGTTTTATCAGAGACTAGGATTGCAACCCCTGCCTTTTTTTGTTTTCCATTTGCTTGGTAGATCTTCCTCCATCCTTTTATTTTGAGCCTATGTGTGTCTCTGCACGTGAGATGGGTTTCCTGAATACAGCACACTGATGGGTCTTGACTCTTTATCCAATTTGCCAGTCTGTGTCTTTTAATTGGAGCGTTTAGTCCATTTACATTTAAAGTTAATATTGTTATGTGTGAATTTGATCCTGTCATTATGATGTTAGCTAGTTATTTTGCTCCTTAGTTGATGCAGTTTCTTCCTAGTCTCGATGGTCTTTACATTTTGGCATGATTTTGCAGCGGCTGGTACCGGTTGTTCCTTTCCATGTTCAGCGCTTCCTTCAGGAGCTCTTTTAGGGCAGGCCTGGTGGTGACGAAATCTGTCAGCATCTGCTTGTCTGTAAAGTATTTTATTTCTCTTTCACTTATGAAGCTTAGTTTGGCTGGATATGAAATTATGGGTTGAAAATTCTTTTCTTTAAGAATGTTGAATATTGGCCCCCACTCTCTTCTGGCTTGTAGAGTTTCTGCCGAGAGATCCGCTGTTAGTCTGATGGGCTTCCCTTTGAGGGTAACCCGACCTTTCTCTCTGGCTGCCCTTAACATTTTTTCCTTCATTTCAACTTTGGTGAATCTAACAATTATGTGTCTTGGAGTTGCTCTTCTCGAGGAGTATCTTTGTGGCGTTCTCTGTATTTCCTGAATCTGAATGTTGGCCTGCCTTGCTAGATTGGGGAAGTTCTCCTGGATAATATCCTGCAGAGTGTTTTCCAACTTGGTTCCATTCTCCTCGTCACTTTCAGGTGCACCAATCAGCCGTAGATTTGGTCTTTTCACATAGTCCCATATTTCTTGGAGGCTTTGCTCGTTTCTTTTTATTCTTTTCTCTCTAAACTTCCCTTCTTGCTTCACTTCATTCATTTCATCTTCCATCGCTGATACCCTTTCTTCCAGTTGATCGCATCGGCTCCTGAGGCTTCTGCATTCTTCACGTAGTTCTCAAGCCTTGGTTTTCAGCTCCATCAGCTCCTTTAAGCACTTCTCTGTATTGGTTATTCTAGTTATATATTCTTCTAAATTTTTTTCAAAGTTTTCAACTTCTTTGCCTTTGGTTTGAATGTCCTCCCATAGCTCGGAGTAATTTGATCATCTGAAGCCTTCTTCTCTCAGCTCGTCAAAGTCATTCTCCATCCAGCTTTGTTCTGTTGCTGGTGAGGAACTGCGTTCCTTTGTAGGAGCAGAGGTGCTCTGCTTTTTAGAGTTTCCAGTTTTTCTACTCTGTTTTTTCCCCATCTTTGTGGTTTTATCTACTTTTGGTCTTTAATGATGGTGATGAACAGATGGGTTTTGGTGTGGATGTCCTTTCTGTTTGTTAGTTTTCCTTCTAACAGACAGGACCCTCAGCTGCAGGTCTGTTGGAGTACCCGGCCGTGTGAGGTGTCAGTCTGCCCCTGCTGGGGGGTGCCTCCTAGTTAGGCTGCTCGGGGGTCGGGGGTCAGGGGTCAGGGACCCACTTGAGGAGGCAGTCTGCCCGTTCTCAGATCTCCAGCTGCGTGCTGGGAGAACCACTTCTCTCTTCAAAGCTGTCAGACAGGGACATTTAAGTCTGCAGAGGTTACTGCTGTCTTTTTGTTTGTCTGTGCCCTGCCCCCAGAGGTGGAGCCTACAGAGGCAGGCAGGCCTCCTTGAGCTGTGGTGGGCTCCACCCAGTTCAAGCTTCCCGGCTGCTTTGTTTACCTAAGCAAGCCTGGGCAATGGCGGGCACCCCTCCCCTAGCCTCGCTGCCGCCTTGCAGTTTGATCTCAGACTGCTGTGCTAGCAATCAGCGAGACTCCGTGGGTGTAGGACCCTCCGAGCCATGTGCGGGATATAATCTCCTGTTGTGCTGTTTTTTAAGCCCGTTGGAAAAGCGCAGTATTCGGGTGGGAGTGACCCGATTTTCCAGGTGCCATCTGTCACCCCTTTCTTTGTCTAGGAAAGGGAACTCCCTGACCCCTTGCGCTTCCCGAGTGAGGCAATGCCTCGCCCTGCTTCGGCTCATGCACGGTGCACGCACCCACTGACCTGCGCCCACTGTCTGGCACTCCCTAGTGAGATGAACCCGGTACCTCAGATGGAAATGCAGAAATCACCTGTCTTCTGCATCGCTCACCCTGGGAGCTGTAGACCGGAGGTCTTCCTATTTGGCCATCTTGGCTCCTCCCCCGATGTAGAATATCTTTCATGTGCTTATTGACCATCTATATATATCTTTGAAATGTCCATTCAAGCCCTTTGTCTATTTTTTGTTGGGTTGTTTTGTGTTGTTGTTGAATGTTAAATCTTGTATATTCTGGATATTTATCCCTTATAAGATATATGATTTGCAAATATACTCTCCCATTCTGTGGGTTAGATTGTGTAGGGGTGGAAGGTATGATACTTCTTCTCACCCATCATAAGGGTCACGGCTGATTCTTCTATAGCAAAAGACAGTAAACAAGGGAAAAGCATACCACATTTATTTAATCACAATTTTACATGACAAGGGAGACTTCAGAAACGAAGACCCAGGAGAACTGTCTGTTTTCATGCTTGTGTTCTATGAAGAATGGACAGTCCTGTGGAAAAGTGATTGACAAAAGGCCATGACCTCATTGTAATAGACTAAGGGGGAACCCAGCAAGGCCTGTGTGCTCAGATTCTTCTTGGCCTTTCTGTATAGCATTCCTTCCTCCCAGGTATAGGGCAGGACCCCTCTGGAACGAGGGTCTTCAAGGGAGAGGGGAGAAAGTGATCTAAGTTTTATGGCTTGCTTTGGGGGAGAGGAGGTCTAGAGTCTATGACCACCTTGGGGGAAGAGGAATTCTAGTTTTTGTGACCCCATTTTGGGGAAGAAAGAGGACCAGAGACAGAAGGGCAGGAGAAGGTCCAATAGCCCATGCTTTAAGGCCCTTCCAATGTGACTATGTGGGCTTAAACGTCAGAGTTTCAAAGACAGAAACAATTTTTTGTTTGTTTGTTTTTGAGACAGAGTCTCTGTTGCCCAGGCTGGAGTGCAGTGACACGATCTCGGCTCACTGCAACCTCCACCTCCCGGGTTCAAGCAATTCTCCTGCCTCAGCCTTCCAAGTAGCTGGGATTACAGGTGCCCACCACCATGCCCAGCTAATTTTTTGTATTTTTAGTAGAGACAGGATTTCACCATGTTAGCCAGGCTGGTCTCGAACTCCTAACCTCAGGTGATGCACCTGCCTTGGCCTCCCAAAGTGCTGGGATTACAGGTGTAAGCCACTGCGCCTGGCCTGACAGAAACAACTTTTTATTTATGCAACTCAAAGTAAGAGAATTCCTGAGAAAGCCCCAAATAGTGGTGTTCATTTTCATTTGAAAGTATTAAGGGACAAATACATATTCATCCTCTTTATCAATTATCTTGGATTCAGATGGTAAAGGAAGTCTGAAGTACTTTAGGCAGCCTCGTCTACTTTGTCTCACATGTGCTGAAGGAACGTTATGCCCTGTGTTGTATTTTAAAGGGAACATGCTGGTGGAATGAGGCAAGGAAGAGAGACCTGCAGACCAGAAATGATTAAACACCCTTCACAATGTCCACAGTAAGGACACGGGTGTTTCACAGAAATGTGTTAGGTTCCCAGGTACAAATGGTGTATTAAGGAGCGCATTCTCAATGATTAACAAGTCTGGGAGGGGAAAAGATCTAAAAACAAGCCCTTCGGTGACCACTAAGGCAGCAACATTCATTTTCCTTGCCAAGAAATGTTTGTAAAAGTTAAGACTCAGCAAGTCCAGAACAGGCTAAGTCCTTCAGGCAAGAGGAAATAAATAACCCCTCGATCACAATCATGGGACGGTGGCAACACAGATCGAATGAACTGATTCACGTGATTTTTGCTGAGTTTCATATTCTCATGTAATTTTATTTTTTTCAATAAAGGCAGTTTATAAAATTGATGTGCTTGGCTTAGGGCGGGGGTAGGAGCATTCCATCCAAGGGCAGTAATGCCAGGTGAAGAAAGGAAACCTCCTGCATGGATCCAGGCTCTGGAAATTTCAGGGGAGAAGGGCAGAAAGTCCACAAGGGTCCCAGGGCTGTGGACTAGATCAGGCCCACTCACACCCCCCAACACTAGGCTCAAAATGTAGTCAAGAAAAAAGGAGCACTTGGACTGGACTATAGCTGAAAGGGGAATTTGTGGGTGGAGAGGAGAATGTACTTTCCTTAAAATTGTAAGGACAGGGTTTGAGAAGGAAGTGGGGAGTTAGAAAAGAAAATAACTTTTATCTGAGGAACACAATCCTTTTAATGGCCAGGCCCAAAGAGACATTAAAACGATATAGCAATCATGCCCTCCTCCCGGCTTTGAGCTCTGTCTCCATCTCTTGAAGCTGCTTGCTTCTGCCACAAGTACTTATAAATTAACCTAACGGTGCCACACTGGACACTCCGACCCATACCCTATAGCTTAACAACGTCTAGCTATTAGCTAACTAATCAGTGTTATTTCTGTAAAGCAAAGAGAAATCCTGACAATTTTGTATCAGTCCACTCCCTGTCCCCCTTTTTTGCCTTGAAAGTCCATCTGTAACTGCTGCTAATCAGAGTGTCTATTCAGGGCAACTTGAATCTATGCTCCCAGGTTGCAATTTGCAAGCTTGGCCCAAATAAACTCTCTACTCAGATTAATTTCGCTGCAGCTTCTTTCCTTTAGGGTCTGCAGAAGCAAGTCCTTGGTTTAGGGTGATACCAGGCTACACCTCTGCATGCCCTCCCCGCTTGCCAGGCGCCTCTCTGTCCCCAGGACTTGATACCAGTCAGTCCTTGTGTTGGCCACAGCCCCTGGGCCCCTTGCAGAGCTTTGGGACAGTGAGTGTGGAGAAGGGACAGCTGCTAACCTGACAGCTGCTTTCTCCAGTCTCAGCCCCAAGGCCCCCCCAACCCCAAGCCCTGCCTTTTCCAGCAGGGAGTCTGCGGTCCTGCGGGGATCTCTGCCCCTGGGCCATGGAGCTGGCAGTTCTGGGGCCCTGCAGGCCCTGCCCCTTCCTCAGGGACAGCCCCAAGTGCGCAGACGCAAAGGGAAGAGTCCTGGCCTTGCCCTATTCTCTCCTGAGGCCCTGACCCCAGGCTCTCCGGCTCGCAGACACGATCTGCTATGGCTGCCATAACAAAGTCCCACAGATCAGGTAACTTAAACAGACGTTTGTGTTCTCACAGTTCTGGAGGCTGGAAGGCTGGGATGAAGGCATCAGCAGGGCTGGTGCCTTCTGAGGCCTCTCTCCTCGGCTTGTAGACAGCCACCTTCTCCCTGAGTCTCCTTCTCATGGTCTTCCTCCGTGTGTGTGTCCTGAGCTCTTCTTATGAGGAGACCAGTCACATTGGACAAGGGCCCTACCATCTGTGCTACAGCCACCAATATCCTGTCCTGTCTCCATAACAGTGGAGCGGGGGCTTGGCTTGGTCACCCCCCAGGTCTGGCAAGGGAACGAACACACACAGGGACCCAGGCTTCAGCTGCACAGGCCTGTGCCCTCCTCCAGCCCAGGGTGCTGTGGCAGCCCCACATCAAGACCCCCCAGCACCCCCAACATCACAGCCTCCCCTGATCTATGATGCTAAGTACCTAGTTAGAGGCTGGGGGTGTGTCATTTGGCTCCAGAATCCCTAGGATTGGGGTCAGAGTTCAGAGAGCTAAACCCTGCCCTCCCACCTTCCCTCAGAGAGGGAGCCCAGGGCGGGAGGCAGACCTGAGCATCTGTTTGTTTATGGCCTTAATCCTGCCTGAGTGGAACCTGTCAATGCTGCTCACTTGCCTCTTGCCAGAGCCCCCTCTCCACTTCTCAGGAGCAAGAGCAGTGAGCAGGGCCCCGAAAGATAGACTCACCATGACAAATACAGAAAGGTGCAAGGTGGCATTTAGCTGACTTTACAGATGAGGAACTAAGGATCAGAGAGGGTGAGTGATTTGCCTGGGGTCGCAGAGCCAATCAGCAGCAGGGCTGGGCACAGACTCAGGACTGATGCCAACTCTGTGCTCAGTTACTGTCCATGCAATTGAGCCAGTACCTGGTGAGTGCCCCCAGGTGCCTGCCAGCGAGTCAGGGTGCCGGACAGGTGTGCTGCATGTTACTCCCATTCTCACCTGCTGGGGCCAGCTTCCCTCAGCTGTAATTTTTGCCAGATAATCTCCCCTTCCTCTATGCCTGCTAGAAAGGCTCTGGGATTCTCTCTGCTATTTCCTTATTTGCTCAGGCTGATGGTCTCTAACTTGTAGAAAACATCTCAGCTGAGACATCAGTCATGGTGGTAATGAACTCTGATTGCTAATTAGTGAGGATTGGGCTCCAGCAATCGATTTCACCGAGCTCTGTGCCCCGGGTCCATGGAATGCGCTTGTGCTTTGGAGTCAGACAGATGTGCCTTCTCATCTCAGTTCCACCACTGATGTTTGTGTGACCTTGGGCAAGTGATTTCAAGTCCCAGACCTCAGTCCCCTCCCTGTAAAGTGGAGAGACCATTCCCACAGCCCAGGGCTGCCATGGGGATCTCATGACATAGTACCCTTGTCCATATGGCAGGCACCAAACAGACAGTACGTCTCTTCCTCTCCCTTCCAGCTCTTAGTCTTTGCCTAGGTCCTCACACCTCCCAGGGTGAGAATAAGTGGAGAATTTGAAGTCCATCTAGCAAAGTCAAGACCCTATGGGAGTACGCCCTCTTTGGTTGGTGACTTTGTGCAACTACACAAAGCAATCCTGGCTTCCCAGTCTGGGCGGTGGTGGGAGCACAGGGGTGGAGGAATGCTAGACCCAGCTCAGCCCAGTGAACTTGGGCCAGTCTCTCCTCCTCCCTGTGCCTCATCTTCACCTTCGAACAGAAGGCATTACCCAGAATATTCCTAAAGCTCCAGCACTCTCAGGCTCCTGCAGAGGACGTGGCTCAAGCTGACCCCAGGCTGGGACAGACCCACTTATGCTCCCAAGAAGCTTGGCAGCAGGAGTGAGGGCTGGGCAACCACCTGGCTCCTCCCGGCCTACACTGGTCTCTTGCAGGTGGATGAGGAGAAGAAGCAGGTGACCATGGAGGCTGGCATCCTCCTGGCCAACCTGCACCCACAGCTGGATGAGCATGGCCTGGCCCTGTCCAGGTAAGAGCCCATGCTGCCACTCCTGGGTGGGCCAAGACCACCTGCCCACCCCCCATCCTTGCCTGGCTGGACACTCAAGGATCTGTCAGGAGCCACAGAGGAGCGCCTCCCAGTGTGCACCCCTTTCTCTGGGCTCCTGTTCTTCCCCATTGTGGTGCCTATCTCCCCATCCCCCATGGGTTCAGGGGCTGTTGTGTTGGGAATAGAAAGAAATAGGCCAGAGATGAGATGAGCATTAAATAATAGTCTCAAACAGAAATGGGACAACCCTGGATTAAGTCATTCTGAAAACTTGCAACAAACAACTCCAGGGATCCAAATACAAGAAAATGCCAATAAACCCTCAGAGGAACAGAAGACCCTGATGACTGAGCCCCAGGGTTTCCTGGCATGCCTATCCATGGCTTCACTTGTTCCTCCATCCAAACATGGTGTCAGCGATTGCTCAGGTTTAATATCAGGGGATTTCCTTTGAAACAGGAGCAAAACACAGCCAAAGGAGTGAATCTCTAACTGCAGAATTTCAACCATTAGAAACAGGTGACAGAGCTGTTTGGAGCAGTGAGGTGAGCAATCTCCTTGCAGCTGGGAATCATACCCATGGAAACCTGTAGTTGGTCTTCACGTGGGGGTGGCCTGCATGCCTTAGCTTTCTTATCACAGGCCCTTGGGCATCATGACTCCTCTGCACTCTGGAAACCCTCTGTTCTGGCCTCTCTAAAGGCCATGGCAACGCAAACATTTATAGAGTGTCTACCACGTGCAGGCCCTGTTCAGGCCTTGGAGAGGCAAAGATGAACAAAGCCCAGACCCCACAAGCAAGGAGCTCCTAGCAAGGGGCCACATAGACGAGGAACTGGCAGGCATCACACAGAGCAATAGGTTCAATGTCAGTGAAGTATTCAGGGCAGCCTGAGGCCCAAGTTCAGCCTTGGCAGGCAGGGAAATGTGTGAGAGGGTAAGAATAGGAACAGAATCCCTTCAGGGGGGACCCCCGGGTTGAGCCCCAAAAGATGATTAGGTATTAACCAGCAAGAGGAGAGGAGGGAGGAATCTCAGGCAGAGGGAGCCGCAGTAACAAGGCCCAGGAGAGGGACAGAGTGTGAGGTGTGCAGGACCTGGAAGCAAACGGCGGAAACAGCCCTTGACCAATGACAACAGGAGGAGACGTGTTCTTCTTAATTACGGGCATCAGCTCCTGGGCCCTGAAGCATTCTTGCCCATCTAAGATGTGTCCCTGTCCTCCCCTAGGGGCCCTGTCCTCCTCAAGTGGCTCCTGGGATGAGGCCCATCTGCCTCTCCAAAGGCAGCTGGGATGTCCCATCCTGTATGTCCTAGGGGGCTGCCTGGGACTGCAGTTCCAAGGATGCTGGGGCGCTGTTGGGAAGAGGAAGGCTGCATGCGGGGTCTGGACGCCGTCTTTGGTTTAACCGTCACATCAGCCCTGTGGGGAAAGGATGAGAGTCTCACTTACAGGCACAGAAGCCAGAATCTTACCCAAAGATGTTATAGGAAAGGGGTCCCGATCCAGACCCCAAGAGAGGGTTCTTGGATCTCGCACAAGAAAGAATTCAGGGTGAGTCCGTAGAATAAAGCGAAAGCAAGTTTATTAGGAAAGTAAAGCAATAAAAGAATGGGTACTCCATAGATGGAGCAGCCCCAAGGGCTGCTGGTTGCCTATTTTTATGGTTATTTCTTGATGATATGCTAAACAAGGGGTGGATTATTCATGCCTCCCCTTTTTACACCATATAGGGTAATTTCCTGACATTGCCATGGCATTTGTGAACTGTTATGGCGCTGGTGGGATGTAGCAGTGAGGATGACCAGAGGTCACTCTCATTGCCATCTTGGTGTTGGTGGGATTTAGCTGGCTTCTTTACTGCAACCTGTTTTATCAGCAAGGTCTTTATGACGTGTGTCTTGTGCAAACCTCTTGTCTCATTCTGTGATTTAGAATGCCTTAACTGTCTGGGAATGCAACCCAGTAGGTTTCAGCCTCATTTTACCCAGCTCCTGTTCAAAATGGAGTCGTTCTGGTTCACACGCCTCTGACAAAGTCATGCAGCTGGAAGGCTCCGAGACTTTGTGTGTTTGGTGCCAGGCGGGGCAGGGCAACATGATGGTGAAGCCCAGCTCTAGGAGCAGTCGGCCTGAGCGTGAGCCTGCCTCTACCTTGCACCAGCTGTTAGGCAAGTGCCTTGTGCCTCGGGGCCACAGCATCCTGCCTTAGAAAACAGGTCTCTAAAATAGGGGTATTCAGAGGGCTGGTGAGTTAGAGATGCCCCTTGTAGTGTGGTTCAGTAAACGTCAGCCTCCTTCATTCTGGCTTTGTCAAGGCCTCGCTTCAGGGACTCCGGACATGGCCTTTCTCCTCCCCTTGTTATCTCCACTCTCTCAGGGACCAAAGTCTAATTCTTCCTTCCAATTGACTCCTTTTCACTGAAAGCCTCGCTTTTATCCCTGTCTTTTAACAGGGTCCTAAGCATCTTGCCTCTTCCTCTTTAGTCTTCATACACTTCATGGAGAAAAGAAGCTCACCCTGTCCCATTGTTGGCATTTGGGTCACTCTCATGCTTCACCGTTATTAACAATGCTGTGAGGGACATCCTCACATGTGTGCCTGCCATGTACTGGAGTATTTTCCTAGGGCAGAATTTCTAGGGTCCTCTTGTATTTAATCATTTTTTAAAATTTTGGATTCAGGAGCACATGTGCTTGTTTTGTTACATAAGTATATTGTGTAATGGTGGGGATTGGGCTTCTCGTGTACCCATCACCCAAAGACTGAACGTTGGACCCAGTAGGTCATCTTTCAACTCTCCCCCTTCCCCATCCTTCCCTGTTTTTGGAGTTCCAGGTGTCTATTATCTTCATCCTTATGTCCATATGTACCCACTGTTTAGCTTCTACTTATAAGTGAGAATATGCAATGTTTGATTTTCCACTTCTGAGTTAGTTCACGTAAGATGATGGCCTCCAGCTGCATCCATGTTGCTGCAAAGGACATGATTTTATTCTTATTTATAGCTGCACAGTATTCCATGGTGTATATGTACCACATTTACTTTATCCAGTCAACCATTGATAGACACTTAGGTTGGCTCCATGACTTTGCAGTTGTGAATTATGCTGCAATAAATATACAAGTGCAGGTGTCTTTTTAATATACTGACTTCTTTACCCTTAGGTAATACCCAGTAGTAGGATTGCTGGGTCGAATGGTAGTTCTATTTTTAGTTCTTGGAGAACTCTCCATACTGTGTTCCATAGAGGTCATACTAATTTACATTCCTACCAGCAGTGCATAAGTGTTCCCTTTTCTCTGCATCCTTGTCAACATCTGCTGTTTGAGACTTTTTATTTTTATTTTACTTTTGTTTTTATTTTTTTGAGACAGTCTCGCTCTGTCACCTAGGCTGGAGTGCAGTGGTGTGATCTCGGCTCATTGCAACCTCTTCCTCCTGGGTTCAAGTGATTCTCTTGCCTCAGTCTCCTGAGTAGTTGGGACTACATATGTGCGCCACCACACCCGGCTAATTTTTGTACTTTTAGTGGAGACAGGTTTTTGCCATGTTGGCCAGGCTAGTCTCAGGCTCCTGACCAACTGATCCACCCGCCTTGGCCTCCCAAAGTGCTGAAATTACAGGCGTGAGCCACCGCACCCAGCCAGGACTTTTTAGTAATAGCCGTTCTAACTGGGGTATTACTGGCTTTTCCTGTAATAGCCATTCTCACTGTGGTTTTGATTTGCATTTCTCTGATGATTAGTGATGCTGAGCATTTTTTGTATATTTATTGGCTGTGTGCGTCTCCTTTTGAGAAATATCTGAGATCTTCTTTTCACATTCTGGCATTTTCAGAAGAGGCATTATCACCCACTAACCCCACCAACATGGACAAATAGATGAGAGTAGCCAGGAGGGTGAGTGGGTGGGTGAGGGAAGGCTAGAAGAGGCTTGTGTGTCCTTCACCCTCTCCCCATTCAGCCAGGGCAGCACCAGGTCTCATCTTCTCTCTCTAGGAAGGCATGAGGTGAGATTTCCTAATCATTGTCACGTTGGGTTCAAAGTGGGAGATGTGGAGCCTCTGGTGTCCTCCAGCCTCCCTCAAGGGCCCTCGGTCTGCAATGGAGGAACTTGCCACATCCCTGCCCTCCCATCTTTTACCTGTGAGAGCACTGTGTGTGAGCTGAGGACAGCTGGGCTCTGGGGAAGCTGTCTCACAGCTTGTGAAGCTCCAGGCACCTGAGCCCTTGGAGGTCTTCAGAAAATATCTGTTTCCTTCTCCTTTAAGTTAGGGCTGAGATGACTCAGAAAGTTCCTGGGAAGTAAGATTTTTTAAACTCCTGATCCGCTCTTCGTCCTTGACCTTGAGATCGGCAGGTCTTTCTAATTCCTGCCCCCATGGTGCACGCCTGCCAAGGGATACAGGATTCCTTTCATGATCTTGTCCTCCTGTGCACATGGAAGCCTCCCATTATTCCTTCTAGGGCCTGGAACGCCAGGCTGAGGGATGAGGCCTTTCTCCTGGAGCCCCTGAAGGTTTCTGAGCAGGAGAGGTGACAGGGCCTCCTCCTCCTCCTTTCTCATCTCCCCAAACCTTTCTGGGATGTTTATTTGTGAGATCTGAACCAGGCTGGTTCCATGAGGATGTTGCAGGCCTTGGTAGGCTGGGTACCTAAGAGAAGTCTTAGCAGGAGAATTTTGGCCTTTGGTTTGTGGAGAGGGTATTTATTGTTGGCAGATGGAGGTTGGAGGAAAGGAAGAAAGGGGTGTTGTGGGCTGCAGAGGCCCCCAGAGCCAGGCAGGCAGGCCTCCCCTCAGCCCTGAACCATGTCGCCACTGGGTCATCTAACAGGCCACTTAGATGAGGAAACTGAGACCCCGAGAGAAGACAGGCAGGCCACATCACACAAGCTAAGTCATAGCAGATTTGGGATGAGAACCCAGACAGCACTGAATAAACTTTTCTGCCCTGAGGGGCCTCGCACCTCAATCTGATGTGCCTGGGAGTGTGCCTGCTGCCCCGGGAAGCCTAACTGGTCTCTTGTGTCCTTTTTGCTTCTTGCTGAGCCCAGCCTGGGCATAGTGGTAGATGTGACTGCAGCTGGCGTCGTTGGGTCTGGAATGCAAAACATGGGAATCAGGCCTGGCACCCCGGCCAGCCAGGTGAGTCCACCTGCTTCCCCTGCAGTGCTGGCTCAGCTCTGTGGGGGCCTCATACCCAGCCCAGCTGGCCCCCTTTGGCAGAGATGCAACAGGTGCCCTCCAGGTATGTCACTGCCTTCTCTGGCTGACAGTCACGATGAGGAAGGGACCCTGCTGCATGTCGGTGCTCTGACAGTTGCACAGTGCCCTCCCACCTTCGTCTCTTAGGAGCTTCACTGCCACCCTGTGGGAAGGGATGGGCAGGGATGGGGTGCAGGGAAGGGGTGCCATCTCCACTGAAGATCTGAGCCAGAGCTGTGCAGGGGATGGGGCTGTCCAGGTTAGCAGGTGCAGGGAGGGGTCAGGATAGGAGCCCAGTGCTTGTGGACCTGGAACCCCTACCTTATAGTCATTAAAAAGCATTTCTTACACTTCACAAGAGACCATTTGGGGAACTGGTTAAGAGCACAGGTCTGGGACTCAGCCCTGGGTTCAAAGCCTGGCTCCACCACTCACTGGGTGTGGAATGCACATTTGGTTGCTTAGCTTCTCTGGACATCCCTGTAAAAAAGCATCACCCCCAATGGGGAGAGCAATCCTCAACTCGTTGAAGAGGAACTTAGATAGCACATGTTACATGTGTGGCCAACCAGAGGACAATTCAGCGGATGCCTGTGTCAGGAGCCACCCTTTGGAGGGCAGTCACCTTGAGCTTTCAATATTAGGAGGGGCTTCCTCTCTGCCAGGCTGGGCCTCCCTGGAGCAGGCTGCTGGGGTGCTTGCAGAGGCTGGCTGCTCATTTGTCGGAGACGTACAAGACACTCCTGTGCTGGTGCAGTGGTGCACACACTCAGCTGTGCTTTCTTTCTCCTGTATGAGCCCATTTGCACTAGGGGCCATGTGGCTTTGGCCCCTGGAGCATCATGGCTAAGTGCTGGGGCTCCACCACTATTGTCTGTGTAACCTGGGGCAGGTCTCTTTACCTCTGGCTACCTCAGTTTGCTTACCTGGAAAATAGGAATGCTCATGATAGCCATGCATGTGAGGGACTTAGAAGAGTGTATACAGTTAGTGCCCAATAAGTGTTTATGATGGTTTTGCTTATAAGACAAGCCCTTTTCCAGAGCCCACACTTGGTGCTGACTTAGAAGCTTCAGCATTGCCAGGGGTTAGACCACATGGGTCATCTAAGTTTCCTCTCGACTACACAAATTTCCTCTTGGTTCTGCATACGTTTCCTCTCAACTAAGCATACCCTGCCTTCTCCAGGGGTTCTGATGAAGGCAAGCAGCCAAGCAAACACTGTCTGACTGACTTCTAGGAGTTTGACCCCAGGTAGTCCAGGCTCAGAGCAGCACTGAGACCAAAAGCAAACAGCCCAAGTCTGGGCATGGTGGCTCATGCATGTAATCCCAGGATTTGGGAGGCTGAGGTGGGCAGATCACTTGAGCCCCGGAGTTCGAGATCAGCCTGGCCAATATGGCAAAAACCCGTCTCTACCAAAAAAAAAAAAAAAAAAAATTTAAATATTAGCCAGGTGTGGTGGCACATGCCTGTAGTCCCAGCTTGGGAGGCCGAGGTGGGAGGATCACTTGAGCCCAGGAGAGTGAGTGCAGTGAGCTGAGATCACGCCACTGCACTCCAGCCTGGGCTACGGAGTGAGACCCTGTCTCTAGTAAATAAATAAAAACAGCCCAAAAGCAATTTCTAAGGGATGCACTTTGTTTTTATTTGTATTTCTTGAATTCTGTGAAGGGAAACCTAATTCCCAGTGACTGCTCCTTAAAACTCACTCTGCTTTCTCTTGGGCATCACATACACACCCTCGTTGCTCCTTGCCCTTCTCCTCCTCCCTCTTTTCATCACAAAATCCTCAAAAAATCACCAGGCAAGACGGGAGCATCTGAGGGGATGGGGCTGCGGAAGGGGAAGGACTGAGGCCATTCGCATCCATCATTCTTGCGCCCTCCCAGGTAAGAGGCTTTGCAGCAAAGCATAGAGGGATGTGTGGGTCCTGATTCCCCAGAGCCCAGCATGGACATTCTCATTTCCTCCTCAAAGCTGGGTTCACTGCCCGAGGGAGCCCAGTGGTAACTGAGGGTGAAGGATGACATGAGAGCCACCCCCTTCCTCAAGATTTGGCCCCAGTCCTAGTCCACTATCCAGGACTTATGTCAAATCGGTTGCCTCAGTTTCTACAAAATGATCAGCAAAGTATGAATGTCATTGAGGCTGGGCGCAGTGGCTCACCTGTAATCCCAGCACTTTGGGAGGCCGAGGCGGGCGGACCACCTGCAGTCAGAAGTTCGAAGCCGGTCTGGCCAACATGGTGAAACCCCGACTCTACTAAAAATACAAAAAATTAGCCGGGTGTGGTGGCAGACACCTGTAATCCTAGCTACTCGGGAGCCTGAGGCAGGAGAATCGCTTGAACCTGGGAGACAGTGGTTGCAGTGAGCCGAGATCTCACCTCTAGCCTGGGCAACAAGAGCAAAACTCCATCTCAAAAAATAAAAAAATAATAAAAAAAAAGAAAAAGAAAGTCATTGAGTGGCCACAGATCAAAATACACACAAGAGTTTCTGGCTTTTCTTAGGAGCCCAGCTGAGCAGGTCTGGAAGCCAGTGGAAGGGGCTGCTGTTTTTTTTCACAACTTACCCTGATATTCCCTCATTTTATCCTCACCTCAATAGTTATAACTATTATCTCCATTTTACAAACGAGGAAACAGGCTGAATAACACACCCGAGGTCATACAGCTAGCAAAGACAGTGCCTGTTGCGCATTGGTTTCTGGATCCTGTGGAAGTGTTTTGCAGGCCAGCTCTCATTTGCTTCCCTGGATCTTAGACAAAAGCTAGCTTTTGTAAAACTCATTCTGATGCCCTCACCCTGCTCCCCAGGTGCCCCATTTCTGCCAATTTCCTATCTCTGGTCTTTGCTCACTGTTAATGAGAATTAGTTCAGCTTTATGTGTTCTCTCACCCCAAGCTCCTGGCCACCAACTGCACATGTCAAAAGCAATTTCCATCAAAATTAGCAGGTAGCGGAGTGTGAAGTGCTTAAACAGCGTCAAGAGAGGTTTCCTCTGGAGATGCCAGGGGAAGGTGTAGAAGTCAGTCATCAGATTTCCACTGGGCACCCTGGTCTTTGCAGAAACCCAAAGACATCTGGCTGGGTGTGGCTGAATAGGAGGATCTAGTTCCGAAGGTGGATGGGCACGTGGATGAGGGGAGGGACAGCTTGGCCAACACATTGCCCAGGAAAAGCAATAGGCAGAGAAGTGCCTGGGACCCTGGCTCCTGGGCTGGCCTGACCCCAGATGCACACACATCCTCATTTTGTCTTCCCAAGGCCCTTCCCCCAGGAACCCATGGCTCCTTGAAGCCTAGTCTCCTCTTAGAGCTGCCCTGGGCAGAGGAGGCCTTGCTGCATCCTGACTGTGAGGCCCACAGGGTGCATGGGCAGCGGTTCTGGGAGGATAACCCAGGTCCCCTCATGCAGTGTTGGGCCCACCCCCTGTGGGGAACTGATGCCCACTTAAGCATAGCCTCCCTTTCCCCATCTCTACTGTTCTTTCCCATGACAATGAGACCCCTCAGGTTGTGACAGTAGACCCTGGCTCTTCAGGCCCCCTGAATTGGGGCAAGGGAGATGACCTCACCACCCTTTCCTTGGCCCTGGGGACACTGTGGCCAGGACCCTTCTGAGCAGGTCAGTGAACCTGGAGGAACTGCAGGAGGTAGCAGAGGCATGGGCAGGAAAAGGGGTTGAGTAGAGACTTGCCACAGGAGACATGAGGCTGGTGTGAGCTGCCGCTCCTGGGAGGGCATTAACCCTCAGCTGCACTGAGCCCCAGAGGATATGCCTGGGATTCCCTTTATAATGGTTTCTTCACAGCAAGGTGGGTGGAGTCATTTTCAGGCTTATTTGGCTGCTTAAGGTGACATGCAGGGTATTTGGATCTGGATAACGGGGGGCTTGTAATTTATAGCAGTGCTTTTTGAATGAATGAAAAACAGTGTTGTATGGACAAATGGATGGATGGATGGATGGATGAAGGACTAGATGGGTAGAGGGATAGATAAAGGGATGGATGAAGGGACGGATGGATGGATTGATGGATGGATGGATGGTTGAATGGATGAAGGGATGGATGGATGGATGGATAGATGGATGGTTGGTTGGTTGGAGGGATGAATGAAGGGATGGATGGATGAATGGATGGATGGATGGTTGGTTGAAGGGATGGATGAAGGGATGGATGGATGAATGGATGGATGGATGGTTGGTTGGTTGGAGGGATAGATGAAGGGATGGATGGATGGATGGTTGGTTGGTTGGAGGGATGGATGAAGGGATGGATGGATGAATGGATGAATGGATGGAGGGAAGGATGGGTGGATAGATGGATGGATGGGTGGATAGATGGATGGATGGTTGGATGGGTGGATGAAGGGATGGATGGATGGATGGATGGATGGATGGTTGGTTGGTTAGAGGGATGGATGGATGGATGGTTGGATGGATGGATGAAGGGATGAGTGGATGAATGGATAGCTGGATGGTTGAATGGTTGGATGGATGGATGAAGGGATGGATAGATGGATGGATGGTTGGTTTGAGGGATGAATGAAGGGATGGATGGATGGACAAATGGATGGATGGATGGATGAAGGGATGGATGAAGGGATGGATGCATGGATGGATGAAGGGATGGATGGATGGATGGATGGACGGATGGATGGATGGATGGATAGCTGGATGGATAAAGGGAAGGATGGATGATGGATGGATGGTTGGATGGATGAAGGGATGGATGGACGGATGAAGAGATGGGAGAATGGATGATGGATGGATAGATAGATGAAGAGATGGATGGATGGGTGGGTGGTATGCAGCATACCTGAAGTGCCTGGAATCCTAGATCCATTCTTCATATTCACTAAGCCATAGGACTCAAATCTATGGTTTCAAGTTCCTTGAAGTTTGGGCTCTTCTCTAGTCATATTGAATAAGGATTCAATATGAGCAGATCCTCTGTGCAGATGGAGTTGGCAATAATTTGAGCAGTACTGACTCAAGAAGATGAAGATCATGGGCTTTGAAATCAAATGAACCCAATTTTGAATGCTGGCTCTGCAATTCCTAAGCTGTGAGCGTGTGCCAGTCATTTAATCCTGCTGAGCCTTAGTTTCCTCATCTACGGAGAGTGTTAATAATGTCTACCTTAAAGTATTGAATCTGAGGATTAAGCCAGATAATACATGTAAAGCATCTAGTTTAGTGTTCAAACATGCCCCGCATGGCACTCAGTAGGTGACAAACAGAAACTTGTTTTCTAGCCCCCAGTCTAAAATCCTTCCCACTGGAATTTCTAATACTTTAAGACTTGGGGCAAAGACCTTCACTCCAGAAGCCCCCTCCTCAGAGGCATGAGTTTGGGGAAAATCTTTACCCAGAACTCCCAACTGGTGGTTGAAAAAGTGATTCCACAGTTCCCGGGGTACAGCATGGATCCCTGAGGTGCCAATGCTGGGCCTGCAGAAATCATTCAGCAAATGAGATGCCTGATGTCTTAGCCCAAGAGAGTGGGGCAAGTTCAGGACAAGAGCATTCCGTAGAATTGTTGGGCTTTGAAAAGGCATGCCTGAGCCAGGGAGCCCCGTGAGGAAAGGGGCAGGGAGGAGGACACTGGAATGAGGAAGGGAGGCTGGATGTTCACTGGCCCACACGGCTCCACCTGGAGCCGTCCCAGACTCTGAGCTTTTTGGGGTGACCTTGGGTGTGCTTCAACCAGCCACAGTCCCTCAGAGCAGTGCCAAGGGGTTCACCAAGGCCACTTGTTCACACCAAACAGGGTTTAAAAGGCATTTTCATATTCTGCCCAGTGCCAGGCATGCTGATTGAGAGGGATTGTGGATTTGGCATTTGGGGCTCATATGACCCATGGGCTCACCTTGAGAGCCATGAAATACCATTCTGAGCTCCCACCATGAAGACGGAAGAGATTTTCCTCCAGCCCTCATGCCTCTGTTGATCGTGGCCTTTCCCCTCTCTGCCTGTCAGGAGTGAACGCTCCCTCCTGGCTATGCAGCAGAATGTGGCAGGGACTCCCACAGAGGTGCAACCCAGGGAGGGACCTTTGTCAGGCCTGTGCTGGGCAGCCCAGTGACCCTTTCTTCTCCTCAACAGTCCCCTCCAGGACAGCCTGCATCTCTCCCCCTCAGCAGCTCCTGCCGTCATCTCTGCCCTTCAGGGTCCTTCTGGCCTGGACTGGACTGGCTGCAGAAGTGATAATAGGTCTTTTGCTTGGCTCATTCCTGCTGTCTCTGAACCAAGTACACCAGCCTTTCTCAGTTAAACGGTTTCTAACATACAGGGAATTATGGAAATAGCATGCAGCGAGGGGTCCCAGAGCAGCCCGTCTTGGTCTGTGCACTGAGGTTAAGCTCTGCGCGTGGACTCGTGAAGGAACTTCAGCCTTAGAGCTGGGCCTCCAGGACCAGCAGAGGAGCCAGCCTGCCCTTGGGGCTTGAAGTTGAAGGCAGTATCCAGTGCAGAGGGCCTACCCAGGAGCTAAAGAAATAATTCAAGCCTGGCAGAGACGGCCGAGGCAAAGACCATGCCTCAAGTCCGGAACATGGGAAGGAGGTGTGGACGAGGCTGGGCAGAGTGAGCATGGCCTGGAGAGGATCCTAGGGGCTGGAATACAGAGCCAAGTCCATTTTCTCAGGGTCCATGTTCAAGAGGTATTTAGGATGAGGAACCAACAGGACTCGGCAGCTGAGTGTGTGGTGAGGTGGCAGGAAGGAAGAGTCAAGGATGATGGGGCCACCATCAGTAGAGAATCCAGGAGGCTCGGCAGGGGCAACAAGGTGATTGTTTCCTTTGGGAACTTGAGTTCGAGGGGTCTCAAGCGGAAGTGTCGGAGCAGCTGCTTTGAAGTTCAGGAACTCAGGGGCTGGAGGTACAGATTGAGATGTCATATTCACCAGCTAGAGAGGCCATAGCAAATACCACAGGCTGGGCAGCTTCAACAGCAGATATTTATTCCCTTGTGGTTCTGGAGGTAAGAAGTTCAAGGTGAAGGTGCTGGCAGGGTTGGTTTCTCCTGAGCCTCTCTCCTTGGCTTGCACATGGCCACTTTCTTCCTGTGTCCTCACATGGTCATCTCTCTGTGTGCCTATGTTCCTAATCTCCTGTTCCTATAAGGACACCAGTCACATTGGATTAGGGCCCCTTCATATGACCTCACTGAACCCTAATCACCTCTTTAAAGACACAGTCTCCAAAGACAGTCACATTCTGAGGTGCCAGGGGTTAGGAACTCAACGTAGGACTTTGGAGGAGGCACAGTTCAGGCCATAACAAGGGTCATCAGCTCCAAGACAAGTGACCGCAAGAGTGGAGGGGACACCCAGGGAGAATGGGTTTGGGTGACAAGAGGGCCTTCGAGGACAGGAGCATTCCACGGGTGAGAGGACGCAGAGGCTGCCATGAAGGAAACAAAGGGGATGGTGAGAGAAGACTGAGGACCATAGGAGGGCGGTGCTCTGGAAGCAATGGTGCTGGGTGCCCAGGATGGAGGCGTCAATGCTGCAGGGAATCAGGGACCCACACCCGGAGCTGATTATTCACAGCCATTGCTGACCTCTCTCTGTGAGAACAGCTGGAGTGGGGCATTGGGCAGGGTGAGGGGTGAATGACCATCACAAGCCAGGAAAAGATGGGTGGCAGGACCTCTTTCAACAAGAAAGGTGCCAAAACCCTGCCTAGTTATAGAATCAACTTTTCTACTTCACACTCAGATCAGAATTTATTAATCTTTAAGCTGAATGTTTTGACCCAGAGATAAAGGGATGCTTCTTTTTGCCAGAGGATTGGCTTTGGCCCCCTCTCTCCTGCTAGGATATTAGAGGTGGGTGGAAGATGGACGGTCTCCTGGTACCTGCCCACCCTCTCTCCGCCCTCTCTTTGACCTGGCTGAGATGGGCTGAGATTGATTACAGCTAAGTCCTGTTTCTGTCAGAGCCTAAGCTTGGGCTGCCATGCGCGCGCACGCGCACACACACACACACACACACACAACTGACCTTTCTGTGTTCGGAGCTCAAGATTGTGGCCTCCAGGTCATCTCAACATGGAGGCTTCTCACTTAAACATGACATCCTTGAAAACTCAAAGTGACTCTTAGGCAATAGATTACCTTCCCAAAATTTCCAATTTATTTAACTTTAGAAGGCTGTGATGCATGAGAAATAGCAATTATAATCTCCCCCCCCAAGAAGACAAAATACACAATTGCATGCATGTGTGCACCCACACACAATTGCACAACCAAAAACTCTCAGCAAGGTGCAACGGCAAGGACTCTGGGAAGGGAGGCAGGTGCCCAAGCCCTGCTGTTCTGCTGACTCTGTGTGACCTTGATCAAGTTCCTCCAACTTTTGGGGACTCAGTTTCTATGTCTTTTAACAGTGAGATTGGATTGGTTAATTCCCTGCGGTCACTTTCAGCTCTGACATTCCATAAGCCAGCACAGCACTTGGATGCAAAACTGTCCCCCCAACCTTATTGCTCCACCCTAGAGATAAGGCCATCTCTTGCATTACTGTTTCTCTTCCTTCAAGGATCTGGTGAAAGTTCTTGGGCTATCCCTGAGGAGGACGTGAACCCTGTTGGGAATGTTGCTGCAGTCCCCACTGGTGACCCCAGTTCATCCCAGGGGGCTTATGGAGCAGGACTTTGCTCTCCTGCTCACTCATCTGTGCTTCAGTGCACTCTGGATGGATTCTCTTCCCTGCCCTGAAGTGGCAGCTGCTGCCATACCCTGCTTTGCAGACCCAGCACCAGTCTTAGAGGCCATCCTTAGTTTCTGTCACCACCACCCCCCACCTCCATTGGCAGGCCATAAACAAGGACTGCCACCAAGGGTGGGTGGCAGTTTCAGCCCTGTGATTCACTGCAAGGGGTGTGTGCAATAAATAGCTCTGTAGTTAATTGCCTTTTGCTTGCCACTCAGAGCAGCCTGTAAAGGGCATCTGTGAGAAGCTGAGAGTGCTTGGGATGCACCAGGGTGGGGTAGGGGCGGGAGTAGGGAGAGCTAAGCTGAAGATGGACAAACACAGCACAGGCCTTGCTCCCGCAAAGGAAACAACTCCATAAAGGAGCGGGAAGGATAGATTTCTAAGTCAGGAATCAGAAAATTCCTATGTGGGCTTATCTAGGGGCTGCTCTGGGATGCATACAGCTCCCCAGCCCCAGGTCCTCTGTTTAGCATAGAGCTGCTCTCTTTTTATTATTATTATTATTGTTATTATTATTATTATTATTATTATTATACTTTAAGTTTTAGGGTACATGTGCACAACGTGCAGGTTTGTTACATATGTATACATGTGCCATGTTGGTGTGCTGCACCCATTAACTTGTCATTTAGCATTAGGTATATCTCCTAATGCTCTCTTGACAGTCAAGCTCTCCAGGCAGGTGGGTCCTGAGTCACGGGAGGAAGTTGTGAGGCGCACAGACGCCTGGACGAGGAGGCATGGTGATTGCTTCCTGTGCATGTAATTAGGGTTGAAGATTCAGCTCTTCAGCCATTTCTCCTTCCCTTATATTCCCTTCCTTTCCTTTCCCATTTCCTTCCTTCCATCTAACACATGTCTATAGAATCACTACAGTGGATCTTCCACCCTAAGTTCTGGAAGCGCCCCAGGAGACCCATCAGGAGGGTTGACCCCTCAGTGTAGCAGTCGAGGCAGGGGGGATCGCATCTCCAGAGTCAGACCATCTGGTCCCCACCAACCTGCTGTCACTCTGCACAAGTCCACCAGCCTCTCTGGGACCTGGATTCCTCACCCATGTGGTGGATGAGAGCTCCGCTGTCCTCCTGGGACTCTGGTCAGGCTGAGAGGGAAGACTGCACAGAGATCCTTTGTCTCACTGCCCTTTACAGACAGCCTCAGAGAGAGAAACCCGCAGTTCTACCTCTGACTCTTTCGGGAGATAATGCCGGACACCGGGCCCAGGCTCTGTGGGGTTGTGTGGATTCTAGGATCAGAGTCAATGCTGGACTTTCCTGGCTGGATGTGCTGGTCACGCCCATTTTGCTCATGAATGTTGTCACCTCCTCCTGGCATTTGTCCCTCCCTCTTCCTGCTGGATGGTCAGTTTCTTGGGGGTGGAAGTCTTGTCTGAGGCAGTTTTAGCTCCCCAGGGTCCACTAAGTACTCTCAATCTAAGATGACTCAATGATCAGTTGATCAAGAATTGAGTAAAAATCCATCCTTTTCTGGGACTTTCCCCATACACTCCCACCCATGCTGTCTGTGGTCCACGTTCCCCAGTACTGAGTCTATTAAATGCATCTCAGTATGACTGTGAGTGCTGCTCAAAGCCCTGTTAAGGAAAGGGATCATTCTCAGACCCCAGAGAGAGCTGGGATTCATGCTTCAAGATGCAGGGCAGTGGGGTAAAGACAGACGTCTAGTTCAGTTTTGTGAAGGTGGTGCTGAGATCGAGGCTGCCTTGTGGCTTTTCATGACAGATTCTCAGCATTAACAATTCTTGGTGGTCTGGTCAGTATGGAATCACAGCTAGAAGACGGGGATTTTAGAAATCATTGTCAACCTTTATGCCACCCAAACCATGACATGATGCAGCGAGTGTAGCTGGCTGCCTGAATCACCCCGCCCCCAACCCCAGAAGTAGGACTGGAGCTGGGGACATGCCAGCATTGTTGGCTCATTCCTCTAGGAATCTCCCTTGATGGTGTTCCCAGGAGATACAAGTCAGATCCAGGGACTCCATGAGCCCAGAGAATGCCCTTCCCCAGACAAGACAGTTTGTGAACCCCGATGAGAGGGTGTTGAATTCACAGTGGGATAGGCCTTAGTAACCACTTGGTGCTAGGTCAGGGGCCGTGGAGGGCACTGTACCTAATCTAGCCCTAAGTGCTTATCACATGATGGAACCACCCAAGTAGGAAGCTGGACATGCCTCTCGGGAACCGCAGCTGAGAAAGGGGCGCCCTTACAGTTACTGCTGGGATCCTAGAGTTGATTCTAGAAGTTATTCCAAGACCAGTGCTCTTCTCCAACCCCATAGCTGCCTGACAAACCCCAAATCTATACTTGGGCTCCACCCTTGTCCTGTAACAGATTGCTGGGTTTCAGGGAGGCATGATTTGCTTTGTGATATTATGTGGATGTGTGCAGTGATTAGCTCTAACACAGCAAGACTCTCCTGTTCATTTTATTAAGGACCCACTATCTGTCAGGAGATAAGAGATGATGATTACAACGTAAGAGGGATAGTACTAGAGAACTGGGTATGGTGGCTCACACCAGCAATCCCAGCATTTGGGGAGGCAGAGGTGGGAGGATCACTTGAGCCCAGGGGTTTGAGACCAGCCTGGGCAGCATAGTGAGACCCCATCTCTACAAAATAAAAATAAAAATATCTGGGCCCGGTGGAGTGCACCTATAGTTCCAGCTACTCAGGAGGCTGGGGCAGGAGGATTGCTTGAGCCCTGAAGGAGCCTAGGAGTTTGAAGCTGCAGTGAGCTAAGATCGTGCCACTGCACTCCAGCCTGGGTGACAGAGCAAGACAGCCCTTTTAAAGAAAAAGAATAATAGCACTAGAAGCAGTAGCTGATGCCTATATATTGCTTGCCACGTGCCTGACCATTTTAAACACCTTCTAGGCCTTAGCTCATTTACTCTCCATAACAATCCTGACGTGGATACTGTTATTAACCCCATTTTACAGATGAGGCACTTGAGGCCCAGAGACATTAGATAACTTGCCCAAACTCACACAGCTAGTACTTGCTCAAGCCAGGACAAAGAAGAAATCACTTCTGTCCTCTAAACTACTCGGGGAAGTCATCATGTAAGTGGACCATTTGAATGCCCAGCATCTTATAAAACTCATTCCATGCTATTTGCAATGTTATGACATCTTTAAGTATTTCCTTTTGATGAAGAAGAAACTGAGGCACACCCATGCCCTGGCTTCCATTACTCGCATCACCTTCCTATGGCCAATGTAGCCTCTCCCTTTTCCTCCTGCTGAGGTCAGTTCCTCCATAGCCTGGACAGCATTGGAAGAAATCTGAGGACTTCTGCTTCCTCTGGTTCCCACACAGCGAGAATGTCAGTGCCATCCACCAGGACCACACCAGCAAGGCAGCTGCAGCTCCTGCCTGCACCTGTTTGTATTCTAGTTTTATGAATCCCCAAATAAGAAATGTGTTAGTTTGGCTTTGTGAGTGAGTTTTATCCATGTTGCTGAGAGGGAAGACTGTACAGTTCTAATTATTTATTTTTCACTGTATATATTTACCATGGTGTATTTGTACATACTCTTGTTGATGGACATTGGGGATGCTTCAGGATTTTTTTTTCTTTTTGCCATTACATATAATGTCGCTGTGAGCATTCTTGGGAACTGTATGGCACATTCTCTGTCTCAAGGACATACTCAGAGGGCATTCTTGGGCCGTCAATCAGGAGCATCTTCAGTTTTATCAGAAACCAAGTTGTTTTCCAAAGTGTTTACAACAAATTAATCCCCAACACTACAAGCTTCCCACACTTGTCAAGATTGGAGTTGTCAGACTTTCAGATTTTCATCTGATGTGTATTAAACAATATCTCATTCTGGTTTTTCATTCTTATCTCCCTGGTGATGAACAAGGTATCACATCTTTTCAGTTTACTGATCATTCAAGTTTCCTCCTCTGTGCAATGTCTATTTATGTATTTTGCCCTTTTAAAAATTGGGTTGTTTTTCTCATTCTTACTGTTTTACAGGGTTTTATTTACATATATTTGGAATACTAGTCCTTTGTTGGTTGTATGTATTACAACATCTTCTTTCTGTTTGTGTTTCGTCTTTCATCTTTATGGTCTTTTGGTGTGCAGATGTATTTGATTTTAATACAGTCAAATCTACCCATCTAATATTTTATCTTTGGAAATTTGGAGTCTTATTGAGAAATTCTTCTCTAACCTAAGGTCATAAAATATTGTATTTTTCCCTAAAGTTTTAATTGTGCCTTTTCATGTAAGTCCTTAATACCCCTGGAGTTGATGTATGCCTGTAATTTAAAGTAGCAAACAATTTCAGTTTTTCCAAGTGGCTAACCTATTGTCCTGACACTGTTTAACAGTTTTTTTGTTTGTTTGTTTGTTTTGTTTTGTTTTGTTTTGTTTTTTGAAATTGAGTCTCGCTCTGTCACCCAAGCTGGAGTGCAGTGGCGCGGTCTCAGCTCACTGCCAGCTCCACCTCCCAGGTTCACACCATTCTCCTTCCTCAGCCTCCCGAGTAGCTGGGACTACAGGTGCCCGCCACCACCCCCAGCTAATTTTTTGTATTTTTAGTAGAGATGGGGTTTCACCGTGTTAGCCAGGATGGTCTCGATCTCCTGACCTCGTGATCTGCCTGCCTCGGCCTCCAAAGTGCTGGGATTACAGGTGTGAGCCACTGTGCCCGGCACTCCCATATACTTTAAATCATCTCTAGATGACTCAGGGTGCCAACACAATACCTACACATCACTTCACATGCATGGCTTCAATGTAGTACTTGGTGCTTGGTGAATTTAAGCTCTGCTTTTTGGACATTTGTGGCATTTTTTCTGAATGTTTTCTCTGTGATTGGTTGAACCCATGGACCCGCAGATACAGAAGGCAGACTGTAAATGTATAAGAAGGCTTAAAATCTGCTAGAGCAAGTCCCCCACCCTGTTGACTTTCAGAAGCATCTTGGTTGCTCTCAACCCATTGCTGGAACTTTACCTTGCATTTACATCCCTGCCTGGCCCTCACCTCTCAGTTTCCCACAAATTCTCTAACCACCGCGGTCCAGTCCTGTCTGGCAAGTGTTTGCTGCAGCTCTGGGAACTACTGTGTGAGTCCTTGTGTTGTAAGAGAAGATCCATCTCTGAGGGCTGAGCCTACATTCTCCCACCCTGGGCATCTCAGAACCTTCCGCCATGGAGAGCCAAGTCCTAACCCCACTCTGCCCTCTCTCATACCCAGCAGTTTTCCAGCCAGTCCAACTCCCTGGCTTCAGGTTCCTGCTCTACCACCTGGGAGGACTGGGGCAAGCTATACAACCTCCCCGTGCCTAAGTTCCCTTCTCTGTGAAACAAATCATAATAGTATCAATCTCATAGGGTTGCAAGAACTCAGTGAGATCACATGGAGCTCTTAGCACAGCACCTGGTGCTTGGGGGGTATCATCTATGCTTTGCTACAAGTGTAGCCATTTACATTTCTCCCATTTCTCCCAGCTCTTGCCTCCCCTGTGTCTCCTCTGGTGGAGGAAAGCTCTAATAGGACCCTGCAGTGCCAGGTCCGCTGTGCAGGAGCACACCTGCAATTGAATAGTTCTCAAGTCGGATCCAGCCCATCTGCCACGTGGATCTGAAATGCATGCATTTTTCATCTCTGCTGCACACTGGCTCTGTTCTCTCTTGGCTCCCTGTGGCCTCCCACAGGGAGGCTCCTTTCCCGGTCTCCCACCTCCACTCCTGCACTCTCCACCGAGCAGCCAAGGTAATCATTCCGAAAGACAGATCAGATCACGTCATCTCCTAACTAAAGGCAAACAGATGCTTTATTAAGGTATAATTTGCATACCTTATGTTCACCCTTGTAAATGTACAATTCAGTGGTTCTCCCTATATTCACAGTGTTGTACAACCATTTCTGCAATCTAATTTTAGAACATTTACATCACTTCAAAAAAAAAAAGCCCTAGCCCATTAGCATTCATTCCCCATCCTCCTAGCCCCTGGCAACTGCTAATCTGGTTTCTGTCTCTATGGATTTGTCTGTTCTGTATATTTCATAAAAATAGAATTAGGCAATATGTTGCCTTTTGTGACTGGTTTTTTTGCTTTGCATAACGTCTTCAAGATTCATCATGTTGTAGCTTGTGTGAATATTTCATGCCTGTTAATGGCTGAATAGTATTCACATTTTGTTTATTCATTCAGCAATTGATGGACATTTGGGTTGCTTCTACTTTTTGGCAATACTGAATAATGCTGCTGTGAACATTCACAAATAAGTTTGTATGTGGGCATATGTTTTCAATTCTTTGGGTAGGTACCTAGAAGTGGAATTGCTAGGTCACATGGTAACTATGCTTAACATTTTGAGAAACTGCCAGACAGTTTTCTAAAGGGGCTGTACCACTTTGCAACCCCACTAGCAATGTATGAGGGTTCCAGTTTCTCCTCAACCTCACTACACTTATTGCTGTCTTTTTTTTTTTAAGCCATCCTAATGAGTGTGAAGTGGTATCTCATTGTGGTTTTGATTAGAATTCCCCTAATGACTAATGATGATGAGCATTTCTTCATGAGTTTATTGGCCATTTGTCAGTCTCCTTGGGGGAAAAAATGTCCATTCAGATTTTTTGCCCATTTAAAATGTTGGTTTGTCTTTTTATTACTGAGTTGTAAGAGTTCTTTATACACTCTGGATACCAATCCCTTATCAGAGATAGGAGTTGCAAATATTTTCTCCCATTCAGTGAGCTGGCTTTTCACTTTCTTGATGGTGTCCTTTGAAGCACAACAAAATTTAATTTTGATGAAGTCTTATTCTCTTTTTCTTTTGTCTCTTGTGCTTTGGGTATCAATTCTCAGAAACCATTGCCCAACCCAAGATCATGAAGATTCGCACTTGTGTTTTCTTCTAAGAGATTAATAGTTTTAGTTCTTACATTGCTCTTATTGTACATGGTGTGAGGTAGGAGTCCAATTTCATTCTTTTGCATGTGAATATCCAGTTGTCCCAGCACCTTTGTTGAAAAGACTTCTTTCCTCATTTATTTGTCTTGCTACCCTTGTCAAAAATCAATGGCCACAAATGTAAGCGTGTATTTCTGGACTCCTAATTTCATTCCATTGACCTATATGTCAGTCTTTAGCACACTACTCCAGCATCTTGATTCCTGTAGTTTTGCAGTTAGTTTTTACATCAGGGAGTGAGTCAATCTCAGCCCACACCCTATCCATCCATTTCCCCTCCTGCCCTGCGAGCCTTGGGACAAAATCAACATTTGCTGCTGTGTTTCCTTCTGCCTGGAAGGCCTTCCATTGTTGTCCTGGTGAATTCTCAGTTATCCCAAAATGCCCAGCTCAAACTTCCCAACTTCTTGGCGCCTCTCAAGTCATATGGTTATCTCTCTTCTGTTTCCCACCTTTGCTGTAAACCACAAAGCCACC
Organism: Homo sapiens; assembly: GCF_000001405.40. NCBI lineage: Eukaryota > Metazoa > Chordata > Mammalia > Primates > Hominidae > Homo > Homo sapiens. The sequence continues at coordinate 27,581,776 of NC_000008.11, forward strand.
CGCTGCACCAAAGTTCTAGGCCTTTCCTTCCAGCTCCTCAAGGTCAGTGAGGTATCCTCCTTCATCTTGGTATTGCAAGCACCCAGCACAAGGCCTGGCACCAAAGGACCGCTCAGAGAAATGGAAGCATAAACAGGTGAAATGTCTGGGACCCATGGAGGAAATGGATGTGCAATGGGGAAGACTCCAGGGGTACTCAACTTAGGAGGCGCTTCCAGATTTCACTGAATAGTCAGTGTCAGCTCAACAGGTTGAATCTTAGCTCTGGAATTTAGAATGATGATTAGAAAAATATACAGACAACCACTTCTTTGTGGCATTGTCACAAGTGCCACCCTGTGAATTTAGAAAGCCAGGGTGTGACAAAGCAAGAGAAGGTTCCGTTGGGGGTGGGAGGCAATGGTATGCAGTTGTGTCATCTTCAGAGACACCACAGCCCTGCTTTGGGAGGCCTCTGCCTTCAGGTTCAGTCCCAGATGCTACTTGGCCAACATGAATTTAACCCAAAGGTCCTCCAATATTTTTTCGCATAAATCCAACTAAGAAGCTCCTGTAGATGACAATGGACCTGCACCCTTGTGATGAAATAGACCCTCCCCCAGGGGCCTGATCTACTACTACATGATACTGTGCTTCTTCATGTTGCTACAGCCTCAAAGAAATGTGGAATCAAAGGGGATAGGCCAAAGGCCAAGGTCTGGGCTCTGATCTAGGGGAATTCTCCAGCCAGAGTAGAGCCCCTTTTCCTTTCTCCTCTACTGAGACCCAGATACTGCCAACCAGTGCTCCCCTGAAGCAGAAGCCCAGTCCAGCCCTGAGGCTCCGAGCCTGGTGGAAAAGAACACATGTTGTAGTTTCCTTTTCACGAGATCAACTCAGGCTGCAAACATTCACTAACCCCTGTTCTTGTCCCCGCCCCTGTCCCCAACACTCTACCAGTGGGCAGCAGCCATCAGAAGCAGTAAAGGGTTTATTTTTCTCTTTTAATGTTGTTATTTTTAAAGGGTCTCACTCTGTCACCCAGGCTGCAGTGTAGTGGTGCAGTCATAGCTCACTGCAGCCTTGAACTCCTGGGCTCAAGCGATCCTTCCATCTTGGCCTCCCCCGTGTAGCTGGGACCACAGGCGCGTGCCACCATGCCTGGCTAATTTTTTGTTATTTATTTATTTATTTTCTTAGTAGAGACAAGGTCTTTGTTGCCCAGGCTGATCTTGAACTCCTGGCTTCAGGCGATCCTCCCGCTTCAGCCTCCCGGAGTGCTGGGATTCCAGACGTGAGCTACTGAACCCAGCCAGCAGCTAAAGGTTTAAATGTACCACGTGTTCTTTGTATGCCAGGCCTGCACTGGGTGTGTCATTCCTTTTAATTTTTGCAGCATCCCTAGAAAGTGACACATTGCCCTTACTTTACAGATGAGGAAACTGAGGCTCAGAGAGGTATCTCCAGAGGGTCTGTGATGAGCAGCCAGGATGGGATCATAGGACTCACTGGCTCCAGCTGAGCCCTAGGCTGGGCTGTAGTGTTTTCTCCCAAGCCAGGCAGCCCGACAGAGTCCACACCAGCAGCAGAGCCTGGGGGACCCACTGGAGTTCATGGCATTTCTGGGTGTGGCCAAGATTGTTCCGCTTTAGGTCTGAACCAGGAATCAAGGGACAAGTCGGCCTCTTTCCTCCAGAGGATCGGCCTCTCCCCAGGGGAGGGGGACTACAGGTGGCACTAGAGGGACCCCACTAAACAAACCATGAGGAAGACTAACTGCCTGAAAGGTGCTGGGAAGTGAAACACAAGAAGCCACGTATTGGATCTGGGCAGGGAAGGGCCAAAGAGCAGTGAGGGAGACCAGCCCAAAGGCCTTGCTCTGTCTGGGTTACAGATTTGGGGTGAGAATGGAAAGGGCCCCGCAGGCTTTCTCTCTGTGGCCTCAGCTCCAACACAGCTGACAGCTTTATGTGCCTGTGTCTGTAGAGCCGGAGCTGAGCCAGGGAGCTTCCCAATAAATTAAACTCTAAATCACACCTGCCACCTTCCGGCGAACAGCCAGAAGCTCCAAGAGAGCTCCAGGGCCTCTGAGCTCAGCCCACGTGGCTCTCCGGCTTAGCAGCTTCAGCAAACTGTCCCTGGGGAGTGAGCCAGGGCCAGAGACACACTCAGCGCCTGTGGTTAGAATAACCCTGTGCCCTGGGGCCTGTGGAAGCTCTGCCATGGCCAGGCTGGTCCCCAAGACACCACAGAGCATCTGCCTAGAAAGAGGCAAGTGCCCCTCCCCAGTGTGTACTCTGCATATACCCAGACCTGATGCCCAGAAACTCTGGCTCCTTGGGACAGTGGAAGATGCCCAGGCTGTGGATTCAAGTGGACTTAGCCTCTGATCCTCGCCCCTCACTTACCTGCTGTGTGACTCTAGGTAAATCGCTCTGCCTCTCTGAGCTGTGGTTTGCCCATATATAAAGTAAAGCTGGTAGCAACAATTGGGGTTGGGAGGATTCAGCGTCTAGTCCGCATGAAGGGTGCTCACCAGATGTGCCCTCCCTTCTCACTATGATAAACAAAGATTCTTCATTCTCCATACAAGACCCCCACCTCTGGTGTCATCTGAAACCCCACAGGAGGTGCCCTGGGCATCTGGTTTATGGCCCACAGTGAGATGGCAAGGATGGGACAGTGGGACAGGCTTGTGGGGTGGGAGGGGGCGAACGACCTCTCCAGTGAATCCAGAGGAGGGGCTGGGCACTGGCGATGCAGGCCCAGTAGAGGCAGCAGCGCATTCACACGTTAACCAAGCCACAGAGGCCACCAGCTCCAGTCCCAGCCCTATTATGCAAGGTCGTCAGTGGCTCCAGGAGAGGCAGGAGCTGCGATGGGAGGGGATTAGCACCAGCTCCACTCAGAAGGCCTGAGCTGGCCTTTGTCCCTCTGGACTCCTCCAGGGCCCAGAGCAGACAGGAGCTGAGTTCATGAATGGGATGGCTGGACGGGCCTCCTCCCAATCGTCCCTCCACTCAACCATCCCCACAACAAGCCACTGGACTTTGTCCCCTCTGTCCCCTGCCCCTAGAGTTCTTGGCTGCAGATCTGAGGCTGGCCTTCTCTGAGGCTGCCTTTTAGCCTCTCTGTTCACGGCCTCAGCTCTCCGCCCTTAATATGCAGAAGATGTCACATTTTCAAGGACACAGCCGTGAACTGTTCACTTCCCTGGATGATCCTCGCCATGTTTCCCATGTCCCTGTTCCCCAAGTGCATGTACAATAGTGCGAGAGCCTGGACTTCTGGGCTTCAGCCAGACCTGGCTGGGATCGATGCCCTAGTGACTCCATCCATCAAAAATGCAGCTACAAATGCTAGGTCTGACATTGCACTGGCATTGAGAATGCTGACTTTATGGTCTTGGCTTTTCAAAATATCTATAATGAACATTTAGTTCTTTTATAAAGGGGGTAAGGGGAGAAGAGCTTTAGTGTGTGTGTGTAGGTGTAGATTTGGATGGTCGTGCCTTGGTGAGTTCCTTCCTGGCCCAAGAAGCGTGGAGCCCTCCCTTTGCAATTACTGGGGCAGTTCTGCCATCATTTCTAAGGATAAGAATCTGTGACCAGAGACCCCAACCCAGAACACTGGTCCCCATTGGCCACTCAACCCCATTGATCCCAGCCAGGTCTGGCTGACACCCAGAAGTCCAGGCTCTCAACCCTTACAACAATCAAGGCTTCCCAAGGTGTGGAAGGAGGTGAATTAGCACAGTCTGTAAGGAAATTAATCTGGCAAGAAGCAGCTGAAGTTAAAACTCTACTTTCCCTTTGCTCCAACAATCTGGAAAGGCTTTGAGACTAAGACATTCGCTATAGTGCAGCGTGTGGTGGCACGACACTGAAAACATCCCACATAGACACCGAGAGAAAAATGGTGGAATAGCCTGTGGCCTTCCCCAGCCTGGACTTCCACGCAGCCACTGAAAGAATGACCTCCAGCAATGGCCCGGAGGGACTCCCAAGCTACAGGGAAACTGCAAAGGCGAGCTAAGGGGCACAGTCTGCTGAGAATGAGGCCCTGGTTTGTAAAGAACTCTGCTCAGAGCCTGCACCCAATCAATGTCAGGTATCACGATGACTGTGTCCCCCATCCCCACCCTGCCTGGCCCCACACCCTCTTCCACCCTGTCCCCACACCCTCTTCCACCCTGTCCCCTGCAGCATCTTCTTGCAGTGCCTTGTGGGCTGGATCAATGGCTTTTTGTTTCTGACTCCTGTTTGCCTGCCAGGAGAACAGCAACCTCAGCCCCAAGATCTTCACCCACGTGTGCCACTTCAAGCAGCATGTCCAGCACTGGGCCATCCCCAGGGGGCTCTGCCCTGTGGCCGGACTGCAGGGAGTCAGAACCTGCTGCCTTAACCATCCCTCCCTGTGGACCCACTTTACTGGGTCAGCTCAGGCGGTCCTCAATGTGACCCTAGCAGGCAGAGCACCAGGTCTCATTTGCAAACCAGGCTCCGAGTCCTGCCCACTCTTCATGGGTGGCCACGGGCTCTGAGTCCTCTCGCAGTGCTCCTGGGACCACACCTGTCAGCATCATGAGGAAAATAGACACAGAACCCATCCCTCTCCCCACCCAGAAGAGCCCACCCAGCGTGCTAGGGTCCGGGTACTCTGTGTTGGAGGGGACCCCCCAGCAAAGACCTAAGGATAGGCCTGGAGCCTGGTTCCCTGTGGCTTTCTCTCTAAATTCTCCTCTCCTTGTCTCTTTCTCCGGGGGAGGAGAGGCTGGTGCCTGGGACTCTCAGGGGTTGCCTCTGTCACTGTGTTCAAGGGTGAGGCCCTCCAGATCTTCAGGTGGGAATATTAGGAAGAAGGAGGATTAGAACCAGAGGGACTCTCCTCTGAAGAGGAGGACGCCTAGGGATATGAGACAATTGTGGCCAGAGATCTGAAGGGAGCCCCGGATTCCATGGGGCCCCGGGGGCCAGATGAGCAACAGGTAGATCTTCAGGGAGACACCTCCACAGGCTCCGCTGCTATGAGGAAGGGGCCTTGGAAGAGCTAGGAGCCCCTGTCACAGCCATGTCCAAGGGCAGCTGAGGCCTTCTGAGGCTGGGAACCTGTGCAGAGTCTTGAGGGAGGGCACCCAGCGGTCCCTTCCCACCCTGAGTTCTAGATTCTGTCCCCCTGGGCTGAGTGCAGAAAGAAGACCACGGAGGCCCTGCTGGAGCTGAAGGCCGTGCTGGAGGCCCACCCTGAGGTGGTGTCCCACTACCTGGTGGGGGTACGCTTCACCTGGAGGATGACATCCTACTGAGCCCCTGCTTCCAGTGGGACAGCCGCTACCTGAACATCAACCTGTACAGGTGACAGCTCACTGGGAGGTGGAGATGGGCCTGGGAGCCGGCCCTCAGAGTTGAACGGACCTCCTCCTTCTCCAATCTTTCTATGTCTCTTCTTTTTCTCTTTTGAGACAGTCTCACTTTGTCGCCCAGGCTGGAGTGCAGTAGTGAGATCTCGGCTCACTGCAACCTCTGCCTCCTGGGTTCAAGCGATTCTCCTGCCTCAGCCTCCCTATGGAGGAGGGCTGAGATTACGGGAGTGCACCACCACACCCAGCTCATTTTTTTGTATTTTTAGCAGAGGCGGGGTTTTGCCATGTTGCCCAGGCTGGTTTCGAACTCCTGAGCTCAGGCAATCCGCCCACCTCAGCCTCCCAAAGTGCTAGGATTACCGGCGTGAGCCACCATGCCTGGCCTCAATGTCACTTCTAATGTCTCCTTCTCTAGGGGAACTTCGCTGATCCTGGCAGCTGGGGACAGTCTCTCTCTCTTCTGAGTTCCTATAGCTCTTCCGCTCCATAGACCCTTTCTGCACATACCATTTCCAGCCCGTATTGTGTTAATATAAAAATTGTATGAATTCATAGATAATAGGAATAGCTACCATTTATGAAGCTGATATGCTGGAATGACAAATGTACTCTATCTCATGTACCTCCTCTAGTCAGTGATCCTGACAGCCTGGAATGCTGTGTTGAGAAGGATTCTGGGGCCAGATTGAAGTTCAGCAGAAGAGACCATCATAATCAATGCCAGGTGCCCGTCATGGACTCATTTGCCCATCAGCCAGCCCTGCCTGCCCCTGTGCTATGCCCATGCCCTTGACTGTGTTATCTCTTCCCAGTTGGTTAGGCAGTGGTCTCCCAGATGAGGCTTATATACCTGGGTCATTTAAGAAGTTGATCTTGGCTGGGCACCATGGCTCACACCTATAATCCCAGCACCTGGGAAGGCTAAGGCAGAAGCATTGCTTGAGCCCAGGAGTTCGAGACCAGCCTGGGCAACATAGTGAGACCCTGTCTCTAGCTGGGCATGGTGGCTTGCACCTGTAGTCTCAGATACTCAGGAGGCTGAGGTGGATCGCTCAAGCCCAGGAGGTCAAGGCTGCAGTGAGCCATGATTGTGCCACTGCACTCCAGCCTGGGAGAAAGAGCAAGACCCTTTTTCAACAAAATAAGTTGATCATGAAGAATGCAGGGTGGGGGAGGGGGAGCCATCCCCACTGCACCCAGGTAGGGCTGCGGGTGAGAGCCTCGCGGAGCGGCGGGGCAGCTGCGGTGCACCATGCACTACCATGTCCAGCAGAGGGCACTGCTCTTCCCTGTGCCTCTGCCACCCCCGGGGCTGACCCAGGAGATGCAGGGCTGAGCCCCAACTACCCTTCTACCCTCTCTTGGGTTCTTGTTCCAACAGCGCAGTGACTGCGATGCACTCAGAGTTTTCAGAGAAATTTCTCATCTTTCAGTCTATTTGATTATCATAGAAACCCAATGAGCAGGATAAGGCATCATGAGTCCATTGAACAGATAAGAAAGTGAAGGTCTCTCAGAGGGGACAGGACTTACATATTAATTAGCAGTGGAAATAGGGCCAGAGCCTCCTCCACTATGTATCACACTGCTGATTGCAATAGAAATAGGGAGGTCAGTGCTGCATTTTAACATCCCCCTTCTTTACTGTCTAAAACGCTCCTCCATTCTATTGGGATCTCTACATTGTGTGTGTGTGTGGTGCACACATGTTTGTCTCAGGGCACTAGTGTCACACATGGAGGCTCCTGGACACAGGTGTGCCTGGTTTGCAGCCCTGCTGACATACCAGCCCTGGGACCAGGCCCGTTGCACCTGGTTGCTTCTACAGGTGCCACACTGTACCTCAAAGAACTTTGAGAAAATGCATCCTGCCTTCCCAAAGTTCTGTGCCATCTGAGAAAAGCTAGAACCCACTGGGATGTTCCTAAATTTGTATTTGGAGAAGGTGTTCTACTGAAGTCAGAGCAGAAAACAAGCTACCCTCATGCTCTCCCCAGGCCTCCCTTGATGAGGGTGGAGCCCCAGCATCCCATTGGCCCAAGGATGGGGGAGCAGATGTCCCCTGCCAACCCCACAGTGATGAACTAGGTCCTGGATAGGGGCCCCCTTTATCCTCCCAATCCCTGCAGCTGGAGGCGGCCCAGCACCCACATCCCTGTTTACATCTTCAACAGGCACCCCATCCTGCAATCACCACATCCTGTTTTTCCAGGAGAAAGAAGAGCCCTGATATGTTTGTCTAGAAGGTCAGGGGTTCAGTCACTCACAGATTCCACCTGGGTGTGAAAGTAAAATTTGCAGGGTCTGTAGCCTTGGGGGTTCCCTATCCAGCCCTCTTCAGAAGGGAGCTCCTTGGCAAATGTTGGAGCACAGGGGTGGTGTGCACCCTGCTCTGATTTCTCTCACCCTTGAGGGTCTCTCAGGTGCTCAGGTGAGAGCCCACTCCCCTGGAGCTGCCCTCTTCTAGCAGGGTCTGCCTGGACATCAGCCCTCCCATAGCCTGACCAGCAGCATGTCTATTTCGGGGGTGTTTGGGGAATGGGACTCTTCTCACCTTCTTCTTAATAAAGACCAAGAATTGATTCCCTCCCTGTCTCCTCTTCTGCACCTCCAAGATTATTCTTTGGGAGCAGGAGGCTCACTGATTACCCCAGGAGGCTTCCCTCCTAGGGTACCCAGTCTTGGACTTGCCTAGAAAATGCTTTTCATGTCCCTTTTTTCAAACCTCGTTTCAACTTGCCTCCGACCTACCATGCCTTGCAGACTTCATGGAGCGCATTCCTTGATCATAGGCCATGCAGCAAGTGCTTGAGGGGAATAAAAAGAACCTTAAGGTAGGTTCCTACCCTCAAGCAATGCATATTTTAATCATTTATCTCATGAGGGATTCATATCCAAAATACCTTGAGAATTCCTACAATTCACCAATGAAAATACAAATGACCCAATCAAAAAAGTGGGCAAAAGATTCAAAATAGGCATTTCTCCAAAGAATATAAACAAATGATACTTAAAAACCACATGAAAAGATGCTCAACATCACTAGTCATTAGGGAAATGCAAATCAAACTACAATGAGAGACCACACCCCTTAGAATCAATTAAAAAAAAAACAAAAAACAGAAACTAACAAGTGTCTGGTGAGGATATGGAGAAACTGGAACTCTTTTGCTTTGGGGGTTCCCTCAAAGCACAAATGTAATGGAAATGTAGCAGAAGTGTAGAATGGGGCAGCCACGGCAGAAAATGGCATGGTGGTTCCTCAAAAAATTAAACATAGAATTCCCATATGATCCATAAATTCTATTTCTGGGTATATACTCAAAATAACTCAAAGCAGGGTCTCAAAGAGGTGGTTGTACACCCATCTTTATAACAGCATTATTTACAATAGCCAAATGTCTTATCAAGACAAATGGAGGAACAAAATGAGGTATATTCATACAATAGTGTTATTCAGGCTTTAGAAGGAGGGAAATTCTGACACATACAATAACAAAATGAACTTTGAGGACATTGTGCAGAGTGAAATAAACCAGACACAAAAGGACAAATACTGTGTGATTCCATTTATATGGGGTATCTAGAAGAGTCAAATTCAGAAGCAAAGTAAACAGTGGTTCCCACAGGCTGGAGGTGGTGGGGAAAGAGGAGTTAGTGTTTAATGGGTACAGAGCTTCAGTTAGGGAAGATGAAAACGTTTTCTGGAGAGGGATGGGGGTGATGGTTGTGCAATAATTGTAAGGAACTTAAAGTCCTTGAACTGTACACTTAAAGTGCTCACGATGGTGAAATTTAGGTTCTGTATATTTCTATATATTTCTCTATTTCTATTGGGGCACTAGGACCGGCTACATAATTTGAAGGCCTGCCCAGTGCAAAATAAAAATGGAGGAGCCCTTGTTCCAAAATGTTTAAGAATTTCAAGAGGGTGACAGCAGGGCATTAAACTGAATGCAGAGTCCTTTGGAGCACTACCCAGGTCATCCTCCATGAAACCGAGTGCAGAGTCCTTTGGAGCATCCCCCATGAGCACAGGGTCCTTTGGAGCACTACCCAGGTCATCCCTCATGAAGCCAGCCCAGCTGGGAGGTATGTAACAGTTAGTTTTCTGTGTCAACTTACCAGGCTACAGTACCAAGTTATTTAATCAAACACCCATCTCCGTGTTGTTGTGAAGATATTTTGTAGATGTGGTTAACAATCAGTTGACTTTAAGTAAAATAAATTATCCTTGATACTGTGAGTGGATCCTATGAAATCAGTTAAAAGGCCTTAAAATCAAAAATCTAGGTTTTCAGGAGAAGATGAAATTCTGCCTCAAGGCCACAGCACTAACTCAGCCTGAGTTTCCAGTCTTTGGGGCTGCCCTACGGATTTCGGGCTTGCAAGATTATAATCGTGAGCTAATTCCTAGAAATAACTCTCTTAATAGAAATATATATTGGTTCTGTTTCTCTGAAGAACCCTGACTGATACATAAGAAAAGAAATGGATTGGTGAAGTTAATAAAAACAAAAGCACAGCAGGCTTTGAAAATCATCAAGTCCAAATCACCTGGTTGTTCTGCATATGAGGAAACCAAGGCTCAGAGAAGTGATGAAACTTGTCCAGTGTCACACAGCAAGTTAGGAAAGGCGGTGTCTTCACACTTCTCCATCAAAGAGTGCCTGGTAGCCGTGTGTTTTCTATAGCTTATATTTTAATTTCTAAACGTCTATGAATTTTGCATTCTATTCCATTATATAATTGTGTTTTCCATTTTTAAGTAGTGTTTTATTTTCCAAATCGTTTTCCCTAACATTTCTGCTCTAGGAAGGAGTGCCACGCCTGTTCCGCGGACTTCTGACCCCGCACACCAACCCGATGGAAGTAGTGAAGACAGTAGGGACGCACAGCACAGTGACTGAAGCCTGAAACCCTGAGGCTCAGTAAAACTTCAATTCCTAGAAGCCTAAGGCAATCGAATGTTCTCGAAATAGACCTTCCAGAATCAATGCAATTTTCGGTTCAGCTTTTAGATGCGTATAAGATACTCTTTCTTTGCTGTGGGATTTTTCTGGTGCTTGAGATCTTCTTTCCCGAGCGTTCTCCTTGCAGAGATCTTTTGATATGGAGCGGCGTGCACGCAGCCCCTAGGTTGGGCGCTGAGGGGCATCGCTGATGCGATCCACGTGCCTCCCCGTCCTCAGGCCGCTTCCTTTCCTGGTTTCCAGGTCCTCGTTTCTCCCAGCGCTGCCCTCCCCATCTAAGCCCAAGTCGCCGTGAGCCCGCGCTGCCCCCTTGTGGCCAAAGCCCTCCCCAGCTCAGGAAACGGGAACGCTTGGCGGCCAGGCTGAGAGTCGGTGCGCGTGACCCGGCTTCTGCTCGCAGCATCCAAGAAGTTGCAATAACGTGGAAGGATGGGGAACGGCGCCTCCCTGGCTAGCGTGAAACTCAGCCACAGCACAAAATTGAGGCTGTTGGCCGTGAGCGGCTCTCAAAGCTGAATTTGAGGTAAGAAGTCGCCTGCCAACAGGGCATGCGCAAATCTCACCATGTAGAGTGAGTGGCTTTCCGGCAGCTTCTCCCCTCCAGGCGGCCACCTGGCCCCACACTCCTCAGGTGCAGGGCCGAGGAAGGGAGGGGTCCAGCTGAGCTCTGAGCGTCCCAGGGGATACAGCACCTGACCACCACTCAGAAAGCCCCCCCAAAAATACAAAGACAGAGAATTGAAGACAGATGCCACCTCACTTGACTAGTGGGGATTGGGTGGGGATAGCCCAACATCGGCAGAGCCAACCTGGCCACCTACATGGGAGGGTCCCCGGGGTAAGATGTGGCTTTGTGACCTAAGGAAGGCGGGTAGGTCGGGCTGACGGGGGAGAGGGGCCAGTGAAGCCCCCATCCCTAGGGACACAGTTCAGCTGAAGGAATCTCACTCTGGGCCTTCACAGGGTTAGCATCCTGTCGGCCCCTGCGCGGGGCCGGGGGGGCGGGGATTCAGGTGGCCCCTGGTGGCAGCTGTCTTAACCCAGGCGAGGCACACAGGAGGACACCAAGCCCTGGTCTCCAACCTCAACCCTGCACAGCCTGCTAGTCCCACGCTAAAGTGATTGAGGAATGGCACAGAGACGGGAGCGAACCCCCAGGGAGGCACCAGGCGAGTTGCCGGAAAGGAAGAGTTCGCTACAGGACAGACAGGTGGTTTCAAACTGGAAGGGATGTCTCCGAGTCCCCTGCGAGAAAGATCTTATCCTTAGGTCTGCGGTTACTAGTTACGTTACGTTACGTTACGTTACGTTACGTTACGTTACGTTACGTTACGTTACTTTTTGAGAACAAGTCTCACTCTGTTGCCGAGGCTGGAGTGCTTTGGTGTGACCCTGGCTCACTGCAACCTCCGCCTCCCGGATTCAAGCAGTTCTCCTGCCTCAGCCTCCCAAGCAGCCGGGATCACAGGCGCCCGCCACCATGCTCAGCTAACTTTTGTATTTTTAGTACAGACGGGGTTTCACCATGTTGGTCAGTCTGGTCTCGAATTCCTGACCTCAAGTGATCCACCCGCCTCAGCCTCCCAAAGTGCTGAGATTATAGTCGTGAGCCACCGTGCCTGGCCAGGTTTGCGGTTACTAGAATGAGGCAAAAGTTGGGAGCTATTTCCAAAATGGAAGACTGGAAGACAGAAGAATACCTATGAGTACCCTCATCCCAAAGTCCAGGTGGGGCCTTGAGTCAGTAAAAAGGAAGAATTTCAAGGCAGTATCTCAGTAAAGATGCACTAAATATCTGAGCCTGGTATATCTTAGTTTCCACCCTGGTTTTCTTCCCCATATGGCAGGGCTTTTAGAGATTAAGAGAGGTCCAGACATTTCCAGAAAATTCTTTTTTTTTTTTTTTTTGAGACGGAGTCTCACTCTGTCACCCAGGCTGGAGTGCAGTGGCGCGATCTCGGCTCACTGAAAGCTCCGCCTCCCGGGTTCACGCCATTCTCCTGCCTCAGCCTCCTGAGTAGCTGGGACTACAGGCGCCCGCCACCACGCCGGGCTAATTTTTTCTATTTTTAGTAGAGATGGGGTTTCACCGTGGTCTCGATATCCTGACCTCGTGATCCACTCGCCTCGGCCTCCCAAAGTGCTGGGATTACAGGCGTGAGCCACCGTACCCGGCCCATTTCCAGAAAATTCTAAAACAGACTTACTGACATTTTGGGTTAAAATTTTTGACACACACAAAGTGAGATTATATTGTGTTGTGCTCAAGGTAATTGCAGTTAGAGTTTTAAAAACCAATACCACCAGGCATGGTGGTGTGCACCTGTAGCCCCAACTACTAGGGAGGCCGAGGCAGGAGGATCACTTGGGCCCAGGAGTTGGAGGCTGCGGTGAGCTATGATTCCACCACAGCACTCCAGCCTGGACAACAGGGCAATAACTCATCTCTATTTAAAAACAAACAAACAAACAAAAATGCCTCGTGTTCTCTAAGCATGTGGGCTGGTGATGGGCACAGGTTTCAACGTGGAAAACAAACACCTTCCTTTGACAGTGTCAGTGCATCTCTGTGGTTTTATACTCATGTGGTCATTTGTAAATATGTTGAAGTCTTCTTATGAATATGAGGCTGGAGTAAGTGTCCCCCTGTCACCCCCTCCTCATGATGAACCTTAAGGATGGGGCTAGTCTTTATAGGATTGGGCACCTGAGCAGGACTAGGGGTGAAGGTGGGGTCCTGGGAGAATGTCTGGCACCAGCTCAATGTCATGGTCTTTGTTCCTCTGGGTGCTGGTGGCAACAAATGAGGATAGGCAGGTAGTATTGCTGTACCTCTCCCTGTCCCCTTTCCTACCCTGAGGAAGTCCCCACCCTGCCTTGGGCTGGACCAGAGCTAGCTAGTGGCAGCTGTTGGACCTCCAGTGAGCTAGCCCTCAGCGTGGCATTGTGGGGGCCAGGGCAAGAGGAGCTGTCCACACTGTGATGTGGCCCCGGCCAACACTGAGAGATGCCATCATCTAGGAGGATTATGACCAAGGGGCTGGGCTTACAGGTTAACCAGATCAGCGTAGGAGAAGAGCAAACAAAGAGTTCATTATTAACCTTGTAAATGTGTCCCCCAGGCCTGGCCTTCGCTGCTATCACATCGGCTGACTTAGTAATCATTGGTTCTATAATAAACCGTGGAGACCCAAGTCCTCTTTGCATTGTCTCTAGAACTACTGGATACTTCCTGGGTTTGCCACTATCCTATTTTCTAGTGGGGCCCTGTGATCCCCAGAGACAGACCCGTGTTCATTCTTAGCTTCAGCACTTACCAGTGGCACAACTGCAAAAAAGTGGTCCCTGTTATTCCCACAGCCCAGCCTCTCTCGGGGTGACCTCGCCCTGGGATGCGTCATGTCTCAGCCTCACGCTTCATTGTGGATAACAGCTCCTGGAACCGGTTTATTGTGGAGGCTCAGCTCATTTGAAGACACAAACGTGAACCTTTTATTCATTCTAACCAGTGTTCCATCACCTGGTAACATCTCAAGCAGACTCTATTACTTCCAGATAAATCCACAGTTAAAAGAACAAGTGGTTTGCTTGAGAATGTCAGGCATTTTCACATCAAAGCACTTTGCCTCCCACTCTGCTGCCACCTATTCTATACCAGAGCTCTGCTCTGCACACCTGGGTGGCTTCCTGGCTCCCACCCCTTTCCTACTCTGGGCCACTTCACAGTGAGGGATGGGCAACCCTGAAGTCCCTTCAGCAGGCTCCGTGGGCCACAAAGGCTTGGGGTGGCTGCTCCCCCATTCTGGCCTTCCTAGCCCCAAGACACTTATCTGATGCAGGCTATTCTGGGAAGTCTTTGTAATGTGGGGAAAGTAACTCCTGCCTTGGAAATAATTATTGAAACCTAGTGAGATTACATGAAGTAATTGGCCCAAGGCCACTGTTTACAGTTGTACAAGCCATGCACTGCACAACTCCAGCACCGTTTCACCTTGTACCCATGAGAGATTGTATCTTATTACAATTTTCTGGCAGATGACAGTTGAGTGTCAACAGAGGGGCTCAGCAGGGTTGGTGCTGCCTCCCTTTCCAGACAGATGTCAAATCCCTCTCTTCTCAGCACATCAAGCCCTGCTCCCCCTTTGCCACAAGAGTCCTAGAAGCCAGACACTAAGGGCTCAGGGTCCGCAGTCCCCCAGGCAGAATTAGCCTCATCTCATCCCCACACCTTGGTGACATCATGTGCTGACTCAGTCTTCCCAGTGCCTCATGTTGGAACCTCTGTCAGGGATGGAGAGACATCTAAGGACCCCCAACCCCAGGCCACTGTGCAGAGGGGTAAGGAGGTGCAGAGAAGGGGTCTCAGGAAGCTTTAGAGCCAGCTTTAGGATCTGTCTTTCAGGGTGCTAGTATTTAAGAGTGTAAAAAAAAAATCCAAAACACTGGATATAAAGGCCTGGCACGGTGGCTCACGCCTATAATCCCAGCACTTTGGGAGGCTGAGGCAGGCGGATCGCTTGAGGCCAGGAGTTCGAGACCAGCCTGGCCAACATGGTGAAACCCTGTCTCTACTAAAAATACAAAAATTAGCCAGGTGTGGTGGTACGTGCCTGTAGTCCCAGCTACTCAGGAGGCTGAGGCAGGAGAACTGCTTGAACCTTGGAGGTGGAGGTTGTAGTGACCCGAGATTGCACCACTGCACTCCAGCCTGGGCAACAGAGTGAGACTCTGTCTCGGGGGGCGGGGGGGGGGGGAAGCAGCAACCAAAAAACCCACTGAATATAGTGAGTTCCAGAGTCTAGCAACATAACAGTGGAAAAGAAAAAGTAACTTTTGAAACAGTGTGACATTAATGTGACAATGTGACATATACTTTACAATTATGATCACTTAAGCAAATACCTCTGACCCCATAATTCTAATTAATGTATATCATTAAGTGAATCACACTGACTTTACTCTGAATTTCCTTGACAGCCATGCTAAAATACTTACCTTGGACATAAGCTAAGCTTTAAGTTTGTTGTTTATAACTTCAAAGAGAGACAAGGGACAGTGACTTAAGAATATTCTAAGCTATAAATTTACATGTGGACTTTGCTACACACCTGGGATGCAGCCAGATGAGTTTTGTTCCATTGCAGTACATCTGATGACCAGAATTCTATCAGAGAATGTTAATGAACGAAAAGCCTGAGCTTTAAGACTGAGATTGGTACCACGGGTAGTCATGGCCACCTGCTGGCAGCGTAGGGTACTGCAGCCCAGCTATGGTTCAGACTAAAAGCCGAGAAACGCCTGTGGTCCAGGGAAAGGTATGAAGATCATATAAACCGGCGGTGGACAGGAAATGCCACAGTCAAGAAGATGCCCCTGGGATGCTGAGCTCTTACAACTCGAAATCAACAGCTTTTACAAATAAAACCGCTGCAAAAGCAATAGCTCTTACAAATAAAACTGATAATTTGGACTTCTGGGCACCAAATGTTTTCATAACGAAAACATCAATTATGCATTATAATACCAAGTACACCTTACACTTACTGATTCTTCTCCTTAACTTTCAGTGTATTCCTTTAGGAGATTGTCGCACCTTGGTCAGAATACATCGACAGTTTTATAATAGAACAGAAAAGCTTCCATTTGCAGCAATATATTTTAGTTGGCTTGTTGAAACACATCTCTCTTCCTGAAAGCAAGCAATTCTTGAAGTGGATCAACCTTGTCATCATATCCCTTTTATTCTTCACCCTTTTATTCTTCACTGGTATGACAGTCCCTATACCATCTTAGCCACTGCTTTTTTGTTTCTACTTATTTTCCATCCCCCCTGCCTGCCCCCCATAGCAAAATGAAGGCATGCCGGGAAGCAGCAACTCAAC
Organism: Homo sapiens; assembly: GCF_000001405.40. Taxonomy (NCBI): domain Eukaryota; kingdom Metazoa; phylum Chordata; class Mammalia; order Primates; family Hominidae; genus Homo; species Homo sapiens. The sequence continues at coordinate 27,597,972 of NC_000008.11, forward strand.
ATAAAAAGAGGACCCTCCAAGCGATCAGCTCACAAGACAGTTTTATTGAATTAGTTGCATGCAGGAGCAATTCTGTTCTTCCCATGAGCAGCAGAGTCGAGTGTTAGAGTGCAGGATCCAGAGCGGGGAGAGGCTGGGCGGAGTTGGGGGCCTGGAGGCTGGGGCCTGGTTACTTGGTGACGTGCAGAGCTCTCTCTGGGGGGCTGCAGCTCATCTTGGGGGGAGCTGGACTCAGATGCCCCCGTAGGTGCAAAAGCAACATCCACATCTCACTCCTCCCTGAAATAAAAAACAGTTATCCTCCAAAGTAAAACATCCTCCAAAGGAAAAATAAAATTCCCCCGTAACTTCCTGGCTTTGTTCTTGGGCTCTGGCTCCGGGCGGAGTCGTTCCCACCAGGCTATAGAGTCTGCACTTTGTTTGTTTTTTTGTGGCTCCCAGAGACTCACTGGGCCCTGCAGGCCCGCAGGAAAGGCCCGCCTGCTTACCGGTGCTTTTTGCGGTATTCCTGCAGCGCTTTCTCCGCCACGGTCTCCATAAATTTAGGGTTCTTCCTGGAGACTTCTACAGGGACCGTCACAGTGATGGGATCAGAGTCAAAGAGCTTCACGACCACCTCAGTGACACCGGAAGGAACGTCCGAGTCAGAAGTGTGGGAAGCCACCTAAATGGAACAAGAGAAAAGGGAAGAGCTGAAACACTGTGGTCAAAATGCATGCGCTCTGCAACAGAAGTCAGGCTTCTGATAAGGAAGTCCTCCTGCTTCTCCAAGGAAACCTAGAGAGCTGACCCCATGCTTCTTATACATCTAGACGTAAGTACAGCTCAGTGGACAGAACGGACCTGGTTCACAGACACTCATGTGTTGGGGCAAATGTCATCTGCAAATGACCAGCCCAGGGAGCACCCCAAAGAATAAAAGTGGTTTCCAAACATTTGCTTTAGAAGCAGCCCTTGGTCAGAGTAGGGTAGAAAAGGAATCCAGAGGGCCTGGAGGGAAGAAAGAAAAGAAAAAGAAGAGTTCCCAGTACTAGAAATAAGTTTTATTTGATTTTTTAACTTTATTTTATTATTTTATATATATATATTTTTTAAGAGACAGAGTCTCACTCTGTCACCCAGGCTGGAGTGCAGTGGCGTGATCACAGCTCACTGCAGCCTCCACTTCAGGGCTCAGGCAATCCTCCCACCTCAGCCTCCTGAATAGCTGGGACTACAAGTGTGTGCCACCACACCTGACTGATTTTTGTATTTTTTGTAGAGAGGGAATCTTGCTGTGTTGCCCAGGCTGGTCTCAAATTCCTGGCCTCAAGCAATCCTCTTGCCTCTGCCTCCCAAAGTGCTGGGATTACAGGCATGAGCCACCATGTCTGGCCTAGAGAGAAGTTTTTATCACTGGCAGAGAGTGATGTACTAATTCATAAGCCATTTTACATGCCAGAGGGCAGCCTTGTAGCTTTGAGAAAAGAACAGAGGCTTCTGGTTTATTCACAGATTTGTGCACCAAAACAAAAACAACAACAACAAAATACAGGCTTGGCAGCCAGGCAGTCAGGTTCAAATACCCGTCCAAGTCATCTGTCAGCTATCACACCTTGGCCAAGCTGTGGAACCTCTCTTACTTTGCTCCTTTGTAAAGCAGGGTTATATTTTCCCTGAGTGGGTGATGAGGCTTCAAGGCAACAGGGGCGCCTAAAGTTTTCTATTTTCTGCCGTGTGATAAATGCTCAGTCAAAAGCACACATGCCCCTGCTCCCGATCACAGCTCGGGCTCCCGAGCCACAGCATGTGGCCGGGACACAGCTCACCGTGGTGACCCGCAGATAGTACTGGTCTTCGCCTTGCGTGAGGTTTGCCAGCCGGGACACCCAGTTAAACTGCTCGTTCAGCTGCTCCAGCAAGGAGGAGGTGTTGAGCATCTTCCACTGGTAGGACTTTAGCAGCTCGTTGTATTTCCTGGTCAACCTCTCAGCGACCTGGAGGGATTCGTCGAGCTCCCGCCGCAGCTTAGCCTGGGAGGGGTTGTTGGTGGAACAGTCTGCCCAGAGATGGAAGAAACGCAAGTGAGAAGTGTGAAGGGAAGGCTACAAAGGGATAGAACCATGAATGAATGGAAGTTAGCACATGCAGCGGGAACAAAAGCAGTGCTTCCCTAAGGGAAGGGCCACAAACTGGAATTGTCCACGACAAAATAAAGGTTTTGCCTCAGAATGTGAATCTAGACACTGCTTCCGTCATCCAGAAAGTCTTTTGGGTTTTTTGTTTTTGTTTTTGTTTTTTTGAGACAGAGTTTTGCTCTGTTGCCTAGGCTGGAATACAGTGGTGAGATCTCGGCTCACTGCAGCCTTGACTTCCCAGGCTCAGGCTGTCCTCCAACCTCAGCCTCCTGAGTAGCTGGGACTATAGGCACATGCTACCATGCCCAGCTAATTTTTGTATTTTTTGTAGACACGGGGTTTCTCTGTGTTGTCCAGGCTGGTCTCGAACTCCTGGGCTCAACCCATCTGCCCAAAAAGTGCTGGGATTACTGGTGTGAGCCACCACGCCCAGCCTGAGAAGCCTTGCTCTGGAAAAATACGCCAACTGACCTAAACAGTGTGCTTCGTAACATCATTGATTTATCTTTGGGTGCCAGACCCTTATCTCTTTGGTGACAAACTGTGTTGACCACACTTCCAAAAGCACTGATCTCAAGTTCTCCATGTTCTCAGACCTGGAGTGGCTCTCGTTGCCCTAGTCCCTCCCGGGAATCATTTCCAGAGAGGAGGAATATTACTCACAGCTGCCATTCGTGTGGCACTGCCTTCGTCCCAGACACCGCAGAAAGTTCTCTCTGGATATCCTTTTTCTCTAAGAATTGGATCTGTTCTGACTTAAGGATTAGGACTTAAGTCCTAATTTTACCAATAATGAAATAATTTTTACCAATAATGAAACTGAGGCCCACAGAAGTATCAATAAATAGCTTACCTAAAGCCATAGAATAAATGATCTCTGGGCCCGGGATTGAACCAGGGTCTTCAGCTCCTAAGCTTGGGCTTTTCCTACCCTGGATCTGTGGTTCTGGACAATCCTCCAAGCTTGTCTTTTTTTTGAGACAGAATTTCGCTCTTGTTTCCCAGGCTGGAGTGCAATGGCGCGAGCTCAGCTCACTGCAACCTCCACCTCCCGGGTTCAAGCAATTCTCCTGCCTCAGCCTCCAGAGTAGTTGGGATTACAGGTGCCTGCCACCACCCCCGGGTGATTTTTTTGTATTTTTAGGAGAGACAGGGTTTCACCATGTTGGCTAGGCTGGTCTCAAACTCCTGACCTCAGGGGTCCACCCACCTCGGCCTCTCAAGGTGCTGGGATTACAGGTGTGAGCCAATGCACCCGGTCCAAACTTGTCTTTTGAGCATGTCTGTAGAGGTGGCAGTTCTGGTGCCAGGAGTTCATGCAGCTGATGCACTGGCACCTGGTGGCCAGGGGTCCTTGCCTGCCCACCTGCCCGCCCATGGCTGGTCAGTGAGTTCATCAAGAGAGCAGGGAAAAGAGAATTCATTCCTCTTGGCCCTGGGCTGCAGGTTGTCAGATTCATTAAGACCTGGAAACTGTCCACTAGCTCTTAAAACTACTGTTTTTCTCCCCCTAAGGTATTTCAAAAATATCCAGAGGCAGGTACATCAAACGTGAGTCAGGGGAAGGGAGATTTTGCATATGCTTTAGGATGATGACTGCAATCATTTATAGTAAACAAAATGTTAGGTGGGGAAAGAAACAGAATTACTAACAAGATGCCAGTTTGAAAATAAATATGTAATAAATAAACTTCATTATTTTACCAAAAAAAAATTTAAAAATAAGAAAAACTAGCTCACACCTGTAATCCCAGCACTTTGGGAGGCTGAGGCAGGCTGATCACTTGAGGTCAAGAGTTTGAGACCAGCCTGGCCAATATGGTGAAACCCTGTCTCTACTAAAAATATAAAAATTAGCCAGGCGTGGCGGTGCACGCCTGTAATCCCAGCTACTCAGGAGGCTGGGGCAGGAGAATCGCTTGAACCCAGGAAGCAGAGGTTGCAGTGAGCAAAGATTGCGCCACTACGCTCCAGCCTGGGTGATAGAGCGAGACCCTGTCTTAAAAAAATAATAATAAAATAAGAAAAATCCTTGAGAGCTGAGGCTTAGTCTAGAATAGAGGTTCTCTACTGGGGTGACGCTGTCACCCAGGGAGATTTAGCAAGTTCTGAAGCTGGTTGTCACAACAAAGGGAAGGGAGCTGCTGACCTCTAGTGGGCAGAGGCCAGGAATGCTGCCAAACACCCTGAACTGCTCAGGACAGCCCCCAACGACAAAGAATGACCTGGTCCAAAATGTCAGCACTGCTCACACCTGTAATCCCAGCACTCTGGGAGGCTGAGGTAGGAGGATCACTTGAGCCCAGGAGTTAGAGACCAGCTTGGGCAATGTAGCAAGACCCCATCTCTACTAAAAATAAAAAAATTAGCCAAGCATGGTGGAGCACACCTGTAGTCTGTTACTCAGGAGGCTGAGGCAGGAGGATGACTTCAGCCCAAGAGGTCTAGGCTGCAGTGAGCTGTAATGGTGCCACTGCACTCCAGGCTGGGTGATAGAGAGAGACCCTGTCTCAAAAAAAAAAAAAAAAATCAACAGCGCTGAAATTGAGAAATCCTCATCTAGAGTTCCCAGGCAGTACGTGCTTATATGGTTGCAAGCACCTTAAATAACAGTAGGCAGTCCTCTTCAGTGTAGACTATTTAGCTCAGCTTAGAGAATTATTCTTACCAATAATTCTCTAAGAATCTATCTCAGGTCAGGCACAGTGGCTCACACCTGTAATCCCAGAACTTTGGGAGGCCGAGGCGGGCAGATTACTTGAGGTCAGGAGTTCAAGACCAGCCTGGCCAACATAGTGAAATGCTGTCTCTACTAAAAATACAAAAATTAGCTGGGTGTGGTGGTGCACACCTGCACTCCCAGCTACTTGGGAGGCTGAGGCAGGAGAATCACTTGAACCCAGGAGGCGGAGGTCGCAGTGAGCCGAGATAGAGCCACTGTACGCCAGCTATAATCAATGACTGATAAGACTGGCGCTGGCTGCACTCTCAACTGTAATCAATGACTGTTAAGATTGGCGCCAGACCTGAGCCCAGCCTGGGCAACAGAGTAAAAATCAGCATAAGAGGTCCAATCTGGGCACAGGCATCTGGACATCTTTTCTCAGACCCTAACATGACTTTCTTGTGGTGAGGTACCATGTAATTGATGCCACTCTATGATATTTTTTATAGAAAAAGCCCCAAGGCCTGGTTGTGCACTCATCTACAGCAACTTATACTTCAGCCTGTTAAAGCACAACTGTTTATTTTGCAGTGGCTTCTAAAATTATAGGAGTGAGGCTAGGAATGTTTAACTAGACCCTGGCGGCCTGCCATGGCAAACTCAAACTAAGCATTAAGTAAGAGCAAAGCCACCAGATCGATAAGCTGTTGACAAGGGGAAACAATTAACTCTTTGTGAGTATGAACTGCTGTGTACCAGGAACTAGTCCAAATACTGTCACAGCTGTTATCTCTAAGTGGAAAGAAGTTAACCCATAACCAGAGCTGGTGAAACGGAGGGGGACAGTTAAAGGGAAATATTCCCTTTGCCTAGGGGACCAACCAACCGACCAAAGGGACTATTGCTTGGATGCCCAGGTACTGAGACCCGTGACTTCTGTGGCCAGAGGCTGCGAGGGGCCCCAGGAGAGAACACAGCGCCCTAGGATTGAAGCCCAGCTCGCCCATGTCGGGGTCAATCTTGGATAAGTTATTAACCTTTCTGTGGCTCAGTTTCCTCAGAGGGTCATTCTGAGGAAATGAGGAAATGTATGTCGAGTGTTTAGAACAGTGCCTGGCCTCTGGTCAGTTTTGTTAAACAAAACACATACTGTCTGCAATGTCATAATCTGCAGAGGAAAATGAAGATGCCTACTGCGCTTGGCGCTTGGGAACAGAATCACCGGGGAGTCCCAGGGGGATGACTTTTTTCAACAAGCTTTTTTCAACATGGGGCCGACCAGGTGGAGGGCACTTTTGCATCTCTAACGACATCTCACCGACTTCAGGGACAGCCTCGCATCATCATCTCATTCTAAGATGAGGAACCGAAGCTGCATGAGGCTCAGGACCTGCCCCGGGACACAGCTCAAAGGCTGCAGAGCTGGAATCCAAACGCTTATCTGTCTGACTCCATAAAGGCAGCACCAGTGAGGCCCCAGTGACCCCAGGACACAAGGGATCAGGGGGGACGGCTTGTGGTCTGGACCCCGACTCACCCACAGACAAGATCTCCCGGCACTTGTCACACTGGTCCTTCATCCGCAGGCAGCCCGTGGAGTTGTGGCGGATCTCCCGGCACACAGTCCGGTCATCGTCGCCTTCTGGGGACACACGAGGGAAGAAGAGTCAGTCATCCAGCCATGCAGAGATGGACTCCACTGATTCCTATTGTTATTTTTATTTATTTTTTAATTTACAGACAGGGTCTCACTCTGTTGCCCAGGCTGGAATGCAATGGTGCAATCATAGCTCACTGCAGCCTCCAACTTCCAGGCTCAGGTGACTCTCTTGCCTCAGCCTCCCGAGTAGCTGAGACTACAGGTGTGCACCACCACACCCGGCTAATTTTTTAAGTTTTTATTTTTGTAGAGACAGGGTCTCACTATCTTGGCCAGGCTGGTCTCAAACTCCTGGCCTCAAATGATCCTCCCGCCTTGGCCTCTCAAAGTGCTGGCATCACAGGCATGAGCCACCATGCCCAGCTCAGTTTTTTTCCTCTTTAAATAAGGATAATATCACCCTTGTGATATTGCTGGAGAAAAATCGAGATGACACCCGCTGAGCCCTCGGCATGGTTCTCAGCATCTAACGAGTTGCTCAAAAGGCCATGAGCTTCCACCCCTTCTCACCTCGTATGAATTCTGTTGGCGGGTGCTGGAAGGCCGGGCTATGGAAGTGGATGTCCATGGCCTGCTGAGCCTCGTGTATCATCTCAAGGAAGGGCTGGAACATGGCGTGGAAGTTCAGGGGCTCGTACGGAGAGAAGGGCATCAAGCTGCGGACGATGCGGGACTTGGGAAAGAAGAAGTGAGGCCTCCGGTGGGGCAGGCTGAAGGGCAGGTAGTGGTAGGTATCCTGGGGCTCCCGGGTGAAGAACCTGTCCTGGAAGAGCTCGTCTATGATGCTGGACGCGCGGCTGAAGTGGTCCTGCATGACATCCAGCATGTGCGTCTGCTGCCGGTCGTTCTCCAGCAGGGAGTCGATGCGGTCACCATTCATCCAGAAGTAGAAGGGCGAGCTCTGGTTCAGGAACTCCTCAAGCTGGGACAGCCAGCATGGGCACAGTTAGGAGAAGCTCACCAAGGCCACGGCCTCCTGGCCTCCCACCCCCTGGTGAGCCAGGCCAGGCCCTGCCCATGGCTGTAACAGTCACACAGCAAGTGACCAACAGCCCAGCTGGGACCAGCCCCCAGCACCCCATCTGTCAGGTCCATGCTCTTTCCTTTTATCTCCCTCCATGGGGGACAGTTTTGAGACACCTGGGAGGCCCCAAAAGTCACAAGGCCCAACATTTCAGGTTCATTCACTGTCATCTTTGGCCACCAATGATATCCACCCCCGCTCGGCTAAGGGCCAACTGATGTGACTTCAGGGATTGGAGCAATTCACTGAGTCCCAATCAAAAAAGCCCTGCAGCAGAGGACAGGAGCAACACTAATATACTACAAAATCTTACATTGGCTGGGCATAGTGGCACACATCTATAATCCCAACAATTTGGGAGGCCAAGGTAGGAGGATTACTTGAGCTTAGGAGTTTGAGACCAGCCTGGGCAACATGGCCAAACCCCATGTTTACAAAAAAAAAATACAAAAATTAGCTGGGTGTGGTGGTACGTGCCTGTAGTCCCAGCTACTTGGGAGGCTGAGGTGGGAGGATCACCTGAACCCAGGAGGTCGAAGCTGCAGTGAAACATGATCACATCACTGTACTCCAGCCTGGGTGACAGAGTGAGACCCTGTCTCAAAAAAAAAAAAAAATTCTTAAATCCTTCCACATAAGTGGACACAGGGCTCTGCCATCCCACGAAGCAGTTTATTATGTCATCCAGCTAAGCACTGCTGCATGAGTTTTCTAAGAGAAGGCAGATACCTGGCCTACATCCTTTTGATGACTCCACTCTCTCTACTCATGCCAGACATTACCAATGGAGCATGGCACTCTGGGCAAGCCAGCCAATGCTAATCAATTGCATCTGGCATGCGGAATGAAGCATATTTCACTAGGCTCCCCTCCTTCCCCACTCAGAGCCTTGGCCACTCATGTGTCCCCTTTTCACCTGGCGGCCAACCAGGCCTGAGCCACTTCTGCAGACGCGTGCGTAGAACTTCATGCAGGTCTGTTTCAGGCAGGGCTTACACTCTTCCCAGAGGGCCATCATGGTCTCATTGCACACTCCTGGGAGCTCCTTCAGCTTTGTCTCTGATTCCCTGGTCTCATTTAGGGCATCCTACAGGAAGACACAAGGCTGGCTGAGCCACACAGAGACCACAGGCTCATGCACTCAAAGAGCTGCTGGGTGCCAGGCCCTCTGCCCCAGGGCAGGCCTTCCCATAGGCTGGCCACCCAGCATGCAAGTGCCTACCCTTGCTCCAGTTCAAGCTTCCCCTCATTCGCCCACCTGGAATCCCCTTCCCACCTGGCTTAAAGAATCCACTCATCCTTCAAGATCCAACTGTTCCCTAACTCCTAGAAGCTTCCCAACTCCTGGAACCCATGTGGACACCACCTCTCTCTCTGATCACCTACTCAATGACTACCCTCTCACTGAAGCCTCATTTCCTATTCTCTGCTTCTGGTGTTTAAATTTCATCTTCCAAAGCAGGCTGCAGACTCCCTGAATCTTACCTTTCTATTGCAACCATGCCTCCTGGCGTGCAAAGGGAATGGCAGGCATTCAGCACCAAAGCCACACCAGCTATCAAAATTCTCTAACGGGCCCTTGCCACTTGACCCAATAATTCTGTAAGAATCTGTCTCAGGCCAGGTGCGGCAGCTGACACCTGTAATCCCAGCACTTTGGGAGGCCGAGGCAGGCATATTACTTGGGGTCAGGAGTTTGAGACCAGCCTGGCTAACATGGTGAAACTCCATCTCTACTAAAAATACAAAAATTAGCTGGTGTGGTGGTGCACACCTGCACTCCCAGCTACTTGGGATGCTGAGGCAGGAGAATCGCTTGAACCTGGGAGGCGGAGGTTGTAGTGAACCAAGATCAAACCACTGCACTCCAGCCTGGGTGACAGAGCAAGACTCTGTCTCAAAAAAACAAAACAAAACAAAACAAAACAAAACAAAGACTCTATCTCAAAGGAATCCCCTGACAAAGAAAAAGATACTTAAAAATATTTGAAACAGTATTAGCTTATGGCAAAAAAAAAAAAATCAGAACCAACCCAGATGCTTAAAAGAGACAGATTAAACAAACTATGGTTCATATAAAGGGTAGATGGTACATCATTACAAAGGATGTTTATAGTCCATTTTGAATATTATATGTTAAAAATTCATAATTTTAAATATAGCCACTGTCAAAAAAGCATAGAAGAAAATAATAGGAAAAATAGATCAAATGTTAACAGTGACTTGTCCTTGGGCAAAAGGATTATGGAAAAACTTTTCCTTTTCTACTTTTCTATATTAAAGTCTCTATGAATGAGTGTGTTAGTCTTCAAAAAAAAAAAAATAGCCTATCCACACCCCAGAGTTAGGTGAGGTCTTTGTCCTGCTCCATCATCCCCTGTCCCCTGCTGGGCAAGGACAACCCACCTCCCACTGAGCCAAGACACAAGCGCCACCCCTGCTACCTACTTCCTTGCCTTCTGGCTCACCTACTCCTCAACTAAGAAGTAGCAGGCTCTTTTCTCCAAATGTATGTGATGTGCTTTATTATAAAACCAGAATTGTTGAATGTCAAACTCCAGTGATAACCACAAAAATGTGAGAACAAGTCATGCCCCTTCCCCAGGAGCTATTTGAGGATTCTCATAGAATGGTGAGAACTGATACTAAGGCCAAGAAAGGGCATGAAACTTGAAAAAAAGGTAGAGCCACATCCAGGCCAGCAATCCCTGAAGTGGCTCCTATGGAGCTGTGCTCAAAGCGGCCAGGAAAAAAAAACAAAAACAAAAATGAATTCCCTGGTCAGTTTGGAAAACTCTGGGTTTCATGGAGTTACACAGGTTTCTTTACGGCAGAACTTCTCAGAGCCTTTGAAATGCTTTTAACATGCACGATGGATCATGAAGCTTGCAGGTAGCTACATCTTAGCATCTGAAGTAGGGCGACCGTGAGAGGAGGTTTGTAGGATACTCTTAAGGAGACTTGATTTCTTAAATAAGTTGTTCATTGAATTATAGTGTTTTAGTTTTGTTGAATCATTAAGCACAGGCTAGACCTGCTATATCCACTACTGGGCTTAAGATGTTTCTTTATGAAGTAGTCCAGAACTCTAGCAAGACGTGGGGTGCTGTGTGCCTGCCTTAACCCTAACCATATCACCCCTATTAGATAAGCTTCCTGAAGGTTGGACGCCACGCCTGTCTGGGCCCCTGCCGCCACCCCATCCAGAGCCTGCTTGGAACTAGCATGTGATCAGGGCTTAGAAACATCTATTGAAATGAATCTGGGCATTAGGCCCTGGGCCAGGCTCATAACAAAACCAGATCCAAGATCTCACTCCCTGATGCTTTCAGAAGCAAATGAACCTTCCCTGCTTCTTAATTGCAGCCTCAGCATCAGCTGACACAGCCTGGGAGGACTGCGGGTCACCATGGCAACCCAGCAGGGCACCGCGCAGTGACCCCCTCCCTCCCCTCCAGTGGGATGGTCAAGGCAGGGAGGCGGTAGCGGCTCCTCCTGACCTCTTTCTTCTTCTTGGCTTCTTCTAGGTTGCTGAGCAGTGTCTTGCGCTCTTCGTTTGTTTTTTCTATGAGAGTCTTTATCTGTTTCACCCCGTTGACAGCATTTTGAATTTCCTTATTGACGTACTTACTTCCCTGATTGGACATTTCTGCAAGAGAAGTGCAAGAGGCAGAATGAGGCGAGAGGAAGAGGTGGCCTCAGGACCCTGGAATGAGCTGGATGGCCAGAAAGGCCCGTTCAGTTCAGGGGCTGTCAAGGCTGGGACCCCCACTCCTGCCAGCAGGCAGCAGCATGGCCCCAGCCTTGCCCTGGCACAGGCTCCCATCACAGGCTCCTTGCTGACTGCACCCTACTGCTTAGAAATGCAGACCATGGGAGCCGGCACACCCAGAGTTATGCCCAGCCACTGCCATGTGCCCCTGGAGAATGAGCTGGGTGCAGAAGAAACTTGGCAAGGAAAAAAAAAAACCCAGAAGTGTCAGCTTTGCAGCATCAAAATATAAAATATTGTTATTTTGGACACAAATCTTTCTAGAGTTCAGTTTAAACAGATATGTGTATTTCTTTGTTCCAATGCAGTGCCAGGCGACAGGAATAAGAAGATGAGTAAATGAGTAAGGTATAGCACTGGTGACAAATGCAGCGAAACACTGTGTCACCTAAGTGCTACTTCACTGGTGTTTATCCCATGCCAAGCACTGCGCCAAACACTTCATGTGCAGTTTACATAATGCTCCAGCCCCCCGCCGTGCCCACTTCGCAGAGGGAGACATGGGAAGTGTGATATGATAAAGGGTCAAAGTGTTCATCAGGTAGGAGGAGTATGTTCTGGAGGTCTAACATACAGGTGGTGCTTATAGTTAATAACACCATATCATAACTGGAAATTTGCTAAGAAAGTAGATTTTAAGTCTTCCCACCGTCCCACCATAAAAAGTGGTCATCATTTCAATGTATGTGCATTTCAAAACATCACGTCATATACCTTAAATATACACAATTTTTATTTGTTAATTATATCTCAATAAAATGGGGGGTGGGGGGAGTGTCATGAGATCAAGATAGTGGCCCAAAGTCACCCAGCTGAGAAGAGGTGAAACAGACTCACACCCATGTCTGATCTGGGTTTTTAACAATGATCCTGCAGAAACCGTCAGCTCACAGGAGGGATAAGCTCTGGGCACTCCAAAGGGGAGAGGGATAAGAGCTCCGGTGGTCCAGACACAGCTTCGTGGAGGAGGCCTGGGAGCTGGGCTAAGGGGCCTGGGAGGGGAAGAGCTGAATGAAATGCAACAGCCGAAAGTGCTTGGGAAATGCCTGCAAATGCCGGCAGTCTGATGCACGCAGAGCCTGAACCAGGGGCCTCGGAGCTGAGGCTCAGAGTGGGCCCAGACACAGGCACCCAGACCCAGTGCACAAGATAAAAACGGTCTGTAACACTGGGGCCTGATAGAGAGGCACTGAGCAGAATTAGCTACCCTGCCCTCTGACCTCATCACCCTGTGGCCAGAGGAACATCATGCTTGGTCTACTCACCCTGGAGCTCATTGTCTGAGACCGTCTGGTCCCCCAGGACCTGCCCACTCTCCCAGGTCAGCAGCAGCCCCACAAACAGCAGCAGAGTCTTCATCATGCCTCCAATTCTGGAGTCTTTGCACGCCTCTGCAGAGAACAGGAGACCATCATGGGAACAGCTAGACAGCCTGCTGGCGTCCCGCCCACCTGCTGCCTGCAGCAGCTCCCCAGGGCCTCACTGCCCTCAGCTGTCCCCACAGCAGGCACTGCTGCACTTTTATTCCTGAGGAAATGGGGGGAAATGACCAGACTTGCCATGGACACCTCGAATGAAAGCGAAGGCAGGAGGTGCAGGGAGGGAGGGACTGCAGGACAGCAATGTTGAGTGGAAGAAACAAGAACCCTGGCATCGGAGGAACCAGGCTCTTGTCCAAGCCACATCCTCCCCGACAATCAGCGAGGCACACAGGCTTTCTGCATCCTGGCCTCCTTGTCCAGAGTGGTATCGATCATGTCAGACACTGAAAATACCCCCCTTAGGTCATGCATCCGTCCCTCCCCATGCCACCTCCACAGAGGGACTGCATCCCAGAGACCAGCCACGTCCTCTGCAATGTGCACCTAAACCTTCACCCCAGCAGACGCTCCCCATTCACCACAGCGCTGCAGCCCCCAGGGAGTCTCAGCACCACCTGAACTTGACTTTCAAGAGCCGGAGGCAACAGCAGCCAGCCCTTCACACCGAATCCATCTGCATCCCTAGTGGGAGACTTGGGCCGGGCTGCCTGTGCATTCAGGGGTGGAAGTAGTGGAAGCCAGGAAGGACAATTCCCTTCGGAGAGTAGAGAGGGTTCGCAGTGGCCCGAGGAGCAGGCTTCCCAGAGAAAGTCCCTTTGGAAGGATGAGTCCTCTTGCTCTGCCAGGCCCTCCACACTGCCCATCCCCTCTAAGCCGACAGCAGGCTGCCCTGCCAGTGTTCCTGCCACCACTGGGCTGGCTGCCCTGAGCCACGGGGCACAGGCCATAGCCCCGGTCTTACACAATGGACCCTTTCCCAGAAGCTGAGGCTGTTGCATAAAACAGAAACCCCTCCCCCTGCACTCCACCCCCACCATGCCCCTCCCAAGAACTGCTTATCTGAGCTCACCCATTTGCCATCACAGAACCAACAGGACGATGGGGTTCCCCTTCCTGAAATGGTTCACATCCAAAGCCCGCTCAGCCCAGCAGGCCCATCTGGACACTCAGTAGCACATTAACAAGGAGTGCCTCTCATGAGAAGTAATCAGGCGCAAAGAGCCAGGGAGCAGCGTGGGAGAAGAGATGGGGTCAGCGCCTTCCCCAGAGATGGGGTAGGGGGCGGAGACCGGGCTCACCAGGAAGGCTGTGGTCTCACGGGCTCTGCCCCAGCTGCCCACTGAGCCCTGAAATGCCTCCAGCAGGAACAGAGCCTTTGTCATGCCAGAGAGACAAAGCCAGCCAGAAACACCTCTCTGCCAGGGGCCCCTGAAAGCAACAACTTCTGGAAAAACCCATTCAGAACTAGGTTCTGACCAGAAGACAGGGTGCTGGGCCATGAAGAATGGGGCAGCCAAAGGCAAGATACAGGAAAGGAATTCCAGACTCAGCAGCGGGCACAGAGTCTGCTCCAGGGAGCCTGGGGTCCCTGGTGAACCATCCAGCTCAGACCTGGGAAGGAGGTCGTTCTCTCACCCAACCTCTCTACCCTAGCGGTGAGGCTGAAGCCCAGAGAGGGCATGGGACTCCCTAGAGTCCACAGCATGCTCATGGTAACCCTGGGATGAGAGCCCAGCCCTCCCGACCCCTAGTCCAGTATTCTTTCCTTGATTCCAAGTCACTTAAATATCTGAGCCTCAGTTTCTTCATCTGTAAAATGGATCTAATCCAGACCTCAGAGAGGGGAATGTGTTCTGTAAACACGAGGGTCTTATGTAATCATAGTAAATTCTGACTACTTCCAAATTAGACTGAGGTCTGAGGCTGGGCATTGGCAGTGTCTAATCAACATGTCTGGAGAGGGGCAGGAAAACCGAGACAAGCACACAGAGGCCACCTGTGGTCCCCCGGACTGTGTGGCTCTGCTTTGCTGAAATGATTGACCACTTTTTAAAGTACTTATGAATCACTGCAGGGCTGGTTATAATGTTGGTTCTGAGACTGCTTTTCCAGCCAGTCTGCAGGTGATATGGATGCTGCTGATCCAAGGAATGTTCTAGAACCGTGACTGCACAGCCGACCTCCTTTCCTTTGCTCGGACTCACCTCCCCCCTCATCTCCTCTGCCTCCTGGGAGCCTGGCTGCCAGCTGCCCTGGGTGGAAGAGCCATGCCAAGGCCAAGGCCCTCGAGTCCCCAGCACTACCACACAGCCTCATTCTCCCTAAGAAGGCTTAAACCACTTGGCCTTGCTCCTTCTACCAGAAAAGGCCGGTTCTGTGGACAAAGGGGCTGCTCAGGGGAAGAGGAGGAGGAGAAGATGGCGGGGGGTGGGGGGCAGGGGGGGCGGGGGGAGCAGGCAGACTTTGGGAGCAACTCCCCTCCAGGCACACCCTCCTGGGAACTTTGAACTGAGCAGCTTCCCAAAACGTTTCCAAGCAGGGCAGGGCTGGAGGCTTAAGAAAATCAATGACCTGGCAGGGCGCATTGATTCACACCTGTCACCCCAGCACTTTGGGAGGCCAAGACAGGCGGATTACTTGAGATCAGGAGTTCGAGACCAGCCTGGCCAAGGTGGTGAAACCATGTCTCTACTAAAAATACAAAAATTAGCCGGATGTAGCAGCATGCGCCTGTAGTCCCAGCTACTCAGAGGCTGAGGCATGAGAACTGCTTGAACCCGGATGGCGGAGGTTGCAGTGAGCCGAGATGGCGCTACTCTACTCCAGCCTGGGCAACAGAGTGAGACTTGGTCTCAGGAAAAAAAAAAAAAAAGAGAGAAAAGAAAGAAAGAAAATCAATGACTGTGAACAGGGAGCCGTGGGGAGGATGGGAAGACAGTGAAGAGGGCACACAGATGGTGAGGGTTTCAATCCCAAAGCCCCGGCTCCTATCTGCTTCTTCAAATGGAGAAAACTAAACCAAAAGGAAAATAAGAAAAATAATCACCGGTAATTCATATCACCCAGAGGCAAAGGTTAGCACTGTGGTATATTTCCTTCTGTCTTCCATGCAGTTTATACAAGATTCTTCACATTCACCATCTTCAAATATTCTTTAAGGGCATACTTTTATGGCTATGTAATACTCCACTTACTCACGGACCTAAGTTTATTTTACCATTCTCACAAGATTGGCCATTTCAGTTGTGCCCAATGCTCCACTATTATTATAACTTAACATTTTCATGGGCATCTTTTTTTATATAGTATCTGTACTTTCCTTTAAATTCCTAACCTCTCCGTTTAAAAAATAATAATAAAAATCATATTTTTTTTAACTAGGTCCAGAAATTCTGGAAGGTCAAGAGGCTTTGGCTCGAATCCCAATTCTGATACTTATTTGCTGTTTAGTGTTGGCACCAGTCCTAAACCTCTCCAGGCCTCAGATTATCATCTGTAAAATGAGACTGTGGAATCAGAGGTCTGAGGCCTGGTGGATCTTGTGTGACTTTTCTCTGATGCACCTCAGATGCATTAGGAGGCAGAAAAAGTCGGATTTCGGTGGTTGCAGCATATACTGAAATCCGCAGCCTCATACTTACAGGCAACAGTGTCCAGAGAGCTAGAGAATTTAGAAGAAAACTAGATGACTCATGCATGCAAGCCGAAAGCCACAACTGAGAGATCCGCATCTTCGCAGAGGATATGCTGCAGGAAGGAGCTCGGTGCAGGCCAGCTCTGTCACCTGCTAGCCTGGGTCTCCCGCAACGCGGCAGGTCTCCAGGTCTCAGTTTCCCCATCTTTGCGAAAGGATGATCATTATATCTGTTCTATTTACCCCCCCACCACAGAATTGTGGTTGGAGCTCGTGCTCTCAGGCGGCGGTTGCGCCGGGGCCCCTGGCTCAGCTGCCTGGTGATGGGGCTCCGGCCACCTCCCCTCCCTGGCTTCCTGGGCTCCGTCGAAAGCGCAGGGGTTGTGACTGCGAGCTGTGTCATCCCTCTCTGCCTGGCTGCCATCCCCTGCCCGCCCATCCGTCCTGGTGTGGCTCTGCTCAAGGGTAGGGAAGACGGGGACATCTCACCGGTCAGCGGCACCCTGTGCCCGCGCGCTCCTCCTGGCGACGCCGCGTTGTGGGCACTGGGAGGCGCCGTATTTATAGCGCTCTGCTCGCGCACACACCCCCTTTGGGGCTGGCTGCAAACCTGCATGACTCACGCCCAAAGAATGCCGCGGAAAGCAAGGGGAGCTTTCTGGAAGCCGGGAGGTGGGGGCCGGTGCAGCACCGGGCTGGGGGCGCCGGGGGGCGCATCATCACCACGAATAGCTGTGCTGGCTCCAGGAGAGACCCTGAGGTGCGGCCGCTCGGCGCTTCCAGTAGGGAAGAGCCTGAACTCGCGTGCCCATCTGGGAGCCCCTCTCACGCGGTTAGCCCGGCTGTCTGTCCCAGTCCAAGACACAATCTCACAGTTCCCTGGCCCTACTGACCTTAACCTTCACATTACACAAGCGCCACTTCTCTTGACCCATTTAAATAGTAAAGAGTCAGACATAATGAGGGTGGGATGGAGAGGGGCCTTGTGCTGGAGAAGAGAGCACAGGAAGTATTGAAACGCCTACTCCTGGAAACATCACACTGATGGGGGTCCCTGGACTGACCCGCCAGGCCTGGAGGAAACAGAATTGTGTTTAGGAGTGATCAGAGCAGATATGTGGAGAGCCAGAAGGCCTCTCCGGGGTCCTTGATCCACAGAGCTTAAGCAATCACTGTCCCCATCTTTTTGGAACCCAACCAAGCAGGGTGGGCTTCATGGCTGTGGGACCCTTGCAGATCCACGTTTGGTTTAATGGGCTACTGTGACGGTCTTGAAATTCTTCATAGTTTTTGAACCAGTGGACCTGAATTTTTATTTTGCCCTGAGCCTTCCCAGTTAGGAAATCAGATCTGTGTCCAGAGGGGTTTGCTGGTCTCCAACTGCTGGAGTTCCTTCTGCTGAGAGCAGGGAGAATCTCCTGTCGCAGCCACCCCTCCCCCTGGCAAGGAGGGGCAAATCTAGGAACCCTGGAGGTGCAGCTACTTCTTGGGGAAGAAAGTGAGCTGCCCATTTTGGAGCCAGGGATGTTTAAGCCCCAGGAGAGAAGTCAAGGGGCTGACAGCTGGGGCAATGGGTGGACAGGGCGGGTACAGGCAGCCCCACTGTGGGTGGCAGACTTTGAAAACCATGTGAAACAAAGGGGCTTAAAGGAGAGCTGCGTGGTCAGGGGCTGAGTTTTCCAGTTCAGGATCAGGACTATGGAGGCACAACATGGAGGCCCAGTCCCTTGCTTGCCCAACGTCCAGGGGCCACTAGGACCCCAGTCCTTTTCAGGAGGCAGCCTCGGGGAATCTTCAAGGCCCATGACTAAGTGGGAGAACCCAGACCAGGTCCATGAAAGTCTGATTACAGTCCTAGGTGTGCCCCTAGACACTGGGTGACCTCGGACTAATCACTTTGCCCTTGGGCCTCAGTTTCTTCCATCTGGACGATGAGGAATCGGGAATGGATCATCTCCACGGCTCCCTGCAACCTAACCTAGAGCCAAGCCAAGTATTAGAAGGCCATTAACCCAGAAGAAGAAAAAAATGTCCCAGAAGAGGCTACACTTTATTTTTCTTAAAAAAAAAATGTCTAATTATCAGTAACAGCTACATTTTCTGTGGACAGTGCCTGCTCCTTATCAGTGCCTGCTCCTTATCAATACCTGAGGTTAGAAGAATTGTTTTTGAGCTCGCTCCTTGTAACTTTTCTGTTCTGTAGCTCCCTCAGCATCCGGAACAGAAGGCATAAATCTAGTTATATTTTTAAAAATTAGACTTTGGAGGTCAGTCAGTGAGATCCGCCTTAGCCAGCTGAATTAGGGGAAGGGAAGAGAGGAAGAAAGGACTTGGGAGAAAATAGCATGATTCACAGATTCACAGTCATGACTGTGATCCCTTGGGAATAATTACTTGATTATTCCCACTACTAAGCAAACAAGGTTCAGAAGGTCAAACTTTGAGGAAAGAAAAGTGTAAATTTTGAAAGCGCCATAAATGCATCACCAGATGTTTCATATTCTAAGCAGATCATAGACATTGATTGGTTCAGGACTCACACACTGCTTGATTCCTACCCCATCCCCAGCATCTGCACCCGGTGGTCATCCTGCCCATGTTTGAATGCCACCAATAACAGGGAGCTCACTACCTGCCATGCAACCATTTGTCTAGTAAAGCTGTTGATAAAGTTAGGGCCTTCTTTGGTTGAGTCACAGTCTGGCTCGTGTATGGGCCAATCCGGAGCCCAGTTCTGCCCTCTGGAGCCACACAGAGAAAATCCAGCCTATCTCTCCCATAGTGCCCCTTCTGATATTTGAAGGCAACGTAGTCTGCTTTTCCCAGTGACCTCCAGGCTTGCAGCTCCTTGCCTTGCCGTGGTTTGCAGACTTTTCCCCAGCCCTTTGACATTCTGGACCTCATCTCTCTTGAAACCCTTGGCCCAGCCCTGGACTAGCCAATGCCAGTGGGGAGCCTTGGACCAGCCAATGCCGGAGGGCCTGAGCACACAAAGCAGAACAGGACCACCCCTTCCCTTGCCCTAAACACTCCAAATAAGCTTTATCAGATGCTGAGTCACTGGGCTGATTCATAGAGAATGCATCATCTTCTTGGCAGGTGCTGCTGTTTGATCCTCTGTCTCCCATTATGGACTTACACAGCTGGGTTTGGGGCATTAGCTTGATTTATTTTCTTGGAGAGTCAGAGCCATGGGGAGGGCCAGGGAGGGATGAGTAAAGACCCTTGCATTTATCTGTTTATCTATGCTTTGTGCACCATCTCTGGCTGCCTGAATGTCTCTGGGGCTGCTTCGCTACGCAGTGTCCTTATTACACATCCCCAACCAGCCTTTGTCTGGCTCAGCACCACAAGCAGGACAGCTCAGCCAGCAGTCTGATACAGCTGGAACAAACTAGGAATGGGCAAGAGCAGTATCCTGTGGCCTGTGATTAAGAATCACTCTCAGATGGGCGTGGTGACTCACACCTGTAATCCTAGCACTTTGGGAGGCTGAGGTGGGAGGATCACTTGAGTCCAGGAGTTCAAGACCAGCCAGGGCAACATAGCAAGACCCAGTTTCTACAAAAATTAAAAAATTAGCCAAGCATGGTAGTGCATGCCCGCAATCTCAGCTACTCAGGAAGCTGAGATGGAGTATCGCTTGAGCCCAGGAGGTCAAGGCTGCAGTGAGCTACGATCGCACCACTGCACTCCAGCCTGGGCAATAAAGTGAGACCCTGTCTCTCAAAAATAAAAATGAAAAAAATAAGAGAATCACTCTCCAAGGGGAGCAGGGAGGGAGGATGGTGAGAGATTGGTCAACCAGTACACAGTTAAAGTCAGATGGGAGGGATAAGTTCTGGTATTCTATCGCATAGTAGAGTTTAACTTTTTTTTTAGGTCCCAGTATCTATTGCTCCCCTCTATGTGTCCATGTGTTCTCATCATTCAGCTCCCACTTATAAGTGAAAACATGCAGAATTTTGTTTTCTGTTCCTGTGTTACTTCACTTAGAATAATAGCCTCCAGCTCCATCCATGTTCCTGCAAAAGACATGATCTCGTTCTTTTTTATGGCTGCATAGTATTCCATGGTGTATACCGTAGTATTCCATGGTGTATATATACCATATTTTCCTTATCCAGTCTGCCACTGATGGGCATTTAGGTTGATTCCATGCCTCTGCTATTGAGAATAGTGCTGCAATGAACATATGAGTGCATGTGTCGTTATGGCAGAGCAATTTATATTCCTATATATACCCAGTAATGAGATTGCTGGGTGAAATGTTAATTCTGTTTTTAGCTCTTTCAGGAATCATCACACTGCTTTCCAAAATGGTTGAACTAATTTACACTCCCACCAACAGTGTATATAAGCCTTCCCTTTTATCCACAACCTCACCAGCACCTCTTATTTTTTGAATAATGTATATTTCAACATAGGTAGAAGAGAGAACTTACAATGTTCTCACCACAAAGAAATGTTTGAGATGGATTTGGTAATTACCCTAATTTGATCCTTACACAATGTGTGCACGTATCAAAACATCACATTGTACCCCACAAATATGTACCATTCTCGTGTCAGTTTTAATTTTTTTTAACTTAGTGAAAGGCTGGGTGCAGTGGCTCACGCCTATAATCCCAACACTTCAGGAGGCCGAGGTGGGGAGATCACTAGGTCAAGAGACCATCCTGGCCAACATGGTGAAACCCTGTCTCTACTAAAAATACAAAAATTAGCTGGGCATGGTGGCACGCGCCTGCAGTCCCAGCTACTCGGGAGGCTGAGGCAGGAGAATTGCTTGAACCCGGGAGCTGGAGGTTACAGTGAGCTGAGATCGCACCACTGCACTCCAGCCTGGCAACAGAGTGAGACTCCATCCAAAAACAAACAAACAAACAAACAAAAGGATGGATTTGCTAATTACCCTAATTCGATCATTACACAAACGATCTTAGTAAAAAGATCACAAATGATTCTTAGTAAAAAAGAATCACTTTCCAAGCTGTAATTATTTAATGGGTATATACATTTATTTAATCAATTACAGGCCCATGATCAAATGGTGGCTAATAAAATCATATCCAGTGAAATCAGCCCATAGATGATACAGAGGTATTCTGAGTGATTTTCTCCGGACCTCCGTAAAGTCCAGAAACATTCACTCCATCAGTGGGTGTGTCTCATCTCCCCATTCAGGATCTTCTTGGGTAAAGGTCTGAGGCTAGCCAATCCTGAACTGTTTAGCATGTGCCTACAAGTAAACAAATGTCGCTTATGCCACCTTCACTGTCCCTCATGCTATTGAGTGGCTATGTGTTCTGTATTTCACTCCAGAGTTGCTTTACTGTGACCTTTAGCTCCAATTATTAGGTGAATGAGCCCTTCAAAAAATGGTGCCAGATCTGCTTTAAGTCAAACCTACTTTTTCCACAACTACCCAGATGGCAATTAATACTTATTTTAGATCAATGGTTCTCAGTGGAACTACACAATGGATATACAATGGAATCTCCTGGGAACTTTAAAAATTATCAGTGCCTGAGTCCCACCTCCAGAGGTTATGAATGAATTAATTGTGGGTGCTGCCAGAGCATCAGGATTTTAAAACTCTCCAAATCATTTTAATGAGCACCTAAAGTCGAGGACCACTTCTGAATTTACCCCATCTGTTCCTTACTGCACCTCTCTGTCATTATTAGAGCATCTGATATTGTTCTCATTTTATAGAAGATGTAAAAGAGGGCAAAGGAATCTTGGCAGGGTTTTGTTTACACAGAGCTAAAGTCTGCCTCCTTATAACTTCTTTTTTTTTTGGTTTTGTTTTGTTTTTTAATACGGAGCTCATCCCGTCGCCCAGCCTGGAGTGCAGTGGCATGATCTCGGCTTACTGTGACCTCCTCCTCCTGGGTTCAAGCGACTCTTGTGCCTTAGCCTCCTGAGTAGCTGGGATTGCATGTGTGCACCACCACACCCGGCTAATTTTGTATTTTTAGTAGAGACAGTGTTTCACCATGTTGGCCAGGCTTGTCTTGAACCCCTGACCTCAAGTGATCTGCCCGCCTCTGCCTCCCAAAATGCTAGGATTACAGGTGTGAGTCACCGCGCCTGGCCACCACCTTATAAATTCTTTGTCCCATATCTTATTTCTAAATCAATACATGATAAGTTGGTCCCTCCCACAAGAAAGCCCTTCAAACATTTGAAAACCAATATTGTATCTCAGCTTAAATGTATTTCCTTACAGTGTAATGTCCCTCAACATCCTCGCATAGAGTGGAGTTTCCAGATAACCTCACTCTTCTCATCCCTGCCCCCAAGGATGCCACATTTCTTCATTGTCCCTCTGTGTGGCTTTTACACCAAACACAGGAGAACTGCTTTGACTGGCCAGGGGAGAGTGTGGCAGGGCACTTACTACCTGTGATTTGAGAGGTGTCACTCCCTGTGCTCCCAAGGCACTCTCTGCTTCCTTTTGTATTATATTATACCACACTGTGCTTCTCAGATTGGCTTGAGCTGACTTCTGGGGAGGTTGTACTGTACACAGAGACAAGGAGGCCACTGGCTCTGGTATTACTCAGAGATTCAGGGGGGAAAGTTAATGTTTAGTGAGTAAACTTCCTTTTCCCTTCCCTCCCTCCCTCTGGCTCTCCCTTCCTCCATTCCTTTCTTCCCTCCTTCCTCCCTTCCCTTCTCTTCCCTTCCCTTCCTTTCTCTCTGTCTTATTTTCAATTCCTCACTAAATCTCCGGCTTCTAAAGTTAAGTGGATGTCTATTTATATACATACATATACATGTATTTATATTCAGAATATATGTGTGCGTGTGCGTGTGTGTATATATGTGTGTATGTATATATCTATCTAGATATTGATATCTACAAAATGGATTTTGCCTTTTTATCTTTTCCAAAAAATAAATTCAAAATTATATGATACATATTGCTCTGCTATCTACTCTTTTCCACTTAATAAAATATTATTGATATCTCTCTGAGCTAATGCACAGATAGATCTAACTCATACTTTTTAATAGCTATATAATATTCCATGGTGAGGCTGAACATATTTTCTTCAGCCATTCCCCTTGTCCAAGTTTTTGCTGTCACTCTGAGCAGTGCCACAATAAACAGCCTTCTGCATGCATCCTAATTTGTTAGAGCCTTTATTGCTCTATATGAGGTAGATTGTCCCACTGAGATGCCTGGATGAAAGAGAACATGTATTCCTAATGCTCATATATCTTGCCTGATGACTTTCCCCAAAAGCGTCTGTGGCTTCCACCCTGTCTGAGAATGTCCATTACCATATGATCATCGGGCTGGTGTTGATCCTTTGAATTTTTGCCAATCTTGTGGGTGAAAAATGACATTTTTACCACCTTAATCTCTTTGTATATTTTTTGTTTTCAACTATTTATTTTTAAATAAAATTTCCCCTCTGTCACTTGTCTATCCATATTGTTTGCTCATTTTATCAAGTTATTCATCTTTTTTTCTATCAATTTATAGGTGCTCTTTAAATAGAGAAAGTGACCCTTTGTGTGTTGTCAGTTTTTTTCCAACCAGATTATCATTTTTTTATCTTTGATTACCAAGGACTTTTTGAAGTTTTTATGCAAGTGATTTTTGTTTATCTTTTTCTTTATAGTTTCTAAATCTCATGTCTTGTTTCAGAATGTCTTCCTCTGGCTAGAAGACAGATAGCTATTCTAATTTTCTTCTAACTTTCTATTGTGTCAATTTCTTATTAGATAGGTAATCAAGATGGAATTGATATGTTTATGGTGTATGTGTGTATGACTGTGTGTATGCGTGTGTAAGAGAAGGATGACGTAGGATCTAATTTCATTTTCTTCCAGATGTATAGCCAATTATGTCAACACAATATATCAAATAAATCACCCTAATCACACTGAGTTGAAATACCATTTTTTCACATATAAATTTCCCCAAATAAACTTGGATCTGTATCAGGACTTTCTAGTTTATTCCTCTGATTCCTCTCTTCATGCATAATATACTGTTTTAATAACATAGCTTTAAAAAATATTATTTTATTTATTTATTTTTGAGACAGGGTCTCACTCTGTCACCCAGGCTGGAGTGCAGTGTCATGATCATGGCTCACTGCAGCTTCGACCTCCCTAGCTCAAGCAATCCTCCCATCTCAGCCTCCCAAATAGCTGAGACTATAGGTGCACGCCATCATGCCCAGTTAATTAAAAAAATATATTTTTTTAGAGACAGGATGTCAGTATGTTACCAGGCTGGTCTTGAACTGGCTCAAGAGATCCTCCCTCCTCAGGCTCCCAAAGTGCTGGGATTACAGGCATGAGCCACCACTCCCAGCCGTAACTACATAGCTTAAAAACAATATTTAATATTGAGAAAGTAATCTTCTTCACTCTTCCTTTTCAAATTTTCTTGACTTTTCTTGGACATTAATTCTTCTAGATAAACTTTAAATTAATTTTGCCCCATTGAAAAAACATGGCATTAGGCCTGGTGCATTGGCTCATGCCTGTAATCACAGCAATCTGGGAGGCTGAGGCAAGAGGATCACTTGAGATCAGGAGTTCAAGACCAGCCTGGGCAACATAGCGATAACCCCATCTCTACAAAAAATAAATTAAAAAAAATGAGCCGGGCATGGTGATGTATGCCTGTGGTCCTAGCTAGTTAAGAAGCTGAGGCAGGAGGATTTCTTGACCCCAGGAATTTAAGCCTGCAGTGAGCTATTACAGCACCACTGCACTCCAGCCTGGGCAACAGAGTGCGACACTGTCTCTAAAAAGAAAAAAATAATTAAAAGAAAAAAGAAAAAACATGGCACTGCAATTATAATTGCTTTAAATTTACATATTAGTTTTAGAAGAATTCACATTTCTATTCTTTCTTCCTGTGTAGGACAATAACATATGTCTAGAGTTAATTCAAACTATTATTTTTATTTGTAAATGCATTTTTATACAAATTAAAAATATCAGCTCCTACCCTCAATTCAGTAAAACCATTATTATTGAATATTAAAATATATATTTTTTCATTGTGGTATGGCGTGTAACTCTTATATAGTTTTAAAAAATAAAATGAAAGACTTCAAAGATATGTTTGCTACTTCTTTTCCATCATCATGGCAATGGAAAAATTAAAGAAATCCTGATTAAGCATTTTATATTGAAATTTATCAGATGATTGTTCACACCTTTTTCTGTCATTCAGCATTCAGCTCCTGTCTTAGTCTGTTTTTTGTTGCTTATAATAGAATATAGCAAACTGGGTAATAAATAAAGAATGAGAATTTATTTTTTACAATTATGGAAGAGGAGAAGTCCAAGGTTGAGGGGCTGCATCTGGTGAGGGCCTTCTTGCTGGTGGGGACTCTCTGCAGAGTCCCAAGGCAGTGCAGGGCATCACATGGTGAGGGGGCTGAGTGTGCCAGCTCAGGTTTCTCTTCCTCTTCTTATAAAGCCATCAGTCCCACTCCCATGATAACTCATTCATCCATTACCCCACTAATCCATTAATCCATGAATGGATTAATCCATTTATGAGAGCAGAGACCTCATGACCCAGTCACTTGGTAAAAGTCCCACCTCTCAACACTGCCACATTGAGGATTAAGTTTCAATGTGAATTCTGGAGGGGACAAATATTCAAACCATAGCACCTCCCATTCTTTAAGACACAGTTTAGCATGCAGTAGGTGCTTAATACATGCTTGTTAAATTACCTGAAATAACTTTTCCATTATTGCAATCTAAGATCCTATTTATTTTTGATTCATATCAAAGCTATACTATCCATGTGGATAGGAAACATATCTCTGGCTCATAGCACCTGGCTACACAATCAAAATACATTAATTTAATAAATGAACAAGAGCCATGCATGACCAAATATCAACTAGATCTTCTTCTCTGAATTACTAAGCTTCATCCTTTAGTGAAAATGATGTGACACTAAATGTGGGGTTTTAATTTATCTCTCTTGAATTTTATCTTATCAGTGCACTATAGCTCTCTGTCAGGATTGCTCTGAATTTTGTTCTTCCAGTTTTGAGTGAGAAACAAACAGGTAAGCTGGACTTCTGGGTCTCCATCCAGAGCATGGATAGAAATGTCCATCAGCACCCTTGTTATCATGTTAAAAGCCCAACCTGCTGCAGGGCTCCCATAAGGACATTTCTGTGTACCAAATGCTTTGGAGAATACCTTCCCCAAAGCAGTCCCATCCCTCCAGCTCTGATCCTCCTATTTTAATATGTCTAATTCCTCAACACCTGAAGACAGAGATGTTTCCAGTCCTACTTGCAGTAACCTAAAATTGCAGGACTTCCTGCAGGGATCCCTTTTCATTCTCCAGTGGATCATTCAATTAAAAGAAGCTTGCCCTTCTTACATATCCTCAAGCCTCTTTCTTTTTTCATCTATATCCAGCCCCGAATGAAGTCAGCCACTTTCATGCTGAATTTATAATTGATTCAGATGAAGAACCTAGGTAGTTTTTCTTTGCTAAGATGTTATTATATTAATCTGGAAGGGTTAAGCTCTGAAATATCTTTTGTATTAAGCTACTTTTCTCAGAACTGTATCCTTACAGAGTTCATGAAATAAGGTTCATGAACCTAATTAATGAGCCTAATTAATACCTAAGGTTCATAGGTATTAACTTGACCCTATTAAGCCCTCTTTGAAGATTTATCAGGCTACAAGAGGCCATGTTATATAGCATCACCCACTGGTTTAAGAGTGGTATTGCAATACACCTCTTGGCCATTATAATACTCAAAAATTCCAGTATTGGTAAATGTACAGTGAGGCAAGAATCCATAGACATGGGAGATACCATAGGGGAAGTTCTGGGAGGAAGTAAAAAAAGAAAGGAGACTCTTGAATTGTGAAAATATCACATAGTTCAGAGAATGGCCTTTAAAAAATCAATTTAACACTTATCCGGAGAAGTCTTCAATTGAGTATGTTGAAGGACTTTTTTTTTTTTTCAGGGCATTCTATTTCTTATTGTAAATTGAAGTCAATATTAGAACTAAACTGAAGTTTTCACTTTATAGCCAACTTTGCTGGAACACAGTTATGACATTCCCTTGACTAGTCCTCTGTGTCCTCTCAAAAATATTTTGCTCTTTAACTTCCAAAGGATTGATTTTTGTGGGAGAAACCAAGGCAGCAACACTGCATGAAGCTCCAATTCATGACATTAGAAAGTTCATTAGGGAGAAAAGGTAAAAATTCTGCAGAGGTCTGGGTTGGAGAGGGGTTCGTTAATGAGTTACTGTTCACCAACATCTTTGTTTCCCTTTTCTTCATGGTAACAGAGATAAGGGATTTTTTTCCCAGCCCCCTTAACCTCTAGTTGGAGCCATATGACTGAGCTAAGGTCAATGGAACAAACGTACCTGATAGCAATTGTGTGACTCCTCCAGGCCTGTCCCATGATTTTCTCCACTGCACACTCCTCCTATCTCTCTCCTTTCTAGCAAATCTTGTAGGCTACATATTGAAGATGGCAGCATCACAAGATGGAAGGACACTGGATCCTTGAGTCAACATTTATAAGACAGACACCAACTTGCCATGGATAGTGATATGAATGAGAAGTAAATGATTATTGTGCTGTCACTAAAATCTCAGTTATTTGTCAGAGCCAGGCATGACCATGTATGGTACTACTTGCTCTAACAACTCTAGAAATGGATAGCTTGAAATGACATGCTGCCATACTAAAAATGGAAATATGGAAATATTGCATAGCAAGTGAGGATCCTGACATTAGGAGGCTGAAGATGATAATTGGTCTTACGATAATTGGTAAACTGGGCCTATGATATTGAGGATAGCAGGCCCCATGCTATCTACTACTGAGTCAGCATGGCTAGGGGCATCTGTTAGAAAGAAGCAAAGTAGTGGTGTGTGTTCTCTGCTAGTGTCTGTATTTAACAAAGGAACACAAGGAAGAGAAAAGTGAAATAATTGACTGCTTTGCAAAGAGAAGTAAATTGGAACAAAGTCCAGAAAATTTAAGCCTAAAGGGAAGGAAAACACCAACTGCCTCTAGATCCCAGATAATAGAAGTAAATTGCAAAACTTTCCAGCAGCCAAGGCCCGCTTAGACCTAGCCAGGTGGGATGATTAGATTAAGGATGTGGCTTTTCCAGTCAACCCTTGTAGCATCAAGGTAGCTGACTGCCCTTAGGGAGAGAGGCCTGGGGGAGAGGAAACAAATTAAAACAGTAGGTTTGGAAACTACAGCTAGGAAAAAACTCTGGGTGTGGTCACTGGCCCATGGAATGGACTAGAAGCAAATAGATGAGATTTTGCTAAATGTTGAGGGACTATCATTGCCCAAAACCCCTACAGGTCCAGACCTTCACCAGTACCTTTGAGGTAGGAGGTGGGACTTGACTTTAGAGATGGGGCTTGAACACCAGATCAAATTGAGGACTAGCTAAAACAGGGGCATGGCAGGAGGAACTTTCCATAAGACATGCCCGTCAGTATGTCATGTCAATTTACCACTGTCAGGCCAACACCCAGAAGTTACCACCCCTTTCCATGCAACGACCTGCAACCCAGAAGTCACCATCCTTTTCCTAGAAATGTCTGTATAAACCACCCCTTAATTTGCATATAATTAAAAGTGGGTATAAATATGACTGCAGAACTGCCTCTGAGCTGCTAACCTGGGCACACTGCCTATGGGGTAGCCCTGCTCTGCAAGGAGCCATCCCTCTGTTGCCAATGTGCACTGCCACTTCAATACAAGTTGCTGTCTAACACCACCGGCTCTCCCTTGATTCTTTCCTAGGTGAAGCCAACAACCCTCCCAGGCTAAGCCCCAGTTTGGGGGCTCGCCAGTCCTGTGTCACCCTGACTCAGGGAGCTAAAAAACAACCTTGCTCCAAGAAGAAGTGGGCTGTGAGAAATGAACAGCCCTCAGGAATGGCTCATTCCCCAGCATCCACTTTAGATGTGCACAAAGAGCGTGGTACACCAGGAAGCACCTTCCAAAGGGCATGTCTAAGGTGTCATGGACAAGAGAATTCTTCCAGAGATCTGCATCAGGGCCTAAACAAATAATTTTCCCCACCCCAGGGTTAGAGATCTTTACAACATCTGAGGGATCTCAACATTTCTGTAGACCAGTAGCAACTCTGTGTCTTTCATTATTCCATTTTCTAAATGGGCATTTTGATTGTGATTATCAGATCCATATTCCTCCCATTTTATATGGGAGCTACAGGCTGACCTGATGAATAAGGATCACACAGAGAACCTGGACTTTGAGCTCAGTGCAATGACCAGATGGGACTTTGAGTTCCCTCCATGGTGAGGGGTGAATGTGTTTTATGTGTGAAAACAACGGAGCAAACAGGTATTTGGAGACCAGGAAGGCGAACTATGTGGAGAATGCCGGTACCCCCTGATCTGTGTTTCTTCTCTCCTTCCAGGGCATATGGCTGCCTCTATTTTAAAGCCCTCTTGCTGTTAGGTTGAGCCCAGTTTAGTGGGCTCTGGCCAATGGAATGTCAGTAAGAGTGTTGTATCCCACTTCCAGCCCAGCCCGTAAAATTCTCCTATGCATGATCCTCCATTCTCTCTTCCATTTTGCAGCCACCTTAGGGGCCATTTGTTACAGATAATGGTATTACAAGATGGAAGAACCCTGTGTCCCTGAGTCATCATTTGGAAGAGAACTGCCTAACCCATATTGAATTGCAATGTGAATGAGGAATAAGCTTTCATTGTATTAAAGATAATGGGGTGTCAGGATGGTTGCTATAGCAGCGATTGTTACTTACACTGACTAACATAAGGGTAGGGAAGGCCCGTATTTAGAAAATACACCAGCTGGGCATGGTGGCTCATGCCTGTAATCCCAGCACTTTGGGAGGCCAAGGCGGGCGGGTCACCTGAGGTCAGGAGTTCTAGACCAGCTTGGCCAACATGGTGAAACCCCATCTCTACTACAAATACAAAAATTATCCGGGCATGGTAGTGCACGCCTGTAGTCCCAACTACTTGGGAGGCTGAGGCAAGTGAATCACTTGAACCCAGGAGGCAGAAGTTGCAGTGAGCCAAGACTCCAGCCTGAGTGACAGTGTGAGACCCTGTCTCAAAAGAAAAGAAAAGAAAAGAAGGCTTGGCATGGTGGCTCATGCCTGTAATCTCAGCACTTTGGGAGGCCGAGGCTGGCGGATCACGAGGTCAGGAGATCGAGACCATCCTGGCTAACAGGTGAAACCCTATCTCTACTAAAAATACAAAAAAATTAGCCGGGCGTGGTGGTGGGCACCTGTAGTCCCAGCTACTCGGGAGGCTGAGGCAGGAGAACGGCGTGGACCCAGGAGGCGGAGCTTGCAGTGAACCGAGATCGCACCACTGCACTCCAGCCTGGGTGACAGAGCAAGACTCCATCTCAACAAAAAAAACAGAAAGGAAGGAAAGAAGAAAGAAAGAGAGAGAGAGAAAGAAAGAGAGAGAGAGAGAAAGAAAGAAAGAAAGAGAGAGAGAAAGAAAAAATATACCAATAAGAGAAGCTAACAGCGAAAGTCAAAGAAGTTTAGAAGGAGGACTAGAAGTATGTAGGATCAGATAAGCCAGAAAAGAATCAAGAAGGAGCTGTCAATGGAGTTTGTGATGGGTGATTTTATGTGTGAACTTAGGCCACATTCCCCAGATATTTGGTCAAGCACTATTCTAGATGTTTCTAAGATGAAGGTATTTTTTAGATGAGATTAACATTTACATCAGCAAACTTTGAGTAAAGTGAATTACCTTCCATAATGTGGTGGGTCTCATCCAATCAGTTGAGGGTCTTAAGAGAAAAAAGGTGTGGTCCCCTGAGAAAGAGAGAATTCTGCTTCCAGACTGCCATTAAACTTGAGCTGCAACATCACCTCTTTCCTGGGTCTCCAGCCTGTCAGTCTGCCCTGCAAATTTTGGACTTGCCAGCCTCCATAATTACATGAGCCAATTTCTTAAAATATTTATTTCTATCTTTATCTATATAATCTTTCTCTATACACCTATATCTATGGATATGGATATATATATAAAGAGATACATACATAGCTATATACATATGTCCTATTGGTTCTGTTTCTTTGGAGAACCCTGACTAATGGTGTTAAATGCTACAAAATGGTTGAAGAATTTGCAGATTTTTGAGAAGGGTATTATATTTGGCAATTATGAGGAAGAGATCAATTTCCCTGAGCACTGAGGGCTGATACTATGTTCTCAGGAGAGTTAATTAGAGCAAGGAATGAGGTGGAAAGAAAAGTGGAAATCCTGCTTAACTTGTTTGCTGGAGAGGAGTCAAGGATCAGAGCTGCAGGCGGAGGAATTGACCTTTAGGAGAAAGAGGGGTGGCTTTTGCCTAAATTAGAAAAAAGAAAGGGAAACCCACTGCAGCTTTTGAGCAGGAGGCTGGGGTGAGCCAATTATTCTGAGCAAATGAGACACTGCTCAAGAACGCTGACGTGGACTTTCTACCTTCATTAACACAGGGAAAGTTGTGCCATCAGTCATTCCCTTCCTTCTTTTCTACATGGCCTCACCTCTTTAGGTATTTCCTTTGACTTTCAACGTCGATAGGGCTTCTGTGCAGCCATCAGCCACCCTAACTCAGCTCAAGTTAAAAACAAGATTAAGCAGGTCCCCCTTCCCCACCCCACCCCATCTGGTGCCACCTGTCCCAGTTTGCACCACATCCCAATGGCCCCATAATCCAGTCTCCCAGGGGAAGTCACTCCAGATGACTCCGGTTCAACCCTCTGGTTGTTGGTAGAAATTGCCTGAATTGCAGCTGAAATCTTCTCCCAAAGCCGGAGGTCACCTCTAGGAAATCCTATCTCCTCTTTTCTTATCTGAGACGGGGCTGACTCCTTCTTTACCCTTCTCTTTCCCCTTTCTTGGCTCTGAACTATGACCTCTGCTGTCCAACTCTTCTGCTCTTTTCCGCCACTCATAAGGTGGGGCTTCTCTCCCCAGAGTCATTTTGGAACTGGGATTCATCTTCAGTACCTCTCCAGGGCTGGGTACCACCTCTGCTCACCCCGGGCCCATCTGCAACCATCTCTTTGCTGATGCGTTGGAGTTATAATAGCAACAGCCCAGGATGCCCACACCCTTTATCACCACAGGGGCAGGGGTTAGGCCGTTTTCCCCACCAACTAAGAAAGCATGGGTAAAAACGAGGGTCATTTTTTGTTATTTCTTTTTTTTTTAATGATGTAAGCTCTAATTTTATTTCTTTTTTTCTTATTGATATGTCATGATTGTATATATTTTAGGGATACATGTGATATTTTGATGCATATATGCAATGTGTAATGGCCAAACCAGGGTAACTGGGACATCCATCGTCTTTTCTTTGTGTTGGGAACACTCCATTTTTTCTCTTTCAGCTATTTTTTAAATACACAATTAATTGTTATTAACTCTAATTTCCCTACTGTGGTATCGAATACTTGTTCCTTCTATTTAGCTGTATTTCTGCACCCATTAACCAAATTCTCTTCCTCTCCCCACCCACCTTCCTTCCCAGCCTCTGGTAACCACCATTTTATGCTCCACCTCCATGAGGTCCATTTTTGTAGCTCCCTTATGTGAGTGAAATCATGCAGTATTTGTCTTTCTATACCTGGCTAATTTCACTTAACATAATGACCTCCAGTTCCATCCATGTTGTTGCAAATGACGGGGTTACATTCTTCTTTATGGCCAAATAGTTTTCCATTGTGTATACACGCCACATTTTCTTTATCCATTCATCTGCTGATGGACACTTAGGTGGATTCCATATCTTTGCTATTCTGAATAGTGCTGCAATAAACATGGCAATGTGCAGACGTCTCTTGGATATGCTGATTTCCCTTCCTTTGGATATGTACCCAGCAGTGGTTGCTGGATCATTCTGTAGTCTATTTTTAGTTTTTTGAAGAACCTCCATACTGTTTTCCACAATGGCTATACTACTTTACATTCCCACATTTTTTGAACTTTCTGTCAACAAATATTTGAGCACCCTCTATGAGAGGCAGTGTGGCGGACCAGGTCTTAGCACACAGGCATTGGATTTAGCCTGCCTAGGTTCATATTCCAAGGTCTCCACTTACTAGCTCCGTGGTGCTAAGCACATTATTTACCCTCTCCATACCTCAGTTTCCTCATCTGAAAAATGAAGGCAATAATGCTGCTTACTTCATAGAGCGGACATGAAGATTAAATAAGTTAGCATACAGGTAACCTCCAAGGTAAATAAGTTAGCATACAGGTAACCTCCAAGGTAAATAAGTTAGCATACAGGTAACCTCCAAGGTGACTATCTCCCTGGGGTTTACAAAACAGCTCTCCTGATCCATGCCCTAGTTGTGGGAGACTCAGATCATGCGGCAAACTCGGAACCCAGATACAGGTGACAGGAGCACATGACTGTCACCAGGCAGGCAATGCCCCCTCTAAACCTCAGTCTCCTCATCTGTAAAATGGGCAGCACAGTCCCTGGGATCCCCCTCTCAAGGTGGTTGTGAGGTTCTGCTGAGATCATGGAGAGAAGGGACTTCGCAAACTGTAAATTTGCCATGGCAAAATGGAGATTAGAGAGAACACAGCATCACCCTTGCTGATCTGATGGGATCTACAGACAGGGGTGGCTGTCCTTGTCCTCTTCTCTACTCCAGGCTTAGGAGACACTTTCTCTTCCCCTCGGGTCTCACCTACTTTACTTCAGCATTAAATAGGGCTTGGGGATGGGGAGATGGTGCTGACTGTGGCATCAGAAGAGACCAGGCTGGCCTGTGCCACTTTGTGGTCCCGTTTCTCCCTGCACTTTTCTTCTCATAACATTCATCCCACTTCTGCACTGCTGCTTGTTTAATTACTGGCTTTCCTAACCAGACTGGCCATGTGACATGTTCCTCACACTTCTGGAGCTTGGGGCAGAGCCTGGTCCCTTGTAGCGAAACCATTTTGGTATAGTCTGGCTGCCCTGTTTGCTTTTGGTTGCTTGCTTGCTTTTTGTTTTTCTGGTGAGTTTTTTTTGTTTTTGTTTTTGTTTTTGTTTTCTTTTTTCCATGAAGCTGAAGGCTACACCACTGAACACTGAAACTTAACCTTCATTCACTACTTTATAGGTAACATTCATAGGCCACCATGGTAATGATCTCTTCAGTTGTTTTTTAGGAACTTGGGCTAGCTCCTGTCCATCTCAAACTGGTGAGACCATTGGCCCTTCAACTGGGCAAGTGCCCCAAGAGGTGGGCTTTCAATGTCGGAGAGCCAAAAAACTCCACCCTTGGATCATGCTAACCCTGCCATTTTCTGCATATATGTCCTATGAAATACCATTAGCTCAGACTACATTGGCATGGAATGAACCTGTTTCTTCATTTGTCCCCACTGCCAATTGCCTTTCCCCATGGCTTAGACCACTCTACTTCCCTAACCCATAAATATCCTTAAGCCTGATCTTCTGGGAGGTGGATTTGAGAGCTGTTCTCCCACCTCCTCTCTTGGTGCCCTTGCCAATAAGTCTTTTTTCTCTTTTCTAAAACCCGTGTCACCTGATTGATTACCTGCAGGGGCAGCTTGCAGGGTGGGCAGATTGGACAGCGGACCTAGACCTGGCCGGCAGCTGGGAGCTCGGTAAATGTTTGTTCAATCAATGAAAAATGACACGTGAGAATCCTGAGTGGCGCTTATGACCAGTCTCAACTCCCTGCCTGCATTCACTTTCCTTGGCTGTCACTGTTTACCCCAGAGACCCCTCCACCAACAAAATCACAGAATTTGATGGCCAGGTGCAGTGGCTCAGGCCTATAATCCCAGCACTTTGGGAGGCTGAGGTGGGTGGACCACCTGAGGTCGGGAGTTCCAGACCAGCCTCCCCAACATTTTTAGTCTCTACTAAAAATACAAAAAAAAATTACCGGACGGGATGGTGCATACCTGTAATCCCAGCTACTCGGGAGGCTGAGGCAGGAGAATCATTTGAACCCAGGAGGCGGAGGTTGCAGTGAGCGGAGATTGCACCACTGCACTCCAGCTTAGATGGCTAGAGCCTCAAAAAAATAAAAATGAAAAATAAATCACAGAATGTGGCGCACTCCAGGCCCAATTCTCTCATGTAGAAAGAAGAGGCTTGGAGATGAGAACTGGATGCCCAAAGTCACTCAGCTCGCCAGGGGCAGAGCCAGGGTGCTCACAGGGTGGCCAACCTTCCACGTCTGCCCTGGACACGGGACTTTCAGTACTAAAATGTGCGGACGTCCTTCTCCCGGACGTCCTTCTCCCAGGCCCTCGACATCATAAGATGGGCGAGAAAAACGTGCAGGGCTAAAATCTGGGGTCCCCACCCCTGCCCCAGCCACTTGGCGGTCCCGATAGTGAAATGGACTAAGATCAAGGAGCTCTCCCGGTGAGCCCCCCCATTGCGGCCGCAGCGCGGGCAGGGAGGACGCCGCGGGAGCCCGGGTTCGAGGCTGGGCTGTGGGGCTGCGGGGGCGCACGGGCGAGGTAGGCGGGGCGCGGGGCCCCCGCGGCGGCACAAAGAGGCCGGCCGCGGCAGTTTTGAAAATACCAAGGAAGTTGATCTGGGCCGGGGCCCAAGAAGTGACGAGGAGGGAGGGAGGCTTGCGAGCGAGGGAGGAAAGGAGGGAGAGGGAGAGGAGAAGGCGGGAAGGAGGGAGGGAGGAAGGGTGCGCGGGGCGAGGGGCGGCGGCAGACCTCGCGGGGCCCCAGCGGGAAGCGCGGGCGGCGGCGGGATGCGCGCTCTGGGCGGCGGGGCGCGGCGCTAGGCGCCCGGCGGGGCTTCCCCAGGCTGCGACCCCGCGGGACCCTCCACTCCTCCCGCCGCCTCCGCAGCCCGCGCGCCGGAGCATGAGTCCCGGCCGGAGCCCCACGGCCGCGGGCGGCGCCTAGGACGGCGATCCGCGCCCTGGAGGATCCGCCGGCCGCCCGGCTCCACTACAGCTCCAGCCGCCTGCAGCGGGGCCCTCCTGAGGCCCCAGAGGAAGAGACCATGAAAGGTAAGGGCGGCCTGTCGGGGGCAGCTCCGAGGGGGGCCGCCTGCACCCCCGCTCCACCCAGGGCCTGGGGGGCGCCTTTTCTGCAGGCGAGGCTGAGAGGAGGGCAGGGCGCCTCTGGCTTTTCCCCTGCCTTTTTGGGCATCCTGCGAGACAGGACGGATCCCTGAAGACCAGAGGAAGCAAAGAGGAGAGGGAGGATGGGGACACTCACACACCCCCCCTTGCAGTCCTGTTCTCATCGGCCGTTGCTCTAACCTCACAAATAATTTTAAAATCCAGAGAAGTTTCTGATCCCTTTAACCAGTAGACGCAGAAAGGCATCACCAGCCCAACTTTCCAGCAGTGTAAATTTCGACCCTGGGGACCCATCAGAGAGGCCCCTGCATCCCCCACCGAGCCTTTCAACCGGGGGCCAGGCCTAGGATTCTCCCCCAGGACCTCCAGCCCTTCCCCAAAAGAGACCTGCAGTGTCAGAGCCCCTCAGCCCAGGCCCTGCCCTTCCCAACCCCTGAACCCTGCCTGACCCACCCTCTGACCTCCTTGGGAGGAAGCCGCCGGGGAAGCCCCATGGGCCAGGACTGACCTCTCCCCAG
Organism: Homo sapiens; assembly: GCF_000001405.40. Taxonomy (NCBI): domain Eukaryota; kingdom Metazoa; phylum Chordata; class Mammalia; order Primates; family Hominidae; genus Homo; species Homo sapiens. The sequence goes on from NC_000008.11 coordinate 27,634,801, forward strand.
GGTGGTGAGCCAGCAGCAGGGTGGCCCTTGCAGCCAGTTCTTGGGATGGAAATAAGAACCAGACATGATCCCAAGTGGCCATTTCCAGGGCCTGGGTGTCTTTAGGCCCCTACTTGGTCTTCAAGGTCATTTTGAGGCTACAGGAGAAGCAGGCTTTGGAGTTATCTCATGAGGCAGGGAACCTCCGAGGTTTTGAACGCCATTTCGGGTGTCTTTCAGTAATCCTCCTGTAACACCCCCAGCAGATGCTTGTGTTCCTAGCAGTGAGAACCTCACCACCTCATCTGCTTATGGAAAGTAGAAACTGAAAAGGGCCTTTGAGATCATCTACAGGGCTCTCAACCACACTCTCAGGTGCCACTGACAGGTATGGAGGTGGAAGAGGTGGGGCCAGAGCTCTCAGCCTACTTCAACCAGAGCAGCTCTGTTTGTCTCTCATACAAAGAATGGCCTGAGGGTTCATTGGAAGAAAGGGCTCCACCGACAAACTTCTGACTGGATGCAGCCTCCGCATTGCATAGTTAGGGAAACTGAGGCCCAAGCAGGTAGGGCTGGCTTCATGGCTTCTGCAACCAGTGCCATCCTACAAGGTCCCACACTTGGTTTAATGCTCTGCAGGTGCTATCTTGAACTTTTTAAAAATGTATTTTATTTTGTTTTATTTTAGAGATAGGGACTCAATCTGTTGCCCATGCTGGAGTGCAATGGCATGATCATAGCTCACTGCAGCCTCAAACTTCTGGGCTCAAGTGATCCTCCCACTTCAGCCTCTCATGTAGCTGGTACTACTAGGACTACAGGTGTGCACCACCATGCATGGATTTTTTTTTTTTTTGATAGATATGGGGCCTTATTATATTGCCCAGGTTGGTCTATAACTCCTGGCCTCAAACGATCCTCCCACCTCAGCCTCCTAAAGTGCTGGGATTACAGCCTTGATCCACCATGAGGCCTGAAATTCTTATAATTTTTTAACAAGTCATCCCCTCCCACCAACACACAAACACACACACTTTCCTTTTACACTGGGCCCCACAAATTATGTAGCTGGTCCTGTGGACAGAAGTGAGTTGTTACAAATCACAGTTAGTCAGGGTGACTAGACCCCAGGACTCCTGACTTCTAGTCTAGAATCCACCTTGCCTCTTTGTGGCTTCCTTCCCTCTGCCTCTGGCACCTTCTTTCTGTGCTTCCCGTTGGCCTCCCCAAGTCCTAGGCTCTGCGGGATGAGCCAAGCAAGTTATAATCAGCCCTAGGGAGCACCTGGCAGGCAGTGAGGGGAGCCTCGCCCCAAGTCCTGCTCCTCACTGAGACACCTTTGCAGCTGAACCCTCTGCAGTCAGCTGGCCCAGGGCAGACCATTACTGGAAGCCTCCAGAAAGGTCTTGGACCACATCTTACACGGGGCCACACTGCCCTGGACCTTGATGATGGTGGTGAGATGTTTCACATTCTCAGAGTGGCTCCACCCCAATTCCAGACAAGCACCAGCAGGGTGTGGTGGCAGATACCTGTAATTCTAGCTACTCCGGAGCCCGAGGAGGGAGGATCGCTTGAGCCTGGGAGTTTGAAGTGTAATGAGCCATGATTGCACCACTGCATTCCAGCCTGGGCAACAGAGTGAGACCCTGTCTCTAAAAAAATAGAATTTATTTAAAAAAAGAGGCAGGGCCAAAATCCTGTGAAATAGAGAAGAAAAGAGCTGGTGTGAATGAATATTTAAAAAGAGGTGCCTGAGGAGGACCCGCTGACACCACGTTGCAGGGTTCCAGGCTCTCCTTGTGCTGTGGGTTCCTATACAGGAAGCCAAGCCCTGCCTCTCTCCTCCTTTCCCTTGGATCCCACAGCCTCTTCATGTGCCGAGCGGGATTCCTGTCTACGGAGGCCCTGAGGGCGGCGCTGGTGTGTTTTTCCTCCAGCCTCCGGAAACCCCTCAGTGATCTCCCATAACATCACAGGGGCTGCATGGGCTGCGGGGCTGGGGGCTGACTTCCAGCACTTCCCTCCCTGGCAGCCGGGAAGAGCCGCCCCTCTACCAGAGATGGAAATGGCAGGGCAGACAGCAAATAATTGGCTTCCGGGATCTGTGGGGTGTAAAGAACCAGGATTTTTCTCACTCGAGTGGAAAAAGTAAAGTGCCCGGCAGAGTAGGGCAGGCAGCCCCTTCCAGAGAACCCTTCCCGTGCTCCTCCAGAGGCCACACCAAACTTCGAATTACATCTGTTGGCAAAGGATCATGCCCTGCTCAAAACAAACACGTGATGTGATGTGATGTTGTATGGAGAACCGGTGATGGTGGGGAAGGTGATCAAGAAAACACGCTAGTCGGGCTGCCCAGCCCACCGGTGGCCGAGTGCCAGGGCCCACTCTGCCAGCCAAGCCATTTCCACCCGAGGCCCCTCCTGCCCCACGGCCAGCTGACAGGGCCTCCCAGGCCGCTGCCTCTTTTGATCCAAGCTGGCACCTGGCCCCTCTCACACGCAGCCCTAAGGGGACACTCAGGTGCCACCAGCCCCTTGGTGATAGGCCCACCTTGGAGCTTCCCACTGGCTTGTCCAAGCCATTAGCAGCCACCTGTGGGGTTGTTTCCACACTTCCAGTAAGAGTGACCCACCCCCAAGATGCCCAAGACACAGGCTGGTGCACCGTGAAGACTGATTTGAGAGTCGAAGACATGGGCTTTAGTCCCGGCCCCATCATCTGCCCTCTTCGGCCCCGTTGTCCTCCTGGGTGGTCCCTGAGGCCCAAGAGCTCTGCGCCTGAGCACCACTTGGGGAGCGGAAGTGACTCAGTGGTGAGGTGGCTGGAAGCGGGCCCACCTTGTGGCCTCTTTGCCCCGAGAGACTTCTGCTTGACTGCGGTGGCCAGGGCAGGGGGCAGCCCTCTGTTCCTCAGGCGTGGGAGAAACAACCCCTCCTTCCAGAATCAGAGAGCAGTGCCCACTTCATTTAGGCAAAGGGTGGAAGTGGGGAGAGGAGGGGCTGTGAAAACACAGCGATGCAATCCCAGGAGGAATCCGCCCTGCACCGCTCCTCTGGCCGAGAGGAGAGGATCTCCACTCATGAGCGGCCAGGCTGGGGGCCCCAGAAAGCCTGACCTCATTCCCCAGGGGCACGGGAAGGAGCCAGGGCTAGAAGAAAAGGAGCTGATGTGGTGAAGGTGAAAAGAGCCACCAGACAGCCTAACTGAGGGGTCCAGGGAGCCCAGCGGCTCAGATGTTGGAGTTCGGCTCCAAATCCTCAAACATCGGCCCCACTCCCACCCCCAGCCAAAACAGTCACTTTGCCCTCTAGCTGGGGGTAAGCCTAATAACTGAAGACTCAGGTCCCAAGGCTCATCGAGAGCGAGGAAAAAGCCTTCTGTTTCTCAGTAGGCTAGGTTGATGGATAGCTTGGCAGTTTCCGTGAAGGACAGGCAGCTGTTCTGGGTGTTAGAATTGATGTACAGGGTGGCATAGCTGGGCATGGCTCTCATACATGCACTGCCCATGTTTGATCATGTATAATTTAGTGATTGTGTGTGTGTGTGTGTGTGTGTGTGTGTGTGTAGAGCACTGAGTCCCAAGGTCAGGCCCAGCCCTGTCATAGGCCAGCTTTATCACTGGGATGAAGTCCCTGGTACTCCCTGGGGTCAGTCCCCTCATCCAGGTGGACCAGATGATCCCATGGGATGGCATCAGAGTGTAAGTTTCATGACAGTGGGGTCTCTGTCTGTTTCTGGCACTTAGGGGGTGTCCACTAAGTCTGTTCAGTGTGCACATCTGTACTGTACCATGGTATCGTCAGAACCTCACGCAGGCATTCCGTAAACATGCAGAAAGATGCCTGTATTCAACAAACAGCGATGGGGCGACTGCCAGGTGCCCGGCTCTGTATGTCTATATATGTCTAAGGACTGAGGAAGCTACAAAGAGCTCAGATGCTGCCCTTTCTCTCAGGGAGCTTACTCTTTACTAGGACACATAGGATTTGTGCCCAAGTCACTCAAAAAAAGACTAACAGTGATAAGTGTCTTAAGGGAGTTCCCAGCGAGAGAGTTTGGGGGTGGGCTGGGCTCTTTTCCTGGCTTTCCTTCTTTGCTGCTGTTCTTCGAAATGCGTCCTCGGTTTCAGCCACAGACAGGCTCCTGGTTCTTGCTGGCACCCGTTCCCTGAACAATCTCTCCCAGCCTCGAAGATGTGACATGTGGGAGCTGGCAAATCTGACGGCACCAGATTTGCCTCTCTGGGCTTCACAGCTGTATTTCCATCGGTGTCCTCAGTGTCTCCAGGTGGAGACCTGCAGGCACCTTCTTCATGGTTCAGATGAGACACCTTCCCCTTCACCTGAACCCAAGCTAAAAAATGGGTTATTCTGAGTTGTTGCCCCAGCCCACACTTTTCAGTCAGCCAACATGTATGGAGTTCCTGTTTTTAGGGAGGAAGCACGCTAGTTGGAAGGCAAGCCTGGGTGCTTTCTGCCCTCCCAGCAGAAATAAGACGTGCACACCTGAGACGAGAACCGAATCATCCAGGCAGATGCCACAAAAGAACAAATGCACGGCATATACGGGAGATTGGATGGGAATCCCGGGAGAGAAAGGGAGCATTTCAAGTTGGGCAGTTCAGAAAGGCTTCAGGGAGGAGCTGAAGGGTGGGGAGGAGTTGGATGGGGTCAGTGAAGAGGGCAGGAAGGAGTGCTGGGAAAAGTTGGACAGCAGGTCCTGGGGGAAGAGTGTTTGGTGGTGGGGGAGAGAGATGGCCTGCAGTTGAGGGAGCCCTAAGCCAGAAAGGACCTGAGTGCTCCATAAAGGACACGCGGTTGTGTCTGGTTGACATTGGAGAGACCTGGGAGGGTTTGTCAGGAGAAGGCCTATTTGCCACTTGCCCCTGGAGATATTCTCTCGTGGCCTTAGCCCATGTTGAGAAACCTCTACTTTTAGAGAGTGGGAGGAAGAAAATGAGCTTGTAAAGGAGCCAAGAGGAGCAGTCCAGGACACAGGCAGAGAACCATGATGGTAATGTCATGGAAATTGAGAGGAGAAAGTTCCAAGGGGGAGGAAATGACCCACCGCGTTGACTGCTGATCAGCAGAGTTAGCTCAGGATTCATGGATCAGAGAAGGCCAGGTTGCAAGGGCCAGAGGGGCTGAGTGGATCAGAAGCAAAGGCGCAGGAGGAGCTGTGTCCTTAGAGTGGGAGGCAGGGCCCAGCTCAAAGGATTTCAAGGCAGGGATGGCCCGTGCTCATTGGGAGGGGGAGGGACAGAAGAGGCATGGGGGGACTTGGGGACAGAGCGGTGGAATTGAGGGAGACTTGCTTTGAGAAGAAAGAATCTCTTTATCGGGAGGCAAGGGAAGGAGAAAAGATGGTTACAGACATAGACTCTGCATTACGAGCAGCTGCATTTAACCTTTTTATAACACATTTATTATTTTTTTAAAAATCAAAAAATTCCAAAAAGGAAAAACATTCACTCACGTGAACTCCTGCCCTGTAGAGATAATAAATGACAAAATGTAGATGAACATTCTTCAGAAATCATTCTGTGTATGTTTGCACAGATTTTTTTCATGTAGATAAGATTACACTATCCATGTTATTTTTATTTTTATTTTATTTTACTTTGAGACATAGTCTCACTCTGTGCCCAGGCTGGAGTGCAGTGGTACCATTGTAGGTTACTGCAGCCTTGACCTCCTGGGCTCAAGGATCCTCCCAGCCTCCCAAGTAGCTGGGACTATAAGCAGGTGCCACCATGCCCAGCTAATTTTTGTATTATTTGTAGAGATGAAGTCTCGCTATGTTGCCCAGGCTGGTCTCAAGCTCCCGACCTCAAGCAATCCTCCCTCCTCAGCCTCCCGATTACTTAGCGTTTTTGTTCTTAGTGCTGGTTTTTAGTTGTTGCTTTTGTTTTTGTTTGTTTGTTTCTTTGCTTGAGACAGAGTCTTGCTCTGTTGCCCAAGCTGGAGGGTAGTGGCACTATCATGGCTCACTGCAGCCTCAACCTCTTAGGCTCAAGCAATTGTCCTACCTCAGCCTCCCAAGTAACTGGGACTACAGATGCATGCCACCATGCCCAGCTAATTTTTGTATTTTTTGTAGAGATGAGGTTTCACCCTGTTCCCCAGGCTGATCTCAAACTCTTGGGCTCAAGTGATCCTCCTGCCTTAGCCTCCCAAAATGCTGGGATTACAGGCGTGAGCCACTGCACCCAGCTTGCAGTATTTTTAAAAAATGGTTTCATAACATCCCATAGTAAGACTCTACGAGCATTTATGTAACCAATCCCCTGGAGATGGGCATTTTAGCTATTTGCATTTTCCCTCAGATTTATCATAGCATGCAGTGATCACCTTTACACATACACCTTGGCCTAATTGTGTAATTATTCTCTTAACATGAAGTTCCTAGAAGGAGGATTACTGAGTCAAAGGGCACTCGCCCTTGCAGTATTGACAGAGGGTGCCAGGCTACTCAGAATGCACGAGAAGGCCTCTTTCCCCATCCCTCCCCCAGACTGGGTTTGAAGTGTAGGCATCTGGACAGAGTTAGTGGATGATAAAGAAAGAAGTTGGAACCTCATGGTCTTGATCCTTTCAGAAAAGGAGGGGGTGAGCTCATCTTTGGGGAATGAGGTGGGCTGACCTGAGGAGGAACCCAGGAATGGGAAGTGAGGATCCAGATGGCAGGACTTGGCTGAAGCCAAATGCATGCCCCCCTCTGACACTCTCCTGCAGCTCCAGGCTTCTCTAGTGCAATTCGAAGAAAGCAGGCTGAGGATGGAAGGGACCATGGCCAGGAGAGAGAACTACAGGCTCCATGGGGCAGAACTCAACCCTTGGGGACTGGGCTGGGCTTGGAGGTCAGGGCGAATGAGAACTTGGAGGAAGGAGAGCGAGGAAAGGCTGAGTGCATTGGGGATGAAGAAGGCAAGGGGCTTGAGATCAAGCAGATGGAACAGCAATAAGCCTTAAGCTCCAGAGGGCAGGCAGGATGTGTAGAGATGAGACAGTAAATCCCATGTCCAGAGCCCTGAGTTTCAACAGAAAAGCTGCTTCCATTCAAGTTGATGGCAGGAGACAGAATGAAGAATTCATCCAATCCAGGTGATGTCATTGTCCAGAACAGTGTTCCCTAAAGTCAGAGTCCCTCTGCCTCTGAACATAGGTCCCAGAATTAAAAGATACATTTATTTTTCAAGATCTGCAGGAAGTTCCATGACCAAATAAGTCTGAGAAACGTGGAGTTAAACACAGATTTAAATGGGCTTATTATTTTTTTTGGCAGGACTTTTCAAAATGCTTACTATGTGAATGTGAATCTCTAAGATGGCGATAGAGTATGCCATGTTTTCCACACTTACTTGATCAAATAATCCTTTTTCACAAAGAATAATTTGGGACTAGTGTCCCATAGGATATGTTTTGAAACACTGATTTCTTGTAAGTTGGAAATTGGTCCTGGGAGTGATGGGGGTTGGGAGATGGCAATAAATGGCAGCATTAATTGGAATAGGATAGAAAAATAATCCTAATAAAAGTGGCTGCTACTACTATTTATTAAGCATTTACGATGTACCAGGTACTTTTCATATACGTCTCATTGGATTTTCACAGCAGCTCATTGAAGCGGACGATCTCCCCACCATTTACGCATAAGGAACATGAAACTCAGAGGAGGGAAGTGGGGTGCCCATGCGAGACAGGGTAGGATTTGCAGGATCAGGGGTGACAACGGGGATCAAGAGAACTGGTGATTCCTGGCCAGGCATGGTGGCTCATGCCAGTAATCCCAGCACTTTGGGAGACCCAGGGAGGAGGATCACTTCAGGCCAGGAATTTGAGACCAGCCTGGGCAACATAGTGAGATCTTGTCTCTACAAAAAATAAGCAAGATTAGCTGGGTGTGATGGCACACACCTGTAGCCTCAGCTACTTAGGAGGCTGAGGTGGGAGGATCGTTTGAACCCGGGAGGTCTAGGCGGCACTGAGCCATGATCGCACCACAGCACTCCAGCCTGGCCAATAGAGCAAGACCTTGTCTATAAAAAGAAACAAAAAAAGAAAAGAAAAGAAAGCCAGTGATTCCCACCCCTCCCATCCCTCTGAATTCATGGGGTTCAGGGGAGTCGGGGGGGTTGGTGCTGTGGACAGAGAGGAGATCAGTGTGTAAGTAATGGGGGGAGTCTGTTGCATTGAGTGAGTAGCCTAGGTTCTTGTCTCAACTAGAGGCAGCACCAGCCTGCGAGCAGGTATTTAGAAATGGGTGGGCATTCGGGGTTGTCACAATGACCAGGGATTGCTATTGGCCTTTAGCGGGCAAGGCCAGGATGCTGAATGTCTGTGCAGAGTGGGCCGTGCTCATCTAATGAAGAATTGCACCACCTGGAATAGGGTCCAAGTTAGAAAAGTTGAGGGCAAGAAAGTTGTTTAGGATAAAGGGGATTTAGGATAAAGCAGGGATTTACCCACAACCTCTGTGGTTACCAAGAACAGGGTGGGAGGCAGCCAAAGGGATTCAGGTGGAGGTAGCAGGAACCGGGAGGGAAGCCTGTCTCAGAGCAGCAGATGTGGCTTTAGGGATGCAGGAGCTTGAGGATGGGGACCAAAAAAGGGGCGAGTGCTGGAGGAGAGAAACTGGCAGAGCCACGGAAGCAGAAAAGGACAACTTGTTGAGCAAGAAGATTTGAAGGGAAAGGACCTGTGTCTTGAGACCTGAGCGGGCAGGCGGATTCCCAACCGATTACAGACAAACCCACAAAGGAAGCCTGTGGAGAGGGGGTAGTGGCGGAAGGGCTCTAATGAAAACAATTTTGCAACCTTACTTATAGCGTTCTCCAACCTTAAACTAATAGCTATTCTGCACTTTAAATATAGCATTGGCTCCAGAGAAGACTCTGAAATCTTTATTTTTACCGATCCAATTGGCTGTTTTGAAAACCCACTCTGTGAACCCTGCAGAAGATAATTATCAAAATATGTTCCTTGAAGTGCCCAAAGAAAGACCTTTTATTCAGTTCCTCGAATCTCTCCCCCTTGTTGACTCAGATGGAAGAATGCAGTCCCAGAAAGGCGAAAGAGGGAACCAAGGACACATTTTTGGTCAACCAAAAGAAAGCCGGCATTGGTGACCACAGTTGAGTTAGCAGTTGGTTAACAGGTCCGGGCTATTTTCTACCCCCAAAGGGAGAGCTGAACCAAGCTCAACCCCAGTGGAGTCAGTGGCCGTGCTTAGCAATGTGCCAAGGCATGCACCCTCCATCAAACTTGCTACGTGGCTCTGTGAGAGCAGACTTAAAAAAAAAAAAGGAATTTCTCCTCTTGTGGCTGTCCTTTCTGGAGTTTGAGATGGATATTGTGACCTAAGGGATGACAGGAAGAGAGGCCCTTTCAAATTTCTAGTGGTCACCACTATTTTATGGGTCTGGGTTTGCAGCCTTGGCCTTGGCCTTGGCCTTCCCAGGCTATTTAACTTTTTTTTCTAAGCACCTTGCCTGCGATTTGGGTAGTAATCACTGCAAGAAGATTGGGGCCTGGCTGTGCCTTTCACTAGGAAATCCATGGGGCTGGCTTCTTTATGACAGGGACCATGGCCCTCCCTCATAGCAGCTGTGGTCCCTTGGGGCCTTGGGATCAGAGCAGGCAGAAACTGGCTCATGGAGTCTTAGATGTTCGTTCTTTCATGATTCCCATGCTGTCCCAAGTTTGTTCCCAGAGAGGAGTTTTCCCATAGGTTTTTAGGTCCCAGCATCACCTTATCTTCTCCAGTGTCCTCTTCCAAGCCCATCCGCTCCTGCCAAAATAACCTTGCTCCTGGAATCCACAAAATGAAGAAAAGAAGGGGAGAGAGAGAGAGAGAGAGAGAGAGAAGAGAGACAGAAGGCAACCAGTGCTATTTCTGCCTTCCTATAAACGGAGTCTCTCTCTAGACACCTAGAGCCTATCATAACATGATGATTTCATTACCCCTTCCAGACACCCAGCATGCTTCACACTCAGGCACTCCTCGATTTTCAGCATGTCAAGAGTCCTACATTTCTTTATACATGACACAGACAAGAACCAGCGCCTTACTTTAGAGAGCTATAGACATATTACATACAGGTGGTATTGAAAAGCAATTAACTGGGACAACAATGGAAAAACACGACCCCCCCAAACAAGAACCCTTGGAGCTTCAGGAGAAGAATATGATGTCCCTTGTTCTGTTCTGCGAAGGGGAGGGGAAGTAGAGCCAACATTTTGCTCCTACCCAGTCCTCCACCAGCTCATTCCTTTGCAGTTCAAACACCAGCCCTTGGTATATAAATTTCGCCTTCGCTGCAAAATTTTATAAATTTCGAAAGGTATATAAATTAAGCCTTTGCACTCCAAATGCATCCATCGTCCCCAACACTCCCTAGCCATGGAGAATCCTAAGAATAAACCAGATTCCAACCCTATTTTAAGTCATCAATCTTCATTTTTTAAATACACATGAGCTCCTGATTAAAATAGCAGAGGATAACAGTTAACTGAAGACATAGGCCTTCGCCGAGGGCCAGAAAACACATCTTTATGGAACATCCACTATGTGATCAACCCTGTGCTGAAAGCAGTTGAGGGGAGCTTTCCTGACCACAGGGATGTAGCAAACTGCTAGGAGCGTGACCTGTCAACAGATATCAGGCTTATATGGAAAGGTCTTGTCCCAGTTCTGAGGCGTTTCTGAGATGGGCATGTGCAACTCTGCAGACACTCAAATGCGTGTTTGGATTCTGCCTCAGATTCTTGGATATTTAGGAGCCACTAACCAGCTTCCAGGCCACTTAACCTCTCTGAGCCTTTGTGACATGATGGAGGTGAATTTGCAAATTCCCTTCCCACCCTCTCAGGCTGTGGTTCTCTATCCCTGAAACCCCTTTGGAGAGCTGGTGCACCTAACTCTAAGTCAGTTTGCCCTTAATGGCAGGAGAATAGGCATAGAAGACGGAGAGGGGAAGGAAATTCTTTTCCCATCTCTATTAACCCTGCTTGGCCTAGTTCAAGGAGGCACTACGGATGCCTGCCTAATCAGTCATCCTCTGATCAATCACTACTCTGGGGCCTCAGCCAGGGCTTTTTCATTCTTGGTGACTGTTTATTCATCCATACATATTCTGATCAGAACAATCTTGGTATAACATGAACATAATGAGCTTGTGCTTGCAAAGGGCTCGGCTTATAAGAGCCTCACAAATGCTTTGGATTATGTTCTCATTAAGTGAACGAGGCTACAGTGGTGAGTTACTACAGCATTCCAGACATAGGTGAGTCAGGGGTCCCCACAGTCCGGGGCTTAGTGCTGGAAGACAGGAAATCCAAGGGATTAGAGAGAGAAGACCTCTTTGGGGATTGGGGAGGGCTGTGAGTTATGGAGCTGAGATGTCAGTGGAGGGAAGATGGCCAAACACCCGTGGTCCCCCTAGTCTAGAGAGATCCAAGATCTTCGCTGGCAGCCGCCACTTCCCTTCCCATGGGTCACTCGGTGCGTTACTGGAAAGCCTCGTTAGCAATTTCCACTGGCTAACAGTTGCTAATCTGGGGGGCTGTCCATTGGGAAAGCTGGTTATAACAAAGCTCTGTGTTTTTTGAGAGGGTGTTTGCTGAAGGCTGGTGTCAGCCTTGCTTGATTTAAGTCATCCCAGATTCCCTGCAAAGGCTATAAACAGTGAAGTGATGAAATGGGCCCTAGAGCCAGAACAGGGAGGAGGCCCAGTCACGGGGGAGGGCAGAGGAGCTCATCAAGGATGGAGAGAAACGAGGAACCCGGCCAAGGAGGCAGCTCTGCTCTAAGGGTTGGAAGGAATACCTCCCCACGGTAGCCCCGGGGCAGTGGTGAATACAGCCCACAGCCCACAACGTGGTTCTGACTGGGGTCTCTGGAGGTGAGAGGCCATGGCTACTAGGGTGAGGTTTTGGTCAGACAGAAACAGAAGGTACCAAGGAATTCCCCTGCCTTGCCCCAGCCATTCATTTATGGGAAAGAGATCATAATCCTGGTGACTGCCCAGGCCAGGCTTCCTTGTAAACTGTTGGCAGATTGACGATGGGACAGCTGCCCAAGGAGAGCTGAAAGTGCTTCTTAGGATATGCATGAAAACAAACTTCTCATGCTTCCTTGCTGTTCCCGCTTTACCCTCCAAAGCACTTGCCCGCACCCCTGACCGCCCCCGCCCCCCCCCCGCACACACACACTATTGCCCCGGAAAGCAAACCTACCTGGAATCTCCTATTGTGGAGAGGAAAACCAGGATTCCGGAAGCTTTGCCACTGCCCAGCTCTATGACTTGAGCCAGGCATTAACAACCTCACACCACACATACACAGGTACACACACATGCACACTCATGGGCAAAAATGCACGTGCACACATGTGCAAGCACAGGCACACACGCAGGCATGCATGTATACTCACACATGCATCGGACACACCCTCACACACATGTGCACACATACACAAAGTTTAGTTTCCTCACCTATCAAATCAGGAGAAAATGTTCTCTCTCTGTCTCTCAGACTAGTTGTAGGGATCAAATGGGATAACAGATGTGAGAGCGCTTTCAAAGTCCTAAACCCCAGGTCTCCTTTGTCGCCCCAGATTAATTCAATCTCTGGGGGTGGACCCTTGAAAGCTCCCCAGAGAGCTCCACAGGCAGGCATAGAACTGCTGGGAAGCCTAATACCAAATCCTTCATTGGTTTATTTGAAATTGTGTTTGTTGAGCCTTTCTCTGTGCCGGCTCTCTGTGCCGGCCACTGTGCTAGGGATGTTGGATAAAGCAGTGAACATGACAGATAGTCCCTGCCCTTGGAACTGAAGCGCTGGGGAAGAGAGCTGCCGCATGGACAGGAGAGGAGCATTCTCCTAGGGAGAGCACAGAGCATGTGAGGTGTGGGCAACAGGGCCTTACGCTAGTCTGAGAGCTCAAGAAAGACTGCTGGGGAAGTGACGTTTAAGCCATGCGTGAAGGCCGAGCAGAGGGCACTCGTGGTCTTGATGGTGGCATTTTTAATTTGGGGTCACCCTCAGTCCCCTCCCTACTGAGTCCATTCAGAGCTGCCTTTGCTTACCAACAGCGCCTTGCCAACTGCATCTCAGCTCCTATGTTGATCACAATGGCCGTGGCATGGCATTTGGGCCTCAGGTACTCACAGGTCTAGGATGCGGCTCAAGATGCCCATCAATCATGGTCAGGAGCCCCCGAGGCTCCGCAGCTCATTCATGTACCACCCTCTTCTTGTCTACCCGCTGACCTTGTAGTTGCAGAAGCAAGGTTTCTTAGCACTTTGTGGAACCTTTGCTCATTACCTCAAGGTGGTTGTAGGTATGGTAGAAAAGATTTCTGAGTTCACATCTTGGCTTCACCACTTCTATTCTGTGGGCTGCTAAGCAACATTCTTCACTTCCCTGAACCTCAGTCTTTTTGTCTATAAATGTGACTCTCTGGACTGTAAAGTTTATAAGATGTTGTGAAGATTGCCTTGAGGCAAAACCCAGCACTTTATTGCATTAAAAACAAAAAGGAGGCAGGGCGCAGTGGCTCACGCCTGTAATCCCAGCACTTTGGGAGGCCAAGGTGGGTGGATCACGGTCAGGAGATGGAGACCATCCTGGCTAACATGGTGAAACCTCGTTTCTACTAAAAATACAAAAAATTAGCCGGGCGTGGTGGCGGGCACCTGTAGTCCCAGCTACTCGGGAGGCTGAGGCAGGAGAATGGCGTGAACCCAGGTGGCAGAGCTTGCAGTGAGCCGAGATAGCACCACTGCAATCCAGCCTGGGCGACACAGTGAGACTTTGTCTCAAAAGAAAAAAAAAAGGAAAAAAGGAAAACTTGAAGCTTCTACTTCTAGCATTACCAGCTTAAAATATTCTCGGGCTATAAAATGTAGACATTAAATAAACTACAGACATACTGCTAAGTGCATAGCTAAAGGTGAAAGAAAGCAGGGAATCCTTAAGGACCCAACAAAACGGCAAAGAAAGAGATAAAGAGAGAGGGAGAGGGAGGAGAGAGAAAGAGAGAAAGGAGGGAGGGAGGGAGAGAGAAGGAAAGGAGGGAGGAAAGTAGGGAAGGAAGGAAAGGAAGGAAGGAATGAAGGAAAGGAAAGGAAAGGAGAAAGGGAAGGAAAGAGGTAAGGAAAGGAGGGAGGAAAGTAGGGAAGGAAGGATGGAAGGAAGGAGAAAGGGAAGAAAAGGCCAGGTCTTACTTACAGGGAGTGGGAGGTGAAGGGTGTCTGGGGAACTAGAGGAATCTTCTGAGTGAGGGATACATCATCTAGGTTTTAGTTAGGGACCATATTGTCCCAGAGAATAAGCACCGAATCAAACTCTGAAAGGAGACCTGCTCCGCCCAAGGCCCTTTGACACCCTGATGGGTCCTAGGTGAGATTGTGTGAAGCAGGGATCTGCGCCCATCCTGTCATCTCCTCCTCCCTCTGGCCTCCTCCTGGCTATGCTGGAGGCAGAGTCTTGGTGGGGACTATGCTGTGGCCAGATTCAGCCTTGTCCCTGGAGAAGAGGAATTCTGCTTCGGTGACCAAGTATTGGGGAATAGAAGGACGCTAAGCCAGAGCAAGCAGCCAGCTCTTATTTCTCCTTACTCCACCTTCATGGGTTTCAGCAAGCTCCAGAGAGAGCAGGCACTGAGGTGGCCCATGTGTCTTTCCCAGCGTGTGGAAAATGGGGAGCTCTCCTCACCCAGAGGGGTGGGACATCCCAGCTCCTCAGCCACTTGATTCTTATGTCCGCTCCCTTTTTGCAGCTTACATCAGGCCACCTGGAGCTCAGTGAGCTGGCTCAGGGGTAGAGGTGGGCATGGGATATGGGGACAGGTAAATAAAAGGGGCTGCTGGAGAGGCCTGGGATGGCTTTGGGTCTGACGGCACTGGCTTCATTATAGTGAGGTCGGCCGGCGGCGATGGAGATGCCTTGTGCGTTACAGAAGAGGACCTGGCGGGTGACGACGAGGACATGCCGACCTTCCCATGCACCCAGAAGGGTAAGGACTCTGGGGCTGCCCCTGATCTCCGCTCTGGGCTGAGAGATCCCTGTCTCCATCCCCAGGCCAGTGAGAGATTTGTCTCTTTAGGTGGTTTCAAAAGCCTGGGTGTCCTTTCCCCACTGCTTCCTGGATGGTGAAAGGGCAGAGTTCACGGCCCTGGGCGTGCAGTACCAGTGAAGTCAAAGGAGTTTAATGTTTTTTTTTCTTAAAGACATGGTTTTGCTGTGTCGTCCAGGCTAGTATGAGTGGTGCAACCACAGATCACTGCAGCCTCAAATTCCTGGGCTCGAGTGATCCTTCCACCTCAGCTTCCCAAGTAGCTGTGACTGTTGGCACGCACCACCATGCCTGGATAATTTTTTTTATTTTTTGTAGATACAAGAGTCTTGCTATGTTGCCCAGGCTGGTCTCAAACTCCTGGCCTCAAGTGATCTGCCCGCCTCAGCCTCCCAAATTGCTGGGGTTACAGGTGTGAGCCACTGTGCTTGGCCTGAAATCAAAGCTTGACACAAGTGCCACCTGTCTCCTGGGGTCCTCCCGAGACCCATCAGGGACTTCTGCCATCTCCCAGAGCTACATACCCTGTCCCTGGGGCCTGTCTTCTAGCTGGCCTGGAACTGTCCCCTTCATTGTGTCCCATGCCACCTGAACTGCTGTTTGGAATGGGGTCTCAGTGACTTTGGTGTAGAGTAGAGCAGTTGTTCTCAACCTTGGCTCTTCATTGCAATCACCCATGGATGCATGAGACCAACCCTTGGAAATTCCTATTTGGCCTGGAGTGTGATCTGGGCATCAGGATTTTTAAACGTCCTAGTAGTCAGAATGTGTGGCTAAAGGTGAGTTCACCTTAGGAATTCGCAGCTGGGCCATCACTGCATTCCCACTGGGTGTTGGCCACCTGTCTGTGTATTCAGGACCATCTGGTTCCCTCTTTCCTCCATGCCAACAATTCAACTGGTGGACCATGACTATTTGTTTGGTTTCCAGGAGAACTTCTGGTTCCCTGAAAAGTTTGGGGACTGGTAACCAACATTCTGGTTTGCCAGGGACTGAGGGGATTCCCAGGGTGTGGGGCTTTTCATTTTCTTTTTTCTTTTTTAAAATAGAGATGGGATCTTGCTATGTTGCCTTGGCTGGCCTCAAACTCCTGGGCTCAAGTGATCCCCCTGCCTCAGCCTCCTCAAGTGCTGGGATTACAGGCATGAGCTACTGTACCCGGCAGGCTTTCAGTTTTAAAACCCAGACAATCTTAGCAAACCAGGATGATTGGCACCATGCTGAGGAGCTCCTGTGATGGGAGACTTTCAGTGCTAAAACCCAGAAGATCCTGGGCAAGCCCAGACAAGTTGGTCACTCAGTGGGGCCTCAGGCTGGCTGCTCATCCTGTGGGTCCTCAGTAGGACCAATGGAGAGGGAAGAGGTGTTTCCCCTCCCCATGGGCCGAATGAAGACACCATGGAGAGAGGATGATGGTAGTGCTGGGGGCTGTTCTTTGAAGTCCTGACTCGGTCTCCTGCATTCCAGAAAGCACCAGCACCTAGAGAAAGGAGGTAGGACAGGTAGAGAATGAGGGTCGAGAACAGCTCCCCTTCTGAGCCTGGTTTGAATGTGATGAGACAGACCAGAGCAGGAACATGGAACTGACCCTTCAGCTCCAACCTGGGCCCCTGGCCTAAGCCATTGTCCTCCTTGTGTCCCCCACAGGCCGGCCAGGGCCCCGCTGCAGCCGCTGCCAGAAGAACCTATCTTTGCACACATCGGTGCGGATTCTTTACCTCTTCCTGGCCCTGCTCCTGGTGGCCGTGGCTGTGTTGGCCTCTCTGGGTGAGTCCGGGGCTTTCCCACCCCGGGCTGCAGGGGGGTGTCTGATCAGGGATCCAGCACCAAAAGTTCCCCTGCAAAGACAAACACTTGACATCTGTATCCCAGGGCCCAGAGCCAGCATCTTCCTGGCTAGGGGATCTCTATGCCTAATGCAAACTGCAGACACTGGCAACTGACAAGATCTGTGGCCTTAAGGAAGGCACCTGCCTCTGGGGACCCCTTCTTTCCCATTGGTGTAATGAGATGATACGACCAGGTCAGTGCTTCTCAGTTTCAGCTCCATGTTACAGCCATCTTGGAGCTTTAAAGAATGTCGATGTCTAGGCCCCACCCCGATCGTGGAATTAATTCGGTATCTTTCAACTCTCCTGATGATTCTGTTGTTCACCCAGGGTTGAGATCACTGGATTGAGTGACTTCTAAGCCCCCTTTTATGGTCTGTGTGTTTCTAAAAGTGAGGCTGGATGCCTACCTGCAGCAATTTCACCTCCAGTATTTGTTAAAATGCAAATTCCTGGGTCTCCCTCAGCCAGACCTGCTGAGACCAAGGAATCTGGGGGGTCCTGCAGGTGAGACCCAGGGATCTGAGGTTTGGTTCTTCTCATACACATTAGGGTTTGTAGTAGTTGACCTAGGTCACAGCACACAGCCAGAGGCAAGTCACTTCTGCCTTCCAGATGCTGACAGATTGTGGTAAACTTGTTACAACAAATTTGATGTTTGTAATCCCATTCCACTAAGAGTGCTAAGAGTGCAATCCCATTCCACTCTTAGCTTCAAACTTTGAAAATCCGGGCTCTGGTAGGCTTGTTTGTTCCAATCTACTGGATTTTAGAAACAAGGCCAGGAGTAGGGAGAGGCAGTCGAGGCTCCGAGGGGGGCCCCCTGCTCTCATGCAGACCCTGAGCCTGAGCACATCCCTAAGGAGAGGCCCCTCGTCCTGGCCCTGGCTGGAGATATTCGGTAACCAGCCTTCTTAGCTTGAAGGCAAGAGGCCAGCATACTAATGATTTGAATAGACACAAGTCGTCTTCCAGTAATCCGAAGGCATTAATTAATCCAACAAAAGCCGGGAGCCTGCTCTGTGCCAGGCACTGGGAACACTGAGTTGTGTCAATTACATTTCACCATCAAGGGGCATGGTTCTTCCCTCTTGTCAGGGGATACTGGAATCCCTTGGAAAGCATTTAAAAATACTAGTGCCAGAGTACCCCCTCCACTCACTCCAGATGAATTAAATCATCATCTCTGGGTAGGACCCAGGCCTTAGTCATTTGTAAATCCCTTCAGGGGATTCCAGTCCGCAGCTAGATTTAAGAACCAAGGATTTCAGAACTTCCCAAGCCCATCACCACCTGTGTCTGCTAAATCAATTCACAAGGTTTGGCATTTCAGAAAGTGGCAAAAATCCCAGGCCAGAGGAGGAAAGGAGCCACGGTCTGCCTATCAGAGGCCACAAACTTGCTGTCAGAGAACTTGTCAAGATTTCTGGTCACCCCTTTTAGGGCCTCTGCTCACAGCACTCAAGGCACCTGGGGCCATTATCAAAGCTCCAAGAGCCACAGGATCAGGCCCAGAGAAGAGCGCAGGCACCGAAGAGTTTCAGAGAGGATGACAGAATGTGAGACGCTGTCATGTGCATAACATCCATGAGTCAGCCTGGCAGGCTGGAGCGGGAGGCTGGCCCCATTCCTCACGGGAGGGTACAGACCTGGGAAGGGGACAGGATTTGCACCAAGATCCAGAGTGAATGGACAGAGGATCAGAACAACCTGGGTGAGGAGTGTGTGTTTGTGAACCACGGGAGACCTTTGGGTTTCCTTTTTTGTTTTTGCCTCCAGCTTGGGTATCCCAAGTCCCTAGAACAGTGTTGGCACCATCTTGGCCTAAATGGCAGGTGCCCAATAATATTTGTTGAAAGAATGATTATAGATTTGTAAAGCGTGTGTGTGTGTGTGTGTGTGTGTGTGTGTATGGTGTATGTGTGAGTCTGTGGATAGACTGGTCAATGCTTTACAACCAGAACTGTGACCAAAGTCCAGAGGGTTGGGAAAATCAGTCAGCAGACATTACAAACCAACTCTATTCATTTTAATCAAGTTTTTTTTTCTAAATCAAGAGCATACTGGGGACCAAGAACTATATTCTATACTGGGCAGTATACTGCTTAGTAAAACACAGACCCTGCCTTCATGGAGCTTATAATCTAGAGCTGATTATGGCCATTTTTTTCTGTAAAAGGCTACATAGTAAATATTTTAGGCTTTTCAGGTTACATACAATCTTTGTCACAACCAAACTCGTCACAGAGCAAAAGCAGCCACAAGCAGTCTGTAAATGAATGGGGGTGGCAACTCCTGTAAATCAGGCATTAGGCTGGATTTCACCTGCAGGCCATAATTTGCAACACCCCTGGTCTAGAGCAGTGATCCCTAAACTTTTTTGACCGTGCATCCCATCAGTAAAAAATTCATTTAAAATGCATTCAAAAATTTACATGGATTGATGAATGGGTGAAAGAGATGGATGAATATAAAATAAATACAGAAAAATGCTACTTGTAGAATCTAGGCAATAGGCATATAGGTCTTCACTGTACAAGTCCTTCTATTCTTTTGTTTGAAAAATTTTTAAATTAAATGTTAGAAAAGAAAAAATTGTTAGCGTCACAGCCCCAAAATATACCTATTTATTTATAAGTGATGTATATGTACTATTTGCCATATTGTCTACATAAAACATAATTTTATAAGGATGAAGAAAAATCATGTCTAAAAAGTGAGGAAAAATGGCTTAAAAAGCAAATATATAATTATTAAGCCTGAGATGCACAATGAAGAAATAAGCAAGGCCAGGTGCAGTGGCTCATGTCTGTAACCCCAACACCTTGGGAGGCCAAGGTGGAAGGATCACTTGAGCTCAGGAGTTTGAGGCCAGCCTGGGAAACATAGTGAGACCCCAACTCATTTCAATTAAAAAAAAAATTGAAAATTAACTGGGCATGGTGGCACATGCCAGTAGTCCTGGCGGCACATGCCAGTAGTCCTGGCTACTTACGAGGCTGAAGTGGGATGATCACTTGAGCCCAGAAGATTGAGGCTGCAGTGAACCATGATCACACTGCTGCACTCCAGCCTGGGTGACAGAGCAAGACTGTCTCACAAAAAAAAAAAAAGAAAAAGAAAAAAAGAAAAAAGAAATGAACAGGTGAATGAATTATATGGAGTGGAGTGAGCCTCGGCTGTTGGCTTGGAAGTAGAATTAATGAAGCATAGGAATAGGAATCAAAGTCACTCAGTCTCTTTGTGTCTTTGTTCATCTATGCATGAAATCTTAATTGTAGGGAGGCTCAAATGGAATCATAACTATTGTAAACTGTACAGTGCTTGTCTCATGTAACAGCATGTGCTTATTCCCAAACTCTCTCAACATGTTGCTGTTACTAATTAAGTAAATCTACTGACAGCTCTGAGATGTACAATATTAACTGGAGCCTGGAGATTCCAAATAATTTGAAAGCATAGAATTTTGGTGCTGATGAGAGCCTTAGAGTCATCGAGCTCCACATTTTCATTTTACATATGATTGAACTGAGCTCAAGAAAGGGTAACTGACTTGCCCAAAGTCACCCAACAAATGTGATGTAAACTAGGACTAGAAGCTGTGTTACTCAGTGCTCTTGGTGGTGCTAATTCTTTCCCCTTGTACTTGACCTTAAGAGGATCTGTGGGAAGCATCTTGCTGAACCTCAGAACAACCCATGCCCTCCCTCACTACCAGGCCCATTCAGGCACCCGCTGGAAAAAGCCAGGCGTCCTGCTGCTGCCAAGACGTGCTCTAACCACTGGCCAACATGGCCCCCTTAGTAGAGTGCAAGGCTGCCCGTGGGGTATAAAGTGGTGTAATCTTTTCTGGGCAGCAGTTTGGCAGCTTGTATCAAGGACTTCAAAAATGTTAATACCCTAGGTCCCATAATTCTATTTTAAGCAATTTATCCCAAGAGAATTATCATATACACATAACCATCATATATAAGGATTATTTCTAGAATTAAGCATTACTTATATTTATATATCAAGTTTTATTTATGAGCTCAGAAGAAGAGGTACTTTAAGTGTCCTCAACAGTAGGAGATTCTTACATAATTGCTGTATTATTTATATAGAGTGCCATGCAGATACCAAAAGTAGTGATTTTAAAGTGATTTAACCCTGGATGGAAAAATGTCCGTGACATGATACTGATAAAGCAGCATCAAAGAAAACAGATGAGATGTTCAGAACATCCCAGTTTTGCTTTTGTTGCCTAAGAAAGTACAGTAGTCCCCGTTTATCCGCAGTTTCAGTTACCCTAGGTCAATCGGCAACATCATGGCTTGATGATCCCCCTTCTGACATATGGTCAAGGTCAGTAGTAGCCCAATACTAAGTCACAATGCCTATGTCATTCACCCCACTGCATCTCGTCACGTAGGCATGGTGTCATCTCATGTCAGCACAAGAAGAAGGATGAGTATGGTACAATAAGATATTCTCAGATACAAAGAGACCATATTTACATAACTTTTATTATAGCATACTGTTCTAATAGTTCTATTTTATTATTAGCTGTTGTTAGTCTCTTACTAGGCCTAATTTATACATTAAACTTTATCTTAAGTACGTATGTATAGGAAAACACATAGCATATTTAGGGTTCCATACACTGAGGTTTCAGGCATCCACTGGGGGTCTTGGAATGTATCCCCTGCAGGTAAGAGGGGAACACTGTATATATCTATGTAGCTGAAGAATGGTTATCAATGTAGACAAGACTAGAAGAAATCCATGAAGACACTGATGGCAGCAACCTTTGGGTGGTAGGAATAAGAATAATTTTTTTTTAATTTTTTTTCTGAATTTTCCCTGTTCCATTCTGTGATCAGGTCCTATTTCTAACATGTGGGGTGTGGGGTGAGTTATTCTGTTTCTAAAGGGCCTTGTGGCAAACTCTGGCCATAAGAAGTATCTTCCCTAACCGCCATGAAGAAGCCTGAGAGAAGAAGGGTGAAAGGTTTTGGTTGCAGAGGAGCTGATAAAGATGCCTTCTCAAGGAATGACTGCTGTTTCTCTGAGCTTAGACCCTGCCCCAGCTTCTCATCTGTTTTCCCTACAGTTTTCAGAAAAGTGGACTCTCTCTCCGAAGACATCTCCTTGACCCAGTCTATTTATGACAAGAAGCTTGTGTTAATGCAGAAAAATCTCCAGGGCCTGGGTAAGTAGATGGGCTGATGACTGTGATGCAGTGATCTTCAGGGTGGGGCAGGGGTGCCCTCCCCACGCTACAGTGCCCCAGCACCAAGCAACCTTCACCAGCCTTCTAGGCACAGAGGCTATCCCCAGCTCCCTGCTCCCTCCCCAGCCGGATCTCCATCCATTAGAGGAGGGCTGCTACCCTGGGATACTCCCAGGACTGGAGCAGGGGATTCTGGGTGGACCACAGATCTAGCCAGAGTCTACAGGCAGAGAAGGAAGCCAAAGATAGTCCATTCCCAAAATAGCCTCATGCATCTGAAATGATGAGAGTTTCAAGACCTTGCAAAACCTCCTGCCAGGTCAACCCTTTCCTCATCATTGCCTTAAGCTGTGCCACGATTCTTTTCTTTTTTCTTTTTTTTTAATATGTGCCATCTATTTATCTATTTCCATAATTTTAACTTTTGTTGTTATAGATTAAGGGACACATGTGCAGGTTTGTTACTTGGTTATATTGCGTGACACTGAGGTTTGGGGGGGTAGAAATGATCCTGTCACCCAGGTAGTGAGCCCAGGTACCCAATAGGTGGTTTTTCAGCCCATAACCCCCTCCCTCCTCTCCCATCTAGTATGCACTGAAGTCTATTGTTGCCATCTTTATGTCTACATGTATTCAACCTTTTTTTTTTTTTTTTTTGAGACGGAGTCTCACTCTGTCACCCAGGCTGGAGTGCAGTGGTGTGATCTCGGCTCACTGCAAGCTCCACCTCCTGGGTTCGTGCCATTCTCCTGCCTCAGCCTCCCAAGTATCTGGGACTACAGGCGGCAGCCAGCATGCCCGGCTAATTTTTTGTATTTTTAGTAGAGATGGGGTTTCACTGTGTTAGCCAGGATGGTCTCGATCTCCTGACCTCGTGATCCGCCCGCCTCTGCCTCCCAAAGTGCTGGGATTACAGGCGTGAGCCACTGCACCCAGCATCTACATGTATTCAGTCTTGCTCCCACTTATAAGTGAGAGCATGTGGTCTTTGGTTTTCTGTTCTTCTGTTAATTTGCTTAGGTCATGCCACAATTCTTGATGTTCTTTATCCCCTGCTTTAACCTGGAACAATCTAAGAGAGAATGAGACAGAAGGAGCAATGATAGAAGGGTTTAGAGTGGTCTTATCTGACGCAAATAGAAGGTTCTGGTCTGGCACCAATATACGTGGCTATTTACCAAGCCACTTCTCTGCACCTCGTTCCTCTTGATTGTATTGAATGTATTATTTTGAGAGGATTGAATAAGATAACAGATATAAAAATACTGGGAGAAATTTTTAAATAAAGTTTAAATGGGAAGTTCCTGGCCACCTAAGAAAAATTATGAAGATACATTCTTGAGAATTTGGTGGTGAGAAGGAGGAAACATCCTAAATGCTACATTTCAGATCAGAGTCAAGAAAGTCGGTAAAAATGAGATTCCATAGAGGTGGCAAGGCTTTTTCAAGAAGGAATTCATAACAGGACTTCTGGAAGGAAGTTGGTTTGGGAAGCTACTAACCAATTTCTTATGCTCTGAAATATTTAATTTAAAGAGGAAGCGTCGTACCCTGGCCCTTCAGCAACTCAAACTGTTATCCCTTTCCCCTAAAGATCCGAAAGCCCTGAACAACTGCTCTTTCTGCCATGAAGCTGGGCAGCTGGGGCCAGAGATCCGAAAACTGCAGGAGGAGCTGGAGGGAATTCAGAAGCTGCTTCTGGCCCAGGAGGTGCAGCTGGACCAGACCTTACAGGCCCAGGAGGTGCTCTCCACCACCAGCAGACAAATCTCCCAGGAGATGGGCAGTTGCTCCTTCTCCATCCACCAGGTTAACCAGTCTCTGGGGCTCTTCCTGGCCCAGGTGAGAGGCTGGCAGGCCACCACAGCTGGCCTGGACCTCTCTCTGAAGGACCTCACCCAGGAGTGCTACGATGTCAAGGCTGCAGTGCACCAGATCAACTTCACCGTGGGGCAGACTTCCGAGTGGATCCACGGGATCCAGCGGAAGACAGACGAGGAGACCCTGACCCTCCAGAAGATTGTCACCGACTGGCAGAACTACACACGGCTCTTCAGCGGCCTGCGCACCACCTCCACCAAGACTGGAGAGGCGGTCAAGAACATCCAGGCCACCCTGGGGGCCTCCTCACAGCGCATCAGCCAGAACTCAGAGAGCATGCACGACCTGGTACTCCAGGTCATGGGCTTGCAGCTGCAGCTGGATAACATCTCGTCCTTCCTGGATGACCACGAAGAGAACATGCATGATCTTCAGTACCATACCCACTACGCCCAGAACCGCACTGTGGAGAGGTTTGAGTCTCTGGAAGGACGCATGGCTTCTCACGAGATTGAAATTGGCACCATCTTCACCAACATCAATGCCACCGACAACCACGTGCACAGCATGCTCAAGTACCTGGATGACGTGCGGCTCTCCTGCACGCTGGGCTTCCACACCCATGCCGAGGAGCTCTACTACCTGAACAAGTCTGTCTCCATCATGCTGGGCACCACAGACCTGCTCCGGGAGCGCTTCAGCCTGCTCAGTGCCCGGCTGGACCTCAACGTCCGGAACCTCTCCATGATCGTGGAGGAGATGAAGGCAGTGGACACACAGCATGGAGAAATCCTTCGCAATGTCACCATCCTACGAGGTAAGAGCTGGGTCCAGGTAGGGCTGCTACAAAGCTTCCACTGAGGCTTGGTGATCTTGCTGGACACAGAAGTACCTGGTTTTAGGCAAAGTACTAGTGGGCTAACACAATCCTATAGCAAATGCCTACAGCAGTCGGCAGCTTTAAGAAATGTCCTTGCATTAGCCAGGCATGGTGGTGTGTACCTATACTCCTAGCTGCTTGGGAAGCTGAGGCAGAAGGATCACTTGAGCCCAGGAGTTCGAGGCTACAGTGAGCTATGATTGCACCACTGCACTGCAGCCTGGGAGACAGAGTAAGTCCTTATCTAAAAAAAAAAAAAAAAAAAAAAAAAAAAAGAGAGAGAGAGAGAAAAGAAAAAAGGAAAAGAACATCCTTGCAAACCTCTTTTGTAAAGGTATTATGGCTTCTAACTTTGCCTATTATACAAATCTGGATTTTTGTATTTAGATTTATTTAACCAAGTCCTAATAGAGAAATAAGCAGATCTTGTCTTTTGAAAACTGTCTCCTCTTTTTTACTCCCTTCCCACCCCCTCATTAATGCTCCCAACCACCCAACCCTCTGCCCCTGGAGGCTGTCACTCTGAAAAACTCTTCTCCTCTCATCCCCCTCATGTCTTCCTTATTTATCAGGGTTCTCCAGAGAAACAGAATCAATAGTGTATGAGAGAGAGAGAGAGACAGAGAGATCCACAGAAACAGAATCAATAGTGTATGACAGAGAGAGATCCACAGAAATAGAATCAATAGTGTATATATATATAGAGAGATAGACCCAGAGAAACAGAATCAATAGTGTATAGAGATGATAGATAGATAGGTAGATAGATCCAGAGAAACAGAATAAATAGTGTATAGATAGATGGATATATAGATGATTGATTGATTGATTGATCCAGAGAAACAGAATCAATAGTGTATAGAGATAGATGATAGGGATGATAGAAATGGATAGATAGATAGATAGGATAGAGATAAAGAGATAGAGATGAGATAGATAGATAGATAGATAGATAGATAATAGATAGATAGATGATAGATAGATCCAGAGAAGCAATCAATAGCATAGAGATAGATGATAGATAGATAGATAGATAGATAGATAGATAGATAGATCTAGAGAAACAGAATCAATAGTGTAGAGTGATAGATGATAGATAGATAGATAGATAGATAGATAGATAGATAGATAGATCCAGAGAAACAGAATCAATAATGGAGAGAGAGAGAGGTGATAGAAACAGAGATGATAGGGATGAGATAGATAGAAAATAGATATAGATAGAAGATAGCTAGCTAGCTAGATAGATAGATAGATAGATAGATAGATAGATAGATAGATAATGATAGAGATAGATGGATAGATGGATATTATAAGGAATTGGCTCCTGTAATTAGAAAGGCTGGCAAGTCCAAAATCCGCAGAGCTGATATCCCAGTTTGAAGACCATCAGGCAGGAAGAATTCCCTCTTACTTGGGGGAGGCTCAGCTCTTTTTTCCATTCAGGCCTTCAACTGATTAGATGAGCCTGCTCACGCCAGGGAGGGCAATCTGCTTGACCCAGGCTACCTATTTAAATGTTAATCTTATCCTAAAGCACCCTCACAGAAGGCCCCAGAATTATATTTGACCAATATCTGATCTAGTCAAGGTGACACATAAAATTAACCATCACAAGCCCACCCCTTGTCTACTTGGCACCTGTACACATCTCCTTAAACCATACTTAATCTCCAAATAAAGACAACAGTAAGGTCATAATTCCACCTAATGTGATGCAACTCTCCTGAGTACAACCAAAAACACACACACACTTTCCCCTGAAGAGGAGTTAAAGTCCTTGAGTGAATTTTATTCTTTTGCTTATACCCTGTAACTTAAATACTATGATGTAAAGTTAACAATATTTGTGCTATAGAGGAGATACATGTTATGTTACACAATAAGGGAATAAGAGAAGACAGAAAACAAAATTGTTGGCTATACACACACACAGATATATTCATTAAAAAAATAAGGAGGATTGATTACATTCAGAATGTCTGAATGGAGAAATACAGTAAAATATAAGGAGGACATACCATAACCATGACAGTCCTTGTTGCTGTCATTGGTCACGTGGTTGTAGCTGGTATTCATCACCACCTTCTTCCACTCCCCATTCTGTATTCCCTTTGTCTTCAGCAGGCCCCTCATCTGGTCCTGGCTCTTTACCTGCTGGGGTGATCTAAACCTTCCCTCCTGAAGGGTCTGGGCTATAGTATTTCTACCTGGGTGGGGTTGTTGAATATTCCATTCACCTTACTCACAGGACATGTAATACTATGGGACACCCTGTGGGATCTCCTATATTCCAGACATCCTCTTCCTTACTTCCATTGTGGAGTAGCAGTCCAATTTCCCCTTGGCAGTCAGGATCAGTCACCCACACAAGCATAGGAACTCTCTATTTTGCTTGTTGATTCAGAGGCATAAGGAGCTCAAAGTGGCCAGGTGGCAGTCTTAACTTCCTGTTCAATGGAATCACAGTTGTGTCTCCTGGTAGCAGCATTCCTCCCTTTGGAACTAGACCTCTATCCCAGCAGAACATAAGGTCATAGGAACAGGAAGTAAAAATTTTCTAGTGGGTCACCAGTATAAGAATAAAAGTGCCACTGCCATTACCTCCCCTTCATTTCTGGACCTGTGAGTCTGACTTTGGGAGAAACACCACTATGTATTGAATGCTGATTCAGAGCATATACAGCCTCCTGGAGAACCACTCCTAAGCCCCGCAAGGTACTGCCACCTAGCTGGTGCTGTAACTGAGTCTTCAAAAGGCCATTCCACTGTTTTATCAAGCCAGCTGCCTCAGGATGATGGGAACATGGTAAGACCAGTGAATTCCATGCCACATTGCCCTACTTCGTCTGCTGTGAAGTGAGTTCCTCAGTCAGGAGCAATGCTGTGTGAATAGCATGACTGTGGATAAGGCATTCTGTGAGTCTACGGAGGGTAGTTTTGAAAGAAGCATTGTGTACAGGGAAGGCAAATCTATATCCAGGGCAAGCGTCTATTCTGGTAAAAATATTGCCCTTTCCATGATGGAAATGATCCAGTGTAATCAACCTGCCACCAGGTAGCTGGCAGATTACCCTGGGGGATGGTGCCATGTCAGAGACTCAGTGTTGGTTTCTGCCACAGCAGATTGGGCATTAGCAGTGGCTATAGCTGGGTCAGCCTTGGTGAATGGGAAGTCCATGTTGTTAAGCCCATGGGTAACCTCCATACCTGCCACCATGCACTCTTTGTTCATGAGCCCATTGGGCAATGACAGTGGTGGCTGGAGAAAGAGGCTGACTAGTATCTACAGAACAGGTCATGCTATCCACCTGATTATTAAATCCTCCCCTGCTGGGGTCACCCTTTGGTGAGGATTCACATAGGATGCAAATATCTTCAGTATTTTTGCCTATTTGGAGAGGCCCGTCCACAGACCTCTTCCCTAAATTTTATTGCCACCAGTTTTTCAGTCATGTTCCTTCCACATCCCTGACCATCCAGCCAAACAATTGGCCACAGCCCATGGATCAGTACATAGTCACACATCTGACCATTTCTCCTTCCAAGCAAAATGAACGATCAGGTGCACAGCCCAAAGATCTACCCACTGGGAGCCTTTATCTTTCCCACTGTCCTTCAGGGACGTCTCAGGAAGGGGCTGCAGGACTGCAGTTGCCCACTTTCAGGTGGTACCTACATGTCCTGCAGAACCATCTGTAAACCAGGACTGAATCTTCTCTTCCTCCATCAACTGATCATTTAGAACTCCCCATGAGGCCACAGGTGCAGGCTGGGAGAGAGAAGATAGGGTAGCAGGAGCGGGACCCCTGGGCATCTGGGCCACTTCTTTATGTAACTTATGTGTGCCTTCAGCGCCTGCTCAGGCCAGATCACATGTACACCACTTCCATCTGATGATGGAGTATTGCTCTGCACACGCAACTTTATGGATTAGTGGATCAGCTACCACCCAGTTCATGATTGGTGGCTCAGAACACTGGTCACTTGGTTGCCCATGGTTAAGTGTTTAGTCTCCACCAAGGCCCAGTAGAAGGTCAAAAGCTGTTTCCCAAAAGGAGAGTGGTTATCTATGGAGAATGGGAGGGCTGCTTCAAAATCCTAAGGGATTGTACTGATTCACCTACAGGGGCCTGCCAAGGGCTCCACACAACATCCCTACCCGCCACTGACACCTCAAGCACCACTGGATCTGCTGGGTCCTATGGCCCAGGCAGCAAAGCAGCTTGCATGGCAGCCTGGACCTGTGGCAGAGCCTTCCCCTGTTCTGGGCCCCACTCAAACAAGAAGCTTTTCAGGTCACTTGGCAAATGACTAGAAATACGCACTCTAATGATGAATATGTTACCTCCAAAGTCCAAATCAGCCCACAAGGCATTGTGCCTTCTTTTGGGTTTTAGGAGGGGCCTGATGAAACAACTAATCCTTCACCTTAGAAGGGATATCTGTCTCCACATAACCATTCCACTTGACCTCTGGAAATTTCACTGAGGTGGAAGGCTCTCGAATTTTCATCGAATTTATTTCCTGTCCCCTGACATGGTAACGGAAATCTTCCCACAGTATTTCACCTAAAATACGTATGTGCACGACCTCTAGGGCACAATGTTCCAGGGAAGGGCATTAGTAAATAGTTCTTATGGTTCAGCCCCTGGCAAGTGTGTGGTTTCATTGAGTTCAAGCTAAGAACAAAGGCAATTTAAAGCTTTCCTGATTACAATGCCCATTTACACATTTTGTTTTATTTCAGCCTCACGACAACCCTTGCATGGTAAACAAGGCAGATGTTGGTGACTCTATTTATAGAAAAGTAATCTGAGGATGGGGGAGGGAGTTTAAAGGAATAAGCACAGGGTCACTCTGATTTAAAATCCTGACCCCTCTCCAATGCTCTGAAATGCACACAATTCAGTGCCCACCCAGGAAAGGAGATGCCCAGAGAATGAGTTTGTAGATGCCAACAAGACATTTCTGCTCAGGTCCTGCTAAGCTATAGGGTGTGGGGCAGGGAGTGGGGAAGAGGGAGATGGCGCCAAAAGTGTTGACAGGGGAACCGTTCTAATATAACCAATAGTACTCTTGAAATTTACACTTGCTGCTGTCCTAGTCATGCGTGGAGTTTTCATGTGTGGAGTTCCATGACTAGGAGTCCTAGTCATGCGTGGAGTTTTCATGTGTGGAGTTCCATGACTAGGAGTCCTAGTCATGCGTGGAGAGCAAAACGGGGCATCTGTTTGAGCTACACCTGAGTCTTGGTTCAACGTCTGCACATTTGTTTAAATTGTGTCTACTGGCCAGCCTCTCTCCTGGTTGTTAAAGTCACCACATGTAAAATCTCTCACAATTGAAAGCAAATTTCAGGGACACAGTGCACATCCCTTTCTCTGGGGACCTGGTCACTCATTCATTCATCCAGAGACAGGCACAGACAGGCTGTGACACAGGAGCTGGCAATGCGGTCTCCACGTGGCCGGAACTGAGCGGCTATCTGGAATAAAGGGAGGGATTGCAGCGGCTGGAGCCATGTGGAAGGTGCCAAGTCCTGATGGAAGGGTTGGAACTGAGACTGCACAGGCAAGAAGCCTGGCTTCTGATGTGCTCTGGATCTTTAGGCAGAATCACTTCATCCCTCCAGGGCTCTGCTTCATTCAGCTGTAAATGAAGTGGTAAGACCAGCTGATCTCTGAGAACTATTCCAGCTCTAATTAATTCTAAGCCCCCATTTACTCAACAGAAAGACTGTGGTACTTTCATAGTGTTTGTGTCTCTCATAAAATATTTATCTCTTCCTACTCTGCAGGGTAATTTCAGTGTCTGTGCTAGACTGTGTCTGTGCTAGACTGTGTCCATGCTAGGACTATCATTTGGGAATTGTAGACTAAAACCATCATAACGTATTAGCTAAATGACCTGGGGCGGGGCTTTTGGCTACTTTCTTTCTTTCTTTTTTGTAGAGACAGGGTCTCACTTTGTTGCCCAGACTGGTCTCAAACTCGGGCTCAAGCAATCCACCCACCTTCGGCCTCCCAAAGTGCTGGGATTACAGGCAAGAGCCATCACACCCAGCCAAGCTTTGAACTCAGTTTCTTCATCTGCGAATAGAAATATTAATGCCTTTCCTGCCTGTATCCCATAGGGTAATTGTGAGGATCAGTGTTCACAATGGGTGTGAACAAGTTCTTGTAAAATATGAAAGGGTGCTCTGCATAAGGGATTATTATTATGCTAAATTGCTTGGAGACCTAGGCTCCTTGTGTTACTCATCGAGGACCCGGCAGAGTGCTTGGCTCTTGGAAAGTACAAGAAATGTTTGCTCGGTGAATAAATAAATGAAAGTGTGAACAAAAGGTAGAAGCCCAAGATGGGCAAGATACAAAGGGATTCAATCTGCAAATGTGTTGTTCTATAAGCACCACCCTCCATCCTACTTCCACACTGAAGTGTTCAGGAGTTTACCTGTGAAGGACGAAAAAGCAGAGACTGTCATGTCATTCTGCTGTTCAGGCCCAACGAGTTACCTGCGGAGGTGGCAGTGAAGAGGGTTTGGTGGCCCTGACCCAGTTTTTGTTCTCTCAGCCCTGTGATGCTGCTGAAAACTCCACTCAGCTTCTCAGCCTAATAGCTGCAGCCCTTTGTTGGTTTCTAAGCCTCTTTGCACAAACCAATAACAAATCCACAAATGCCTGGAGGGGAAAAGATGTCAGGCTGACTTCAATGAGTCTTCTCTTCTCTGGGATCTTGGCCCTTGGTATCCCTCCAAAGCCTCCAGAAAGATGTTTTGGTCTTTCTCTAACAGCTCTGTTTGTTCTCCGTGGGAGGTTGAATCTGTCATAAACTAGTCCATCGTAAGCAGAAGTCGAAGCCCATGGGCATGTTTTTAACAGCCCTCAGTTGGCAACAAGCAAGTTTGAGAGTCCCTGAGCCAGGCCAATATTCTCATGGAGCAGAGGGGAGCCTGAGCCCCAGCCACGCGCTTTGCTAATATGACAGCTGGGTCTCAAACACTGGGTGCCTGATGTCCACGCCAATGTGCCTCCCACGGCACCAGGCCAGTCCCTCCAGAGGCACCCCTTTGTTTTATTTTCTTCTGTCCTTGTAAGCTGGCCAGTTGCCTTTGACCATAAGATGTACCATGGGCTCCTCCTGGGCCATGCACTGCCCCTCCCATGGGTGGGCAGTGCTGATGCCCGAGACACTGGGCACTCTGCTCACCCCACCCCCTCCTCCCTATCCAAGCTCAGACCACAGAGCCAGCCACTCCATGGTCCCAGACGTGAGGTCAGCTGTGGCTGGACCCTAATGAGCCTGGAAAGCCTGATTACAGCCTGTGGCTTCCTGAGTAATCATGGCCGCCCCCCTCCACCGGACTCCAGGGTGTGCCGGTCCCTCTCCTTCCCACGCACCTCGGCCACTGTTGCCCATCTTCCTTGGTGGCCTGAAGTGCCTTCCCTCAGCTCAGAGCAGCCACTAGCCCTTCTCTAGCCCTTCTCTCCTCTGCCCCTCACCCCTGCCTTGTTATTGGCAGGGTCAGTGGCACCCCGGCCTGGAGGGGCCTTGGTCAGCCTTTGTCCACATTC
The DNA here is from genome assembly GCF_000001405.40 of Homo sapiens. Lineage (NCBI taxonomy): Eukaryota > Metazoa > Chordata > Mammalia > Primates > Hominidae > Homo > Homo sapiens. Next base: position 27,667,180 of record NC_000008.11, read on the forward strand.
CTTGCCCCCACACTAACTACTAAACTACAGTTGTTGACTTCCTCCCTAGCCAGACCAGGTCACGCCTGCTGTCAGTCCTCTGCCCGCATGACTCATGCCTGGCCTGGAGGGCAGGTGGTGCCCTGCTCACCTAAGGAAGGCAGCCTTCTGAGTCCCCTTCTCACTCAGTGGGGACCCCAAAGCACTCTTTAGAAAAAGGCTCTGGGGTCTTCCTCCTCCAGGCAGCACCTAGGATTGCAGCCTCTCCTTCCTCCAGGCAGTGCCTAGGATTGCAGCCTCTCCCTCCTCCAGGCAGTGCTGGGAGTGGCACAGGAGCCAAGGTAGCGGCATGGGGGAAGGAGATTGGGTCTTAGAGCCTCTCGGGTCTGGATTGGAATCCTGACGCCAGCACTGTTATCTTGAGCACGTGGCCACCCGCTGCACCTGCATTGTCATCTGTAAAATGGAGCAACAGCCTCCTGCCTGGGACATAGCAGACACTCGACGAAGTTGGCAAATGTCACTGCTCTCATGTCCCTCCCTTCTCCACCCTGTGGGAGATTCAAGAAGGCATGGAGCAGGCAGAGAGTGAGCAGGGCTGACTATGGCACGCCAGCACCGAGCAGCTCCATCCGCCAGCCGTGACACGGGCAGCGAGGGAGGCTTCTGTCGGCACCACAGGCACCTGTCAGTAGCCCACGCGGAGACCCACAAGATGTAGACAGGCCCCCGATAACATCGTCCACTCTATCTTCTCCCGGCCGCTGCCTGGGACACCTCCCACTCCCATCTGGGTTCTCAGAGATGGGGTGAGAAGCGGCAGCTGTGGCTTAGGGGTGGATATAGAGAGGGAGGGAACCCTTCTCCCTGCATCCTCCCTCCACTCACGCTAGGCTGCAGCTCCTGGGCAATGAAGGGAATGATATGACTGAGGCTTCTGCATAAACATCCACCAGGAGCATGTGGGCGCTTGGGCCTCCACACCTAGGGAAAGACTCCCCAGAGCTTTCCGGGAAAGAGGAGCTGGAAGGGGCTGGTCGGGAGGAGGGAGAGTTTTTTCTCCTTTGCTGCTGGCACAGAATCCCTTAGAAATCACAGATAGCCGGGCGCGGTGGCTCACGCCTGTAATCCCAGCACTTTGGGAGGCCGAGGCGGGTGGATCATGAGGTCAGGAGATCGAGACCATCCTGGCTAACAAGGTGAAACCCCGTCTCTACTAAAAATACAAAAAATTAGCCGGGCGCGGTGGCGGGCGCCTGTAGTCCCAGCTACTCGGGAGGCTGAGGCAGGAGAATGGCGTGAACCCGGGAAGCGGAGCTTGCAGTGAGCCGAGATTGCGCCACTGCAGTCCGCAGTCCGGCCTGGGCGACAGAGCGAGACTCCGTCTCAAAAAAAAAAAAAAAAGAAATCACAGATATAGGCCAGGTGGGATGGCTCATGCCTGCAATCCCAAAACTTTGGGAGGCCAAGGCAGAAGAATCACTTGAGCCCAGGAGTTTGAGACCAGCCTGGGCAACATAGTGAAACCCCATCTCTGCCAAAAAATAAAAATAAAAAAATCAGCTGGCATGGTGGCATGCGCCTGTTGGAGGATCATTTGGGCCCAGGAGTTCAAGGCTGCAGTGAGCTATGATTGTGCCACTGCATTCCAGCCACAACAGAGGAAGACCCTGTCTCGGAAAAAGAAAGAAATCCTCACAGCTGGCTGCTGTGTTCTTAGAGACCAGGGAGGAGAGGTTGTCCACCAAAGATGGTGGCATAGAAAGGAATGGAGTTCCAGAAGAAGGTGAGAGGGCCCCAGCTGTGTGTAGGAGCAGGGCAGGGCATCCTTGTCCCAGCGAGTCTTCTCAGGCTTTTCCTGAGTCAAGGCTGGAGATGGGGATTGTGAACTTGTCCACCCAGAAGGCGAGAGTGGAGAGAGTGGAGTACCAGGGAGCTGGGGACAAGCCCTGGGGGAGAAGTGAGCCCAGGAGGAGTCGGGACAGAAGGAGGAGGCGAATGCCCACCCAGACAGGGAGGAGGGAGTGGCAGGAGAAGGGGTCATGGAGCTGCAGGGCCCTTGGAAGCTGAGTGAGCACGCAATTTTGTGGATGAAATATGAGTTTTGGAACAGGGTTGCCAGCATTGCCGCACCGCCAACAGCTTCGTGGGGCGTCTCCGCCTCTGTATGGCTCTCTGCTTTTCCAAACCGCAGCTGGCCCAGGCGCCAGGAGCAGAGGTAGGGTGAAGACAGACGCTATGGCTGTGCTGGTTCCCTGCAGGTCCTGCCAGGGTGGGGAGGTGGCTCCTGCACAGGCATCAGCCTGGGCCCCTGGCACTCTGGCTGCTGAGCTGCCAGGGGCTCCTGCAGGCCAAGGGCATCTCCTGCCTCCCGGCTTCTCTGAGGCCAGGCTGCTGCCACTGCTGCTGGCCACCTTTCATCCCTGGCTAACTCAACAATGGAATCTCAGCCTTGCTGCTGGCAGGCCACGTGAGCCATGCAGGGCCACATCCCCGTGGCGGGAGGTGGGCAAGGGCAGGTGGTGGCAGGGAACCGACTGGAAGGTTTTTATTGGCTCTGGTGGGGCTGGCTCTGTCTGGGCTCTGGTTTCCAGTTTAGGTCATAATAAAGGATGTATTCACTGACTCTGCTCCACTTAGAAACACTCTGGGAAGAAAACAAAGAGGGGCACAGCAGAGGGCTCAGATAGCATCAGCCAGGATGAAGGGGCCTGTGCCGCAGAACTGGGTACGGCAGTGGAGGGCTCCCAGCTCCCAGCATGCAGAATCCCTTCCCCCGAGAGGCCCACTTTCTGCCTTGTGTCCTCAGGGTTGGCACAGCTATGAGGGGTGGAGACTCTCAGACCCACATAGCCAGAAGGACATGAGGTCATCAGTCCCCTGTCCTCGGCACTAGACAGGGCTCCTTAAGGAAGGGCCGTATCTTCATCTTGGCAACTCCCGCAGGCCCTCATGCAGAGCCAGACTCACAGGAGGGTCCATGGCTGCTTGGTGAATCACCCCCTTCAAGCACATACTGAGTTTTCCTAACTGCATTCCAGGCTCTGTGTCCAGGGCTGGGATGTGAGCCGTGGCTCCTGCCATCTTCCTAGGGCTGCACAGTCTAGCAGGGCCCACCAGAGAGTACCCAGTGTTTGCTTTCACTGTGAGGTGACTTCTCTTTGTATGTGTCAATGAAAAGACTCACAACGTAGTAGCCTTAAGAGCTCAGTGAAGAGGCTGGGTGATCAGGGTGGGCTTCCTGGAGGTACTGACCTTTCTCTGGGCTGTCACTGTGCCCACTTACTCATACTGGGACACACCTATTTCTCATGCCCCACTTTCTTAGTTTTCTCCTCCATGTCACCTGACTTGAACCCTGTTCCCAAATGACTGAGAAGTCATGGGGGTGGGGTGGGGGTGAATACAGTGGTCAAAGACCATGCATGAGAAGGTACAGGAGGTCAGACTGGCCTCAGAGCAGGACAGGCAATCCTGGACAACCTTGGCCCCTTCTCGAAGCTGGCCAGCCCCTTGTTCCCTAATCTCAGTGTGTGTGCGGAGCTTCTCGAAGCTGGCCAGCCCCTTGTTCCCTAACCTCAGTGTGTGTGTGGAGCTATCGGCAAGCCTTGCAGTGAGAAATGAGTGTCCGCTGGACTTGTTCAACCCTCGGGCTGTCGCCGTGCCCGCTCTGCTCATGGGCGAGCCTCGGGTGGGGAGCCCCTGACAGACTGACCTCTCCCATCTTCTCTCCAACCTCAGGTGCCCCCGGCCCTCCAGGACCAAGAGGATTCAAAGGAGATATGGGCGTGAAAGGGCCTGTTGGCGGCAGAGGCCCGAAAGGAGACCCCGGCAGCTTGGGCCCCCTGGGACCCCAGGGTCCTCAGGGGCAACCTGGAGAGGCCGGGCCTGTGGGAGAAAGGGGCCCTGTTGGCCCTCGAGGGTTCCCAGGCCTCAAAGGCTCAAAGGGCAGCTTTGGAACTGGAGGGCCGAGAGGACAGCCAGGCCCAAAAGGGGACATAGGGCCCCCAGGGCCAGAAGGGCCCCCGGGGTCTCCAGGGCCCTCAGGGCCTCAGGGAAAACCGGGAATTGCAGGGAAGACAGGGTCACCAGGCCAGCGGGGGGCCATGGGGCCTAAGGGTGAACCAGGGATCCAGGGTCCCCCTGGTCTCCCGGGGCCTCCAGGTCCACCAGGAAGCCAGAGCTTCTACTGAGGAGGGCTGTGGCAGAGCCACTGTCACACAGAATGCCGGAGGGGCGCAGAGCAGATCCAGGCCCCAGAAAGCCTCACCTACAGACAGCTGTGGTCCTCTGATTCCAATGAGGGGGCTCCCCAGGGCTGACCCTGCAGCTTTGGGCTCCCCCATAGTGACTGTGCCATAGGAAAGCAGCCCCTCCTCACACATACATGTGCACATGCACACACATGCATGCACACACATGCACACATACACGCACATGCACACATACACATGCATGCACACATACACAGGCATACATGCATGCACACACACATGCACGCACACACACATGCACACATACACGTGCACACATACACAGGCACACATGCATGCACACATACACATGCACACACACATGCACACATATATGCACAGGCACACACATGTACGCACACACACATGCACTGCACACATATCCATGCACACAAACACATATATACACATGCACATACACAGATTTTTCTGCTGGCCAGGTGGGCCAACTGGGTTTCCCTGGCTGGGCAGGAGGAGAGGGCAGAGGAAGACCCCCTCTCCTGTGACTGAGCCTGCCAGGGAGGCAGCTACCTCGGGAGGAAGGTCTCACATCTGTCTCTGGGCACCCATGCTGGCCAGCAGTTTCCCAGGGCTCCCTGGGGTTGAAAAGCCCCAAGGAAACCTTTGCGGGTGGGGCGTTACTGCCAAAACTCCAGAGGCAAAGTGGACCTGGCAACCACAAGACCCTCCCCATAAGCAGGGGACCAGCATACCCGGGAGCTGTCCCTGTCTGTCACAGCACAGTGGGGCCACGAGGCTGACATTCTCTGGCCTTGCACACAGTGCCCCCTGAGAAGTTCAACATTTATTTCTTCACGTGTCCAGAAAATTCCTCAATTCATCCTTGCCTCTGCCCTTCAGGAGCAGCCTGGAAGGAATCCAAGCAGGAGTTTCATCTGCATGGGGGCACTCTGCAGGCCCTGGAACATTGGGCCTGAGTGGAGATGGGAGACAGAGGCAGGCCAGAAGGTTCTCTCTGCACAGCTGCCTCCCTTGCTCTCCCTGAGGCTGGCCTGCCCCATTCCCCAAGGGGGCTCCTCTGGAGTGGTGGGGAGGATTAGGCTGCAGAAGGGCCAACCCCTTGCAACAGGGCAGCTCTCGCCTCCCGCACACGGCTCTCCTGATCACAGCTGCATGCCGACCTTGTCCCACCGGGACCCACAATGGCCCGAGCCCTCTTTGCATGGGCAGCCAGCTGGACTAGGAGTGGGAAGGGCCTGGACACTCACAGAGGCCCCCTCTGTCATCACTCCTTGGCACCCACCAACTTCCTGCACACACTGGCAGAGAGGGGCGCTGGGAAATCACCCCACAGGGTGGAGGTCTCCTGTTGGCTACACTCTAAAGCTGCTTTGCCTTCATGTTCAAACAGATTCAGGCACCACCCCCTCCACCGCCCGCAAGGTTAGGGCATAGAGTTGTCTCCTTCCCAACACGGACCCAGAGAGCAGCCCTTCCCTGCTCAAAGCCTTTCCGCACCCTCCTGACTGTCCTGGATGTGCAACTGGTTTGCACTGCACACCCCACGGCCATGTAACTCTCCTGTCCACATATGATAATACCATTCTGCATAGTATTACTGACTCAGTAAAGAGCTATTTCCAGGAGTGAGGTGTCTTTGAGTCCTTTCTGCCTGACTTGGGGGCATGATGCCTTCAGGGCTGCACTCCAGGTGGGCCTCTGAAGGAGAACCAGTGACGAGGGTCCCCCAAAAATTCAATCTCACTGGAGTTGGGTCTAACCTCATTTTAGAAACACTGAGTTCGGCCAGGGACCAAGAGCGTCTGAGGGAATTACTCAGAGAGAGCAGGAACAGAGGGGGAAATGCTAAGCCCAATGCATCTTGCAGCCTGGCCCTGGAGCTCTTTGGCTAAAACAAGATTGGAAAACAGGGCAGGCCTGGACATGTGAGTGATACCTCCTGCTTCTGGCTTTTGTCTCCAAGACAAGGAGATAGAACAGGAAAGGAGGCAGAGACCAGGCCAGACCTGCCCCAAGGGGCCTGGCTTGGCAGGGTCTGCGGATTACGGAAGAGGACAGCCGGATCCTCTGTGAGTCGGCACAGCAGCCTCACTCACTGGCAAAATGTGACCTAGTGCAAGCCTGGAGCCCTGTTTTTTGGGTTTTTTTGGAGTTTTTTTGGTGGGTTGGTGCTTAGTTGAGGAAGTGAGCAAAAGGGCAGGGGGTGAGGATGGGGCCAAACATGGCTGCCTCACATGGACCTCACCGCTTCCTCTATAGTGAGTAGCATGAGGTCCCTCCTCCCCACTGACATCTGAGATGTCCACAGCACCTGACAATGTTCAACACACCATAAACATCAGCCATTGTCACGGTGGGACTTATTATATGGGTGAAGAGCCTCCTGGGCCACAGTGGGTGTGCTCTGTGCTCCTCTGCAGGTGAGTAGCCAGCACACCAGCCCCTGCATGTCTCATTTCACGCTCCCTGAACTGTGAGAGCTGGGAGGGACCTGGGGGAGTCTGAGGCTCAAGTCTCTTACTTCTCATGGGACAAACCAAGGACTGAGAGCAGTTGAGGGGTTTGCTGCACATCTGGGGCTGGAACTCCAGTCTGGTGTCTCTGGCTAGTGGTAGATCCAGTTCTCAGGCTACTTTCCTATTGGTGAGGGTCCTCAGGAAGCCTCCTACCACATATTTCTTGGGAAGTGTTCCCGCCCCAATCCTGTTCCCTGTCGTAAGTCATCAAACTGCTCTTAGTATTAATGTGGCCCTTTGGAGTATCTGGACAGCTCTAGGTACTACTGAAATCCAAACAGCGGAACCTGGGGTTTAAGGGGACAGACAGTTAGAACTGCAAAGCTTGAAGCAAATGCTGAGAATCCCTATATTCATAAATTTTGTGAATGGATGAAACCCACCTCAGAGTGGGTGATTGAGTGAGTTCCATGATGGAGGTGCCTCGGTGGCCATGGAAACGGGGCAGGTTGTGCTTCTGCCCTGCTGGCCCTTCATCACTGTGGGACCTTAGGCCTAGCACTGGCCCTCTCTGACCTTCAGTTTCGTCATCAGAAAACAGAGGGAGTGGACTGGTCTTGCCTCCATTGAGTCTGACATGCTGTGTTCCTCTGTCCTGCAATTCTAACCAAGTGCTCCTTCTCCTGCCCTGCTCGGTTATTTTCTGGAACTTTCCAGGGCCAAGGCGATGAAGTCTGAACCCACATTGAGTGGTAACAGCCATTGGAATTTCAGTCTCCAGATTAGAAGCCCAGCCTTCACCACTGGGGTGATTTTAATCCCCACCAGACTTGCAAAGCCCTGAAGTCACTCCTGGGCCTCTTTCTTTTCTCTCTCTTTTTTTTTTTTTTTTTTTTTTGAGATGGAGTCTTGCTCTGTCACCAGGCTGGAGTGCAGTGGCGTGATCTTGGCTCACTGCAACCTCCGCCTCCTGGGTTCAAGTGATTCTCCTGCCTCAGCCTCCCGAGTAGCTGGGACTACAGGCGTGCACCACCATGCCCAGCTAATTTTTGTATTTTTAGTAGAGATGGGGTTTCACCATGTTGGCCAGGATGGTCTCGATCTCTTGACCTCATGATCCATCCACCTCAGCCTTCCAAAGTGCTGGGATTACAGGCGTGAGCCACCGTGCCAGGCTGCCTGGGCCTCCTTCTAAGAAGAGCAGGGGCTTGCTGGAAGCCACAGACCTGGCTCATGTCCTCTGAGTGCCTCTAAAAACCCCAGGCCAGCCCACTCCTTTCACCCTGGCGACCTCACCACCTCTCCAACCCAGGCAGGACAGGGGGCTGGGCAAGCCTTCTGCCGTCCCTCCAACTCGTCTCTAGCCAGGGCTGAGCTGACAACTTCTGTTGCGCCAGCCCTGGATACACCTGTCAAAACAGAGCCGCGGGAGAGGAGAGCAGAGAGCTGAAAAACATGGTCTGACCACAGTGAACTTTCCAGTGGGGCTGGGCTAGGCTGGGCTGGCAAGCCTTGACCTGTGGGTGGTGTGCTGAGCAGCCTGGCTGGGGATTGTTTGACCTGCAGGAGCACAGGCCCTTTGTTTTGCTTGCCTTCTTCTGTCTTGCCCTTTTGTTTTCTTTTGAACACTTCCAAGTGCAAGACTCTGTGCTTGGTGTGGCAGGCGGTATACACAGGCTGGTGTAGTGCCAGGACTTTGGGAGGCCAAGGCAGGTGGATCACTTGAGGTCAGGAGTTCAAGACCAGCCTGGCCAATATGGTGAAACCCCGTCTCTACTGAAAATACAAAAATTAACTGGGCAGGGTGGTGTGCACCTGTAATCCCAGCTACTTGGGAAGCTGAGGCAGGAGTGTTGCTTGAACCTGGGAAGTGGAGGTTGCAGTGAGCTGAGATTGTACCACTGCACTCCTCCCTGGGTGACACAGTGAGACTCCATCTCTAAATAAATGAATAAATAAATAAATGCAGATTGTGGGCCTCCCCCCCAGAAACTCTGATTCAGAATCAGGGACGCGGTGGGATGGGAGGAATGGGGCGGGACGGGGTGTGGGGAGGTGGGGGAGGAACGTGTACTTCCCCCAGTTTCCCAGGGATTCTGACGCCCCAGATAAAACTTGAGAGCCACAGGTGTAGGAGATATAGAAAAATATTGTTTTTTGATTTATGTATATAATTTCAATTAATCTTCACAAGCAAAGTGTGTTTGCATTTTATAGATCAGAAAACAAGGCTCAGAAAAGCTAACTCGCTCAAGGCCACATAGATGTTAAGTGGTTTCAAACCCAGGATTTTTAGAAGCTGCTATACTGAGCTGCTTCTTACAGAAAGGTGGCATTGGAAATTAGATAAGACCTGTGTTTGCATCTGAGATTGCTGAGTTCCACAGAATCAACTTGCTCAAGTTCCCAGAGCCAGCTAGTGACAAAGCTGTGACAAGGCTTCACACTGAGGGCTGCTGGGTTTCCCGGTTCCAGCTGCCTCGTTACTAACACCACCAGTGAGAGCAGTGCAGGAGATGGCAGCAGGAGTGTGCTTCTGGCTGGGAGAGTTGGCAACTTCTCAAAGGAAGCCAGGTGCTGACCTCAGCCAGGCCCCCGACTTCCCTGAGGCCTTTTCCCTAAGCCCAAAGTCTCCAACATAGGTGTCCAACGAAATCCCCTGAAGTGAGGAACAAACTATTAAATATTAGAACATCTCAATGTGTTTCATCTATTCTAGGTCACACTTTGTTTTCACATAATCGGATATGATATGAAGCCAGCCATAAAGCCCAGGATGACCAAGAATATAATTTGAAAATGAATTTGTTTACTATCCTTAATGGTAAGCATCACCTTAAGCACATATTATGCCTTGAGACACTAGCCAATTGTGGTACATGAAAATAATTTATAAATAAATAAATTTACCTATATTAGGAAGATGATTTAAATGTTTATTTTACTAAGGGGGATGTGATTAAAATATTTGGACACCACTGCTCAAACCCAACTCTGTTGCGTCCAACACTCTGCCTTCTGATAAAACACAGCTCCCTATAGGGAAAGGGAGAAAGGGAATATCCACGTGATTTTACCCAGATTTGTAATATGATGGTTTCTTCTCCTTCTGAACTCCCAGACGAGGATGTTCCCCAAGTTTACAACTTGGGACTTGCTTGTTCCCCATCATCCAATATTGTCATCATTTCAGCTTCACAGGCTTCCCTTCTTCGAGATGTAGACACATTTAAAACCTTAATAGGCAGTTTGCGGATCCCACTGAATTCCTTCACTCATTCAACAAATAGTTCTTGAGTTGCAACTAGCTTCCCCATACTGCACTACCTACAGAAAAGGCAACTTCCAGATTCACCTTAGCTTCCTGTCCGGGGCCACTTTCCAAACTACCACACAGAGAAGTGGAGCCCAAACAGAGCCATAGTCTTATGGGAAGAAGAAACGGTGACTGGAGTTTGCGGCTGCCAAGGCAGCTGGAATTGGATGGGGTACTGAGCAGGAGGGAGCTGTGCACAGAAGGAGCTCAGATATCTGCACATACTTCCCCTTGAGTGACTGATCAGCTCGAATCTATGGGGAATCTGTGAGCTGACTAGAGATGCTGAAGGGTATACAGTGGTGGGGAATTTTGGAGGTCTGACCAGCCTTACTAAACAACACCATGCATTCAGTTGAGATACCAGAAAATCGATAGCTTAAAAGTAAAACCACTGTAGTTCTAGAGTAGCAGCTATTCTAGACTACAGTAACAAAGCTAAAAAAGCAGCATCTCTCTCTCAATAATTGATAGAATAAGTAAACAGAAAATCAGTAAGGATATAGAAGACTTGAACATTACTGTGGGCCAATTTGACCTAATAATATGAGAAAAACACTGCACCAGCTGTGGGTGAAGATCATTCTTTTCAAGGGCAGATAAAATATTTATCAAGGTAGAACATGATGTGAGCCATGAAACAAGCCTCAACAAATGTAAAAGAATTCAAATCACAGGAAATATGTTCTGTGACCCCATGGCATTTAATTAGAAATAAGCACAGAAAGATATCTACTGTCTTCAAATAACTGGAAATGAAATAACACACTTCTAGTTGCTCATGAGTCAAATAAAAAAATCACAAGTGAAATTAGAAAATATTTTGAACTTCATGAAAATGAAAACATAACATATGAAATTTGTGTGATACCGCTAAAGCAGTGTATGGAGGGAAAATTATAACATTAAACATTTGTATTAGAAAACAAGAAAGTTCTCAAATCAATGACCTAAACTTTAACCTTAAAGTTTAATACAAGAAGGGCAAATTAAACCCAAAATAAACAGAAGAAAAGATACAATAAAGATAAGAATTTAAAGAAAATGCAAATAGAAAAATATAGAGAAAAATTCATGAAATCAAATACTGATTCACTGGGATCAACAAATGAGTAAGTCTTTAGTCAGACTAATCAGAAATAAAAGAGGGAAGACAGAGATTACCAAGAGTGAGACCATCACCACAAATCCTACAGACATTAAAAGGATAGTAACAGAATATTATGAACAACTTTATGTCAATAAAGTTGACAACTTACATGAAAGTGGACAAAGTTCTTAAAGAATACAAACAACCACAGCTCACTCAAGAAGAAATAATGAGTATAGCTCCATTGCTATTAATATAACTATGAAAGCAATGAACTTTATAGTTAAAAGCCTTCCCACAAAACAACTCCACACCCAAATAGGCTCACTGATGAATTCTGCCAAACATTTAAGGAACAAATAATACAAATTCTACACAAAGTCTTCCAGAAAATAGAAGAGGAGGAAACACTTCCAAACTTCTTCTGAGTCTAGCATTGCCCTAATAGCAAAACCTGATACAAACTGCAAGAAAATAAAGCCATTACAAGAAAAGGAAATTATAAACTGGTATCCTTCATAAATATAGAAGTAAAAGCTTTAAACAAAATTTTAGCCAATCAAATGCAGCAATATTTAAGATGGATAATATAAGTGGGGTTTATCTCAGTATAAACCTTGTAGTTGTTTTAATACTCAAAAATCAATGTAGGCCAGGTGTGGTGGCTCACGCCTGTAATCCCAGCACTTTGGGAGGCTGAGGCGGGCAGATCACCTGAGCTCAGGAGTTCGAGACCACCTTGGGCAATATAAATGGAATCATACTGTATGATTCTCTTTGTGTCTAGCTTCTTTTCTTAATTACATTGTTTTTGAGTTTTCTTCATGTTGTTGCTTATATTTTATTGTCGTTCTCCTCCTTCCTGTTTTTCTTCTTCTTCCTCCTCTTCCTTGTTCTCCTCCTCCTCTTTCTTCATAGTGTCACATTTAATGAAAATACCACAATATACTTACTTACTTACTAAGTAAGTAAGTCTCTACTAAAATACAAAAAATTAGCCAGGCATGTAGTGGTGAGAATAAAGACACTTTTTTATTTCTTAATTTCTCTAAAACATGTTTTGTTAAAGGGGAAATCATCACTGTGGGGTTTACGACATACAAAAGTAAAATGAGCAGTAACAGTAGCACAATGGAAGGGAAGTGGATCAGTGGAATATTCTTGTATCATATTCACTTCTCATAAGTCAAAAATATTAATGCAAGGTAGGCTATGATAAATTAAGAATGTATATTATAGTTTTTAGAGCAACCTGTATCAACAACAGCAACAAAAAAATTTACTCTCTCAGGAAGTGATAGGTCAAGTAGGCTAAAAAAATCTATTAGATTTGAGAAGATATGAATTAGGTCAACTAACTTAACATTATTGGCATTTACAGAACACAATAACCAACAACTCCAGAACATACATTATTTTCAAGGGCACATCAGATATTAACCAAAATAGACCATGTGCTGAGCCATAAGGTAAGTCTCAATGCATTTGAAAAAGACTTAAATTACACAGACAGTACTCTCTCTACATGGAAGTAAATTAGAAATCAGTAAATGAGAGATACACGTCAAATCCACAAGTACCTGTTACAGCAGCACGTAGACTAATATTGGAACGATACAGAGATTAGCCTGACCCTTGTACAAGGTTGACATGCAAATTCAGGAAGTCTTCCTTTTTTTTAATCCACACATTCTTAGCAATTAAAGATAAAAACCTCTAAATAACCATAGATCAGAAAGAAAAAAAATCAGAGAAAATTAGAAAATATTTTGAACTGGATAGTATTGCAAACATAACATACCAAAATATGTTGGATGCAGATAAAGCAATGCTTAGGAAATTTAGAGCTTTAAATGAGTATATAAGAAAATAAAGATTTAAAACTTACTGATATATGTTTTCACTTTAATAAGATAGAAAAAGAAAAGAAATTTAAACCCAAAATAAATTGAAGGTAGAAAACAATATTAAAGCCAGAATCAATAAAATAGAAAAAAGAAAATAAAGGAAAACCAACATGACCAAAAGTTACTTCTTTGAAAAGATAAATAAAATAAGAAACCCCTAGATAAAGTGATCAAGACAAAAAGGGAAGAAACAACAATAGTAATGAAAAAGGGAACATCACTATAGAATCAACAGACAGTGAAGGGTAACAAAGAAACATTTTGAACAAGGTTATACCACCAAACTCAATAACCTAGATGAGATGGGCAAATTCTTTGAAAGATAAAAATCACAGAAACTAATACAAAAAGAAAATCTCCACTAATATTTTAAAAATTGAATTCATAGTTTAAAATTTTTTCCTAAAGAAAACTCCAAGTCCAGTTGGTTTTATTACTGATTTATTTCAAACATTTAAGAAATACATAATGCCAACATTAGACAAACTCTTTCAAAAGAGTAGGAAACCAGTAAGGTACAAGAAAATAAAATCGTAGACAAATAATCCTCAGGAATATAAATGCAAAAATTCTTAACAAATTGAATTAGCAGCCAGCAAATCAAATTTAGTCATCATAAAGAAGATAATGTACCATGGCTAAGTGGGGCTTACCACAAGAATGCTAGGCTAGTTTAATATTTTGAAAATCAATCAATATAGTTTGTCATATGTACAGAGTTAAGGAGAAAAATAATTTGATCATCTCAATAACTGCAGAAAAAATAATTGTTAAAATTTAACATTTTATAATTAAAATTCTCAGCAGACTAGGAATCAAAGGAAACTTTAAACTTAGACAAAACCCTTTTAAGAAAATCCTTTAACTAACATCACACTTAAAGGTGAAAGACCAAATGCTTTCTCTCCAAAATCAAGAACAAGGCAAGAGTATTGACTCTTACAACTTACAGCCAACATTGTACTGGAGGCCCTATCCTGTGAAATAAGACAAGTAAAGTAAAGATAACTTATAAAAAATGGAAAAGAAGAAGTAAAATAATCTCTACTTACAAATAAATAAATTCCTAAGGAAGTTACATAAAAACTCGCTTTTAATAAAATATAAACTTTGATCAAAGCCTACAAGGTCAATATACAAAAGTCAATTGTATCTCTATATACTAGCTACAAAAAAATTTAAAAAACGAAATTCAAGAACTATCACTTACATGATCAGCAAAGAACATAAAATACTTGGTAACAAATTTGACAAAATTTGTTTAATATCTCTACATATGGACTGGGTGCAGTGGCTTACTCGCATAATCCCAACATTTTGGAAAGCTGAGGCAGGAGGCTCACTTGAGGCCAAGAGTTTACAACCTGCCTGGGCAACAGAAGCGAGACTTCATCTCTTAAAAAAAAAATAATAGCCAGGTGTGGTGGCATGCACCTGTAGCCCCAGCTACTCTGGAGGCTGAGACAAGAGGATTGCTTGAGCCCAAAATGTCAAGGCTCCAGTAAGCCAAAATCATGCCACTTCACTCCAGCCTGGGCAACAGGCTGAGATTCTGTCTTAAAAAATAAAGTAAACAAATCTCTACATATAAAGTTAAAAAGCATTGCTGAAAGAAATTTTTAAAAGCCAGACTAAATGGCGATATATACCATGTTCATGGATGATATATCTCTGTACCCAAATTGATCTATAGTCAATGTAATCCCAAACAAAATTCCAGCATGTATTGTTTTGATTTTTGGTTTTTTGGTAGAAATTGAGAAGCTGACGATAAAATGTACATGAAAATGCAAAGGACATAAAATAGTAATGCAAAATAAAACAAGAATATCTTGAAAAAAAAAGAACCAATTTGGAGGACTTACATTGCTTGTTACTATAAAGATATTATAATCAAGACAGTGTGGTATTGATGTAAAGACAGGCAGATAGTCAAATGGAATAGAACAGAGTCAGAGATGAATTTAATAATAGTCAATTGCATTTTTACAAAGGCACCAGAAGAAATGAATGGGGAAGAAATTCTTAAAAAATGGTGCTGGAACAATTGGATATCCATATGGGAAAAAAATATATCTTGATGTTTACCTCATCATATACACAAAAATTAATTTGAGATGGATCAAGACCTAAATATAAAAGTAAAAATTACAGAGCCTCTAGATAAAGGAAAATACTATCATGAACTTGGAATGACAAAGTTTTCTTAGCTAAAACAAGAAAAACATTAACCATAAAAAATTGATAAGCTGGATTTTATCCAAATTAAAATCTGCTTATTAATAGGTCTATTTAAGTAAATGATAAGGTATGTTACACATTCGGAGAAAATATTTGACAAATAATTTATAAATAGAATATGTAAATATCTCTTGCATCTCAGTAATAAGAAGATAGTCCACAAAAAAAGGTGAAATGTTTAAACAGATACTTCACAGAAGAATATGTAACATGTGTAAAGATGGTCAGCATTTACAACTATCAGGTGACCAAGGAAATGCAAATTAAAACCACTACACTCATAATAGAATAGTTAAAATTAAGAAAACCATACCAAGTGTTGGCAAGGATGTAAAGCAACTGAAACTCTCATACATTGTTATAGGGAATGTAAAATTATGTAACCACTTTGTTTTTTTCTTTAGTTTTCCTGTTCCCTTCTTTTCACAGGTATTGATAGATAACTACTTTGAAAAACAGTTTGGTCATTTCTTAAAAAGTTAAACAAACACCTCTCAAATAGTCTAGCCATTCTACTCCTAGGAATTTACCCAAGAGAAATAAAAACATAGATCCAAAAAATTATTGTACAAGAATATTCATAGATTTGTTTATAATTAGCCAGAAACTAAAAAAACAAAAAACAAAAAAAACACACAAAAAACAAATGTCGATCATCAGGAGAATGGATAAACAAGTTGCGGCATACCCACAGTCAAAAGGAATAAGTAACATTAGACACAAAAATATGGATGAATCTCAAAAAACAAAATGTGCTGACTGAGAGAAGCCATACAAAAAAAGGGTACATCATGTGTAATTCCATTTATGTAAAATTCTAGAAGAGGCAAAACCAATATAGCGTGGTAGAAATGAGATTGTAACCTAGGGCAGAAGTGGTGTAATTGACTGTAAAGAAGCATAAGGAAATCTTCTGAGGTGAGAGAAATGTTCTATATCTTGATTAGGGGTGGTGGTTACACACACAGGTGTGTGCATTTGTCAAGACTTGCCAAATTATGCCCAATAATATGTGTGCCTTTTTTGTATATAAACTATACATTATAGAATCATAAAACTAATTTAAAAACAACTAGAATATAATATTTTACTCAGTAGAATAAACTTAAACAGACATAAAAAGTCAAATATTAGGATTTTCCTGGTAGGAGTATGAAATGGTAGAACCTCTTTGGAAAACTGTTTGGCTTCTTATGAAGGTAAACACCCATCTACCAGATGACTCAGCATTTCCACTCCTAGGTATTTGCCCAAGAGAAAGAAAAACATAGTCTACAAAAACACTTGTACAAAAACACTCATACCAACTTTACTCATATTTGCCCCAAACTGGAAACAGCCCATATATCCATCAACAGGAGAATGGGTAAGTAAATTGTGGTATTTTCATGAAATGTGACACTATGAAGAAAGAGGAGGAGGAGAACAGGGAAGAGAAGGAAGAAGAAGAAAAACAGGAAAGAGGAGAACGACAATAAAATATAAGGAATGACATGAAAAAAACTCAAAAACTATGTAATGAAGAAAAGAAGCTAGACACAAAGAGAATCGTATAGTATGATTCCATTTATGTTAAATTTTATAAAAGGCAAAGCTACTCTGTGATGCTAAAAATAAAAATAGTCCTTGCCTCACGTTGTGCAGGGAAGAGCAAGAGCTGATAGAAAAAAACATATGTTTTTGCTGTCATGAAAATGGTCTCTATGTTAACAGGTGGGTGATTTAGACAGGTATCTACATTTGGTAAAACATATCAAACAACACACATGATCTGTGCATTTCATTAAATATAAAGTAAAACTCAACTTTAAAAAAAGTCATAAAAATAGAAATTCACTTCCAAATGCTCATGAGCCAAAAAAGAAGCAATAAAAATTAGTTTAAATAAATATAGAAAACATTTTCAAACTATTTTATAATGAAAATAAGTAGAGGAATGTGGCTGAGGCAGCAACTGGAGAGAAAATTAATAGCCTTGAACATCCATATTAGAAACAGAAGTCTGGGTGCTGTGGCCCACGCCTGTAATCCCAGCACTCTGGAAGGCTAAGGCAGGAGGATCACTTGAGGCCAGAGTTCTAGACCAGCCTGGGTAACATAGGGAGATCCCATCTCTACAAAAAATAATAATAATTTGCTAGGCATTGTGGTACATACCTATAGTCCCAGCTACTTGGGAGGCTGAGGGAGGAGTTCAAGGTTACAGTGAGCTATGATTGTGCCACTGCCCTCCAGCCTGGGCAACAGAGCAAGGCTGTGTCAAAAAAAAAAAAAAGGAAAAGGAAAAGAAGAAAAGCTAAAATAAATGAATTAAATGAATTCAGTGTTCAACTTAAGAAGTTTGGCCGGATGCAATATCACTTATAGTCCCAGCTACTCAAGAGGCTGAAGCAGGAGGATCTGCTTAAGCTCAGGAATTTGAGGCTGCAGGGAGTTCTGATTGCATCTGTGAATAGTCACTACACTCCAGCCTGGGCAACATAGTGAGACACTTCTCTAAAAAAAATTTTAATTAATGTAAAAAAAAAGTTTAAAGAAGTGTACCAGAACACACACAAAGAAAGTAGAAAGGAAATAATAAAGGGTAGAAATCAGTGAAATGGAAAAAAGAAAGTTTAGAATGGAGAGGACCTGGAAAGCCAAAAGTTCCACACCCTCTTCTTCAGGTAACAACAACAAACCCTATGCAATATTGATCAAGAAAATGAAAAAAGTCATAAGTACAGAATATTAGCAATGGAAAAGGTGACATTAAAAGGAAATATTATGAAAATTTGACACCAATAATTTTGAAAACTTAGATGAAACAAACAAATTCATAGGAAAACATAACTCACCAAAACTGACTTAATAAGTAGAAAACCTGAATAGGTCTGAAACCATTCAAGAAATTGAATCAGTGGTTTAAATATTCCCACAAGGAAAGCAACAGGTCCACATAGAAAGACCTACAAGCAAATCCTACCAAAACACTCAAAGAAGTCAAAACTCCAATCCAACACAAACTCTTCCTGAGAACTGAAAAAATAGAACTCATCCTCTAACTTAATTTATAAGAACAGAAAATCCTGTTACCCAAAGCAGAAAAGAAAATACCTAAATAGATGCAGAAAGGGCATTTAGTAAATTGAGCATGCATTTACAGTTTTTGAAAAGTCTTATCAAA
The DNA here is from genome assembly GCF_000001405.40 of Homo sapiens. Lineage (NCBI taxonomy): Eukaryota > Metazoa > Chordata > Mammalia > Primates > Hominidae > Homo > Homo sapiens. The sequence continues at coordinate 27,685,570 of NC_000008.11, forward strand.
CTAGGAATAAAAGGGAACTTTTAGATCTAATAAATAGTATGTACCCAAAATGCCCACATCTTTCAGAAAGCTGAAGCAGTGGAAGTATTCTATTTAAGAGAACCAGACATGACCTGCCCCCGTTATGATGCAGTGGAAAGTACACAACACCACCTATGAAGTTGATTTGTCAAAAAAAGAAAGAAAACAAAAGAAAATCACCCTACGTGTAATCAAGCCTCTAGACCTATCTTCAGTTTAGAGGCAAGAGCTCCAAAGAAAGAAACATGTTAAACAACACCATTTTTATGACTGGGGAGGTGCTGCCCAGTCAAACCCAGTAAAATCCAGTTTCTCCAACAAATAAACACATGAGGTGGGGGGGAAATGTGTACAGAGGATGTTAAAGATTAAAAGACACTTAAAGTTAATCCTCAAATAAAAGTTTGTTGAAAAAAGAGGACTGAAGAGATACATCAACCAAATGCAATGTGCGGACTGTGTTTGAATCTTAATTAAACAAAGCAAATTATAAATAAAAGCTTTTTTAAGAAAATCATAGAAATTTGAATGCAGGTTTTATTATTAGATTATGTTAAGAAATTATTGTTGCTGGGCGTGGTGGCTCATGCCTGTAACCCCAGTGCTTTGAGAGGCTGAGGTGGGAGGATTCCTTGACCCCAGGAGTTAGAGACTAGCCAGGGCAACATAGGGAGGCCCCTTCTCTACAAAAAAGGAAAAAATTAGCCAGGTGTGGTGGCGCACAGCTGTAGTTGTCCCAGCTACTTAGGAGGCTGAAGTGGGAGGACCGTTTGAGCCTGGGAGGTCGAGGCTGCAGTGAGCTATAATTGTGCCACTGCACTCCAGCCTCAGCAACAGAGTGAGACTCTGTCTCTTAAAAAAAAAAATACATACATACATATATATGTAAACTTTAAAGACAAAAAATAATAATACTACAAAGAAGTATTTTAGTAAGAAACAAGGAGGACACAAGGCTTCCCTGTTCACTATCATGGGGCCTCCTGGGGGGCCAGGCTGCTGGTTCAACCATCTACACCGCACCTCCCTGGCTTCTGCATGTACCATTTATTTCTCCCTTGTTCTTTATTGCTCTGGGCTTAAATCCTGTCCATCCTGCAAACCCAGCTCAGATGCTGCCTATAGCAGGTAGCTGTTGTGTTAGTTTACGAGTATCCACACCCTCTTCTTAGGTAACAACACCCCTATTTTCTGTTTATCTTCAACTTTTATTTTAAGTTCAGGGTACATGTGCAGGATGTGCAGGTTTGTTACGTAGGTAAACGTGTGCCATGGTGGTTTGCTGAACAGATCAACCCATCACTAAGTATTAAGCCCAGCGTTCATCAGCTGTTCTTCCTGAGGCTCTCCCGCTCCCCACCCACCCCTCGACAGGCCCCATTGTGAACAACAATCCTATTTTATTTTGGATAAACACCTTTAATAACTTCATATGGTTCAAATGGGGCTGATCTCAGCAACCACTTTCCCCCAGGGGTGGGCAGGTGACTCAGGTCTGTCCAATGATAATACCACCTTGATTGCAGGAACAGGCTTTTTACCCAGGTTGAACCAATTAGCCAAAGAGTGTCCACTCCCAGAATTTTGCTGGAAGTATTAGAAAAGAGGCACTTTCTCTTCTCTGGGTTGCTAATTTAGAAGACTGAAAGCCTGGAGTTGTTGTGGCCATTTGTCTGAATAGGAGAGAAGACCCTACCTCAGAAAGAAGCCACCATAAGAAAGTAGAGACACAGAGCCTGATGCCAATATTAGAGTTTCTGAATACAGCCACACTTCCCCTGCTCTAACCAGTCTCCTTCCTCAATCTTGCAGGATATTCATTAATAAAAGACCCTGGGTAGAGGGAATGATAAAAATAGAGAATAAGAAAGAGAGCTAGGAGAGAGACAGAGAGAATGAGAGTGAGAAAGACAGAGAAAGGCAGAGAGAAAAAGGGAGGACAGAAGGCAGGAAGAGAATGCATTGTCTTTAGAATCAAGAACAAGACAAAAGTCTGCCTGCATTTATCACTTATTCAACACTGAACTGGAGGTCTTATAAATTTCAATAAAGAAACCTAAATAGTAAAAGGTACAGAGGGACTAACTCTCTGGTGTCTGGCCCAAGAGGGGCAGAGGATGCTTAACTTAGAAAAAAAAAAAGCAGGCCAGGCACGGTGGCCAATGCCTGTAATCCCAGCACTTTGGGAGGCCAAGGCAGGTGGATCTCCTGAGGTCAGGAGTTCGAGACCAGCCTGGCTAACATGGCGAAACCCGTTTCTACTAAAAATACAAAAATTAGCTGGGTGTGGTGGCAGGCACCTGTAATCCCAGCTGCTCAGGAGGCTGAGGTGGGAGAATTGCTTGAACCCGGGAGGCGGAGGTTGCAGTGAGCTGAGATCGCACCACTGCACTCTAGCCTGGGCGACAAGAGTGAAACTCCACCTCAAAAAAGAAAATGAAAAGCAAGGAAGAACTAGGAATCTGATGGCTTCTTTAGTCACCAAGAGGAAGAACATTCTGGACCGGAATAGTAGGAGCTGTTCCAAGAAACTTTCAACTATTCAAAAATATTTATTAAATGTCTCCTGCATTTTGAGTATTCTAATGAAAAATGATAAACAGAACAGGATTCTGTAACCAGTCTGTCCCTGTAATTAGTGGCCTGTGTATGGTTTGTACTCTACAATTATTTCCATCTTCAGGAGGGAATGATTTGTTGTATTCATGATAGATGGTCAGTGATGACTTATGATGGGGAAGGAGGGGGAAAGTGAATACAAAGCAACAGATAAATATAAAGAAAAAAACTGGAAGTCCTTGATATTGGCAAAAAAAAAAAACCAGCCAGGTGCAGTGATTCACACCTGTAATCCCAGTACTTTGGGAGGCTGAGGTAGGAGGATCGCTTGAGTGCAGGAGTTCAAGACCAGCCTGGGCAACACAGTGAGATTCTGTCTCTACAAACAATAAAAAAGTTAGCTAGGCATGGTGGCACGTGCCTATAGTCCCAGCTACTCGGGAGGCTGAGGTGAGAGGATTGCTTGAGCCTGGGAGGTAGAAGTCAGGGGTAGGGAGAGAGCAAAGTTTCAGAGCTTCTGAGACCTGGAGAGAAAACAGGAATGTACAAGATTCAATAGTGAATATGGCTATAGGGGCATTCAGGAAGGAATCCCTTAACCCAGCATTTTTCAGACTTGCTTAGGAAGGGAGCTCTTAGCTGCAACTTTAAACATCTAAAGTAGGTTAGGGAGGGCCACACGGGGCTTTTAGGGTTCTGACAATATTTTATTTCTTGACCTGGGTGAAGGTTACACAGGTATTGGCTTTATAATTATTTTTCAACTGTACATACATGCGTATGTTTTTGTTCTTTTTTAAAAGTATGATATATTTCACAGTGTTTTATAAGAAGGGGCTGGGGAGCTCTGTGTTTAAAGAGGCTCTCTGCAGCAGCCCCCAAGGCACCTCCTTAGAACCTGGAATTCCATGGGAAACATCCTGAAAATGTTAGTGACCACAGCAAGTCAATCAGAACAGGCCCAAAAATCCAAAGCGGAGTCTGGGAGGAGTGTGTGTGTCCAGGCAGCCCAAAAGCATCCGAAGAAGTGAGATTTGATAAACCAGTTCCGGAAGTGTCCACAGGAAATGGAGCCACTCTCTGGGTCCAGGGTCTAAGGACCCCCAGTTCCGACGGAAGGGCGGGCTTGTGGAGACAGTGGGAATTACTTTTGTTTCCCCAGAACCTAGAATGCTGAGAGTGAATGGGCTTTATGCCAGGCTGGGGGTGGAAGTTCACAAGGAAGAGGAACGAGGAAGGGAAACGGGAGCGGCTGATGAAAAGCATGATTATCCTGAGCCGGTTCCAAGCTAAGCCACTGACCCAACGCGATGCTGGGAATGCACTGAGCGGTGACCCACTCATATCTCATAACCTCCCCACAGCACAGAGAGCAGATCTGGGTGGGAGGACAGGATTACCAAGGCCCTCTCTTCGAAGACACAAGTGCTGTTGTGTTTGGATGTGGGTGTGTGAGCATCGAGAAAACACCTAATTTTTCTAGAAGCTGGGAACCGTGTGTTTGGGGATGGCCCAGCTGGGTCCTTGCAGGGCCCCAGGTCCTCACAGAACCTAGTGGGATGGGAGGCCCGGTGCTCTCTCAGCTATGCTTAGGCTGGGCCGGACCTAGCAGAGGATCCTGGGCCCATCCTAAAGACCAGTGTGGGCCAGAAAGGCGGTTTATGTATTTATCATGAGCACAACTTCCTTCTAGGCTGGGCACGGTGGCTCAAGCTGGTAATCTTAGCACTTTGGGAAGTTGACCCAGGAGGATTTCTTGAGGCCAGGAATTCAAGACCAGCCTGGACAACATAGCAAGACCTCATCTCTACCAAAATAAATAAATACAATAAAGATTTTTTTAAACGACTTACTTCTAGAGACCAAATATCTGTATCTGTTATTCAGAGAGGCTACCTTTTCCAGTATTAGAGTACCCAAGAGACTGATCAGAAGTCACTGTGTTACTTTGGAATTTCTAGCCCCTTCTGATCTTAACACTCTGGGATAAAATACAGGAATTACTCACCTCCATGCCTCACCGTGTTGTCGCAAGAACTGAGACAAACAGCGTATATCTTGGTATCTCTGACAGTTTCCTCCCATCAGTCAGGGAGTCCACAGGCCAGCCCCACCTAGTCAGCACATGAGCAGCCAGCGCACATTTAAAGAAGGGGGCAAATATTCTCCACATCTCAAAACGCTCGTGCCCTTGACTCTGCATCTTCACGTCTTCTCTCTCTCATTCTCTCCTTCTGTATCTCTCTGCCTCTCTGTCTCCCTCTTTCTCTCACACACATGACGTGATGTATGTTCAAGGATATTTATTGAAGCAGTCTGTAATAGCAAAAGATTGTAAATTAACCTAAATTTCCATTAACAGGAGGCTACCTAAATTATGATACATTTCTAAGATGGAAAATTATGTGACTGTTAAAAAGTAATAAGACAGCTCTTTATGTACTGATAAGGAATAATTTCAAAAATACATTTAAAAAGTTAAAAAGTTTTAAAAAGCAATGTGCAAAAGAGCTATCATTTGTGTGAAAGTATAAATATATACAGTTTTTAAATTTTTTTTTTATAAGACAGGGTCTCGTTCTGTCACCCAGGCTGTAGTGCAGTGGCAAGATCATAGCTCACTGTAGCCTCAAATTCCTGGGCTCAAGGGATCCTCCCACCTCTGCCTGGCTATAGGCACACACCACCATGCCTGGCTAATTTTTTAATTTTTTTTGGAGAGGAGGTCTCTGTATATTGCTCAGGCTAGTCTCAACCTTCCAGCATGAAGTGATCCTCCCTCCTTAGACACCCAATGTGCTGGGATTACAGGCATAAGCCACCACGCCAGGCCATATGCATAGATGTTTTTAAATGCTGAGACTACCTTTGAAAAGATCCGTAAAAGCCTGGTAATAGCATCTGCCTTTGGAAAAGGGAACTGAAGATCAGATATAGAAGGGAGAGCAACTTTTCCCTGTATACTCTTCTGCCCCTTTTGAATTTTGTGAAATTTAAGCAATCATTTATATTTTAAAATATAAAACAGTAAAGAAGGCAGGCTGCCTTTCCAAAGCAAGGAGTATTTACATTTAATCCAGTTTGGGGAAAGCCTAGGAATTCATCAGTCCTCATTAGAAAGCACAGCTTTCTAAGGATCATGCGTCTGGACCCCACCCCAACCCCAGTCTTACTTCCTTGGCCAGAGTGACAGAATCTCAGAGAGATTCTTACTTCCTTTTACTTTCTTCTCTTTTTCAAACTGATTCCCTTCTTTTTGTGCTTGTCATGACATCATGTTCATTTCAATATACTTTCCTAACATGCTAACGTTTCCAGCCTGACTGCTTGTTTCATCCTGATTATAGTTCACGTTGGCAGCCCCTGTGGAGCCAAGGGCAGGCTGCTTGCACCCAGTGAACCGCTGTCTCTTTTGGGAAGTCCCTCCGTCTGCTGCATTAATCCTACCTCTGGCAATTCCTGTAAATTTCAGTGCACAAATAGCCCTTTTGTCATGTGAGGGTTCTGTTCTTCCTCCTGACTTCATCCTCAATCCCTTTTTCTCCTAGACCTTGGGCCCATTTCCTTGTGTGTCCTATGATTCCCTCTCTGCACTTCTTCATTACTCAAATCTCTGATCCTCTCAACAAAGTTCTCCCACCCTTATCATTCACCAGTGCCTGATCACAAAGCCTCCCAGATCACTCAGGTTTCAGGTAGGAGGTTATCATAAAAGACCCCTAAGATCCAGCAATTCCAATAAGACAACGCCAGATCATGAGTCTACTTCCCTATGTATCTCCTGTCCATTCTGTAAACCAAAAATAAAGTTCCAAACCCCCCAAACAAAGGAATGGACCCCTCCTCTCAGCCAAGGGCATTCCAAAATTAACCTGAAAAACCAGTTCAGCCATGATGGGAAGGGGGAGTTGGACATACCTCATTATACCCTCCTCCCTTTGGAATTCAAGCACAACCACCAGCATTAACATTAAAACAGAGATCTTAAAACTGATAGAACAGGCCATGTAAGGTGTCTCACACCTGTAATCCCAGCACTTTGGGTGGATCACCTGAGGTCGGGAGTTCGAGACCAGCCTGACCAACATGGAGAAACCCCCGTCTCTACTAAAAATACAAAATTAGCCGGGTGTGGTGGCACATGCCTGTAATCCCAGATACTCGGGAGGCTGTGGCAGGAGAATCACTTGAACCTGGGAGGTGAAGGTTGTGGTGAGCTGAGATCACGTCATTGCCCTCCAGCCTGGGCAACAGGAGTGAACCCTATCTCAAAAAAAAAAAAAAAAACAAAACTGATAGAACAGACTATTTGTAGCAATAAGATACATCATGTGACAGCAGGTCCTGAAAGAAATCAATGTATTTTACCCCAAATATATATCTGTTATGAATTTTGAAATGGTCCTGCAAAGCTGTCTCTGGTGGGGAAAATCTACATTCTGTAGAGAATCTTCTTTCCTTTCCAGATCTTTCCCTGATCCAGGAGAGAATTAACTAAGTGTCTGGTATCTTTTTAAGCCTGATTAAAAAAAATTACAATCTATTCTCTCTGAAGCCTGCTGCCTGGAAGCTTCACCTACATAATAAGAATGTTGGCCTGCACAACCCCTTATCTTAACCCAGACACTCCTTTCTATTGATTCCAGGTCTTTAGATAATAACTTAACTCTTTCAATCAGAAAATCTTAATCTAGGCCGGGTATGGTGGCTCATGCCTGTAATCCCAGCACCTTGAGAGGCCAAGGCACGTGCATCACTTGAGGCCAGGAGATCGAGACCAGCTCAGGCAACATGGCAAAACCCTGTCTCTACAAAAAAATACAAAAATTAGCCAGGTATGGTGCTGTGCACTTGTAGTCCCAGCAAGTTGGGAGGCTGAGGCAGAGAACCACTTGAACCCAGGAGGCAGAGGCTGTAGTGAGCCAACATCATGCCACTGCACTCCAGCCTGGGGAACAGAGAGAGACTCTGTCTCAAAAAAAAAAAAAAAAAGAAAAAGAAAAGAAAATCTTTATCCACCTATGACCTGAAACCCCTCCCCAACTTTAGGTTGTCCTGCCTTTCTGGATCAAACCAATGTACACCTTATATGTATTGATTAATGTCTTAAGTCCTCCTAAAATGTATGAAACCAAACTGTAGCCTGACAACATTGGGCACATGTTCTTAGGACCTCTTGAGACTGTGCCTCCGGCCATAGTCACTCATATTTGGCTCAGAATAAATATCTTCAAATATTTTACAGGGTTTAAAATTCCAACTTCATAAGTCAGGGAACTACATACCTTTTGATCACATTTCTTAACTGACTCTTTCTGGGGAGAGACTATTATAGAGTGGAAAGAGTTCTGATTTGAGCTGGAGAGATGTTGGTTTTGTAAAAAATATATATAAAATTCTAAAGCTCCCCCAACTATCTGAAAGGATCACTCCTCTCAGCCAAGGGCATTCCAGAATTACATAAAAATCTTGGTCAGGCCATGATGGAAGTGGGGGTTGGACATGCCTCATTATACCCCTCAGCATTAACATCAACACAGATCTTAAGTCTAATAAGAAACACTTACGGTCCATTCTGTCTAAAGCCTGCTACCTGGAGGCTTGATCTGCATGATAAAAACTAGGTCTCCACAACCCCTTCTTGTAATCCAGACATTCCTTTCTACTGATAATAACTCTTTCAACCAATTGCCAATCAGAAAGTGTTTAAATCTACCTATGACCTGGAAGCCCCTCCTTCAAGTTGTTCTACCCTTCCAGATAGAACCAATGTACGTCTTACAGGTATCGTTTGATGAATTATGTCTCCATAAAATGTGTAAAAGCCAGCTGTATCCAACCACTTTGGGCACAAGTCATCAGGACCTCCTGAGGCTATGTCACAGGTGCATTCTTAACCTTGACAAAATAAACTTTCTAAATTAACTGAGACCTGTCTCAGATATTTTGGGTTCACAATTTGAATCCTTGCTCTGTTGCTTACCAGCTGTGTGGTCTTGGACATGTTGCCTTTGCCTCATTAAGCCTCTGTTTTCTTTCTGAAAAATGAAAGTAAGAATCCTTACTTCATAGGGGAATAATGAGGATTAAATCAGATTTCTACATAAAGAGTATATTTTATGCCTGGACTCAGAGTCACTGCTTAGCAAAGGTAGTTCTCTCCCACTGAATATCCTCCAGCCTTATTCTTCCAACTTCATTCTACGGAAAATATGCCACATACACTCTTACCAGCATATGCAGGAACACCCGCCATGTGCTCATGTATATACAAACTGATCTACACAGAGATATAGAGATACATATTCATGTGGCCCAAGAAACAAGAAATTTTAAAAATAATAATTTTTAAAATACAGTAATGACATATTTTATCCTATTTTAATATCCTAGGAAAGAAAGTAAGGTGAGGAAAACCATGTGTTGAAGAAGAAAGGAATGAGCAGGGAGTTGAGGAAATGGACGGTTGAGAAGCAGAATTAGGGGAGTGTATGGGAGTAAGAAGTACTCTGATCAGCAAGGAGCTTACCTCCATGATAATTTGGTATGTACAGGTGGTTTATGACCTAATTTGTGAACTTGGCCCATCCAGGATAGCAGAGGACAGGGAGGAGGAATGAAAGTTGACCACAGAAAGACAGAGATTTGTGCCTATAGGTGGCCTACTAGGAGATGACCCCTTGCTGAGCTGGGGAGTCAAGAATTCAGAGTTTGGGGCAGCTGAAGCAACTGGAATCTGAAGGGCAAGGCATTGTGAAGAAGAGAGAGATGTGCAGGGAAGGGGCCCTACAGTTGTAGGTTTGGGTCACGCATGGGGTCTTAGATGAGGGTTTCGATGCACATGCACAAGGTAAGATCGTGTAGGATTACCAGAGAGGCTGATAAGGAGTTATGAATTGAACCAAATATAAGAGATAAAGAAGCCCTGGGGATATTGGAGATCCAGACCAGCCAGAATGGAGAGATGCCATTAACACCTTGTTAATATCTCAGGCATCAGACTGAGACATCACAGAAGCTGTGCTTTAGGAGTAAGGACTACACCCTGGAGTATAGCCTATTATAGATCCACCCTAAAAAGAAACTAACTAACTAAAACCAAGCCCTGAAATAAATCTGAGTTTGGAGATTGAGTGCTATGAAGTTAGAGGGTCTGGGTTTTTCACAGATTTGCCATAACAAAGCATAAAATACAGTCAAGACAAGTTCAAGGGGATCAGCTAGTGACTGAAGTGTATGCTGGACCAAAAATTAATGTTCTTCACGGGTAAATAACAGACTCCATAGTTTCTAAAGCATGTCATTGACACACTTAGAGAACTGACACACAATAGCAAATAAAAAATTACTAACTATAGGAAAAATAAACCAGAAAAATGTGACCCATTGTCAAGAAAAATTTAGGCAATAGAAACTAATCCAGAGGTAACCTAAATATTAGCAGACAAACACTAAAATATGATAATATGTTCAAAGAACTAAAGGAAAATATCGTCATAATGAGTGACAAAATAGGGAATCTCCGCAGAGAATTGGGAGTTATAAAAAAGAACAAATGGAAATTCTGAAATTGAAAATTACAATAAATAAATTAAAACGTTTATTGAATGAATTTAATGGCACATTGGAAATGAAAAAAGTCATAAACTTAAAGACAAATCAAGAGAATATATCCACACTAAAGAATAAAGAAAAAATACAGTAGAAAAATAAACAGAACTTCATGGGCATATGGGAAAATATCGAATGTTCTAACACACATGAAATTGGACACTCAAAAAAAAACTTTGAGGATAAATACAAACAAAAATTGCACTTATGCACCTACTACTCAAACTGCTCAAAACTAGGAATAAAGATTTTTTTTATTTTAATTTTTTTTTTTTGAGACAAGATTTTGCCCAGGCTGGAGTGTAGTGGCATGATCATAGCTCACTGTGGCCTTGAACTCCTGGGCTCAAGCAATCCTCCTGCCCCAGCCTCCCAAGTAGCTGGGACTAAAGGCACATGCCACCATGCCTGGCTAATTTTAAATATTTTTGTAGAGACAAGGTTTTACTGTGTTTCTGAGGCTGGTCTCGAGCTCCTGGCCTCAAGCAATCCTCCCACCTTGGCCTTCCAAAATGCTGGGATTACAAGCATGAGCCATCATGCCTGGCCAAGAGAAAATATTTAAAACAGCTAGAAATAAAAGCACATACAGAGGAACACTGTTATTAAAAACCACTGAATCTCATCAGAAATAGTAGAGATCAGAAACAATGAAATGAAATCTTTGAATCAGTATTTTTTGTTTTGTTTTGTTTTGCTTTTAAATTTTTTTGGAGACAGAGTCTCACTCTGTCACCCAGGCTGGAGTGCAGTGACAAGGCTCACTGCAGCCTCAAACTTCTGAGCTCAGGCAATCCTCTTGCCTCTGCCTCCTAAGTAGCTAGGACTACAGGTGCCTACCAACACACCTGGCTAATTTTTTTTTTTTTTTTTGTAGAGACAGAGTCTCACTCTTGCCCAGGCTGGTCTCAAACTGCTGGTCTCAAACTATTGTCCTCAAGTGATCCTCCTGCCTCAGCCTCCCAAGGTGCTGAGATTATAGGCCCTTTTAGATTACAGGTGAACCACTGAGCCTGACCAGTTTGTTTTTGTTTTACATATTTTATGATTCTATTTATATGAATTGTCCAGAAGAGGCAAATCTAGAAAGACAGAAAGTAGATTAGTCATTGCCAGGGGCAGTGATGGGAATGGAGAATGACTATCATTGGGCATGAGGTTTCTTTTTGAGGTGATGAAAATGTTCTAAAATGATATCATGGTAATGGTTGCACAGTTGTATAAATGAACTAAAAATCATGGAATTATACACTTAAAATGGGTGAATTTTATGGTATGTAAGTTGTATCCTGAAAAACCTGATTTAAAAAAAGAAAAAAGAAAGAACAACCCTGAGATAGCCATCAGAGGATTTATTCATAGTAGACACTCAGTGTCTGTAAAAGGCATCCTTTCTTCCAGTGTGTCCTAAGGCAGTTCACTTCCCAGAGCAAAGGGAAGATGGTGGATGGGGCCTCAGCAGACGCAGCCTGCAGCTGCTTAGTGAGAGCATGCATGATGACATCGTTCTCCAATTTATAGCCCATGTCATCTAAATTCTCCTTATCAAGCATCACTGAGGCCTCTGAGCAGGCGTCCCACGCCTGCATTTCCCGAAATGCCCTGTAACTCATGTTGCAGATGTGGCCTGAGGCATCAACTACTGAGAAGCCTGCAGACTTAGGGGAAATGGAGCTGAACAATTGTTGTTTTTGCTTCTCTAGTACTTCATTTGGACCCAATTCTAGCAACAGGACTTTCTTGTCGTGAAAGTAAATATCATATCCCACTGTGCCCTACTCAGAGCCCCACCAGACCTGCCTTGGGCAGTGCTTCCAGAAAGAACCCTCCCGATATGGTTTGGCTGTGTCCCCACCCAAATCTCATCTTGAAATATAGATCCCGTAATTCCTATGTGTTGTGGGAGGGACCCGGTGGGAGATACTTGAATCATGGGTGTGGTTTCCTCATACTGTTCTCCTGGTAGTGAATAAGTCTCACAAGATCTGATGGTTTTATAAGGGGAAACCCCTTTCACTTGGTTCTCACTCTCTCTTTGCCTGCCATCATCCATGTAAGACGTGCCTTTGCTACTCGTTTGCCTTCCACCATGATTGTGAGGCCTCCCCAGCCATACAGACCTATGAGTCCATTAAACCTCTTTCCTTTGTAAATTACCCGTCTTGGGTATGTCTCTATTAGCAGTGTGAGAACAGACTAATACACTTTCAATCCCACGTCACCTCTGCTATATCCTCAGAACCAGAAATCTGAAATATTTGATATTTTAAAAAGAAAATACTGTTAACAACAAAATTTTATATCCAGTGGAAATAGCCTTCAGAAATGAGAGGAAAACAAAGACATTTTCAGATCAATGAAAGCTCACAGAATTCATAGCCAGTATATCTGTACTATAAAAATTGCTAAAGGGTATTCTTTATATTAACAGGAAACAGAAACTTGGATCTGCAAGAAGGAGTGGAGAGCAGCAGAAGTGGTAAATTAGAACGTAAATATTAAAATGCATGGATTTTTTTCTCTCTGAATTCTCTTGAGAGACAACTGACTATTGTAAGGGAAGATTATTTTAAGACTATTTTAAGATAAGACTGGAGATTGGATTTATAATGTGTCAAGTTGATATGACAACAAGAGCACCAGGGATAGCTAATTGCAAATTTAATGGTGGAAGTCTAAATGTTTTCCCTTATAAACCAGAAATAAGGCAAGGATCTCATCTCCCAACACTTTTATTCTATTTGACTAGAGGTCCTCCCCAACGAAATAAGACAAACAAAGAAATACATATTGGAAGGAAAAATATAAAGCTGTATTTATTCACAGACAGCATAGTTGTTTGTATAGAAAATCCTAGGGAATTTACAAGAAAATGGCAATTATTAAAAAGTGATTTACCAATATCATAATATAGAAGGCCAATATACAAAAACCCATTGCATCTCTATATACTAGGAGCAAAAAATAAGAAAATTAAAATTAAGTAATCATTTAGCAACAGCATAAAAATATAAAATATATAGGAATGAATTTAGTAAAGGATGGGCATGATCTTTATAGTAAAAAGTACAGAATATTGCTGAAATTTTTAAATATCTTTATAAATGGAGATATATATATATAGTGGTATCTATCTATCTGTCTATCTATATATATATCTCATGTTCATGTATAAGAAAACTCACATTAATAAGACGTTCATGGCTGGGCACAGTGGCTCACGCCTGTAATCTCAGCACTCTGGGAGGCCGAGGCAGGTGGATCATGAGGTCAGGAGATCGAGACCATCCTGGCTAACATGGTGAAACCCTGTCTCTACTAAAAATACAAAAAATTAGCCGGGCATGGTGGCGGGCGCCTGTAGTCCCAGCTACTTGGGAGGCTGAGGCAGAAGAATAGTGGGAACCCAGGAGGCGGAGCTTGCAGTGAGCCGAGATTGCGCCACTGCACTCCAGCCTGGGTGACAGAGCAAGACTCCGTCTCAAATAAAAATTAAAAAAAAAAAAAGACGTTCATTTTCCTATATTCTTTTACATATCCTACACACTTCCAATCAAAATCCCAGCAGCCTTATTTTTCTTTCTTTCTTTTTTGTAAATGACAGAGTCTTGCTCTGTCACCCAGGCTGGAGTGCAGTGGCATGATCATAGTCCACTGCAGCCTTGACCTCCTGGGCTCAAGTGACCCTCCCACCTCAGCTTCATGAGTTGTTGGGATTACAGGCGTAAGCCACTGTGCCAGGCCTCGGCAGCCTTGTTTTTAAAGACACTGACAAAACTGATTCTAAAAATGTATATAAAAGTGCAAAGGATCTAGAAAATCCACAGAATTTTGAAGAAGAGTTCAGTTGGAGGGCCTATACTACATAATATCCAGACGTTCTCTAGGTCTGTCATGGAGGCTCACACCTGCAATCCCAGCACTTTGGGAGGCTCAGGCAGGAGGATCACTTGATCCCAAAAGTTCCAGACCAGCCTAGACAATATAGTGAGACCCCAACTCTACAAAAAATAAAAATTTAAAATTTCAGAAAGAAAAAAAAAGACTTACTCTAAAGCAGCAGTAATTAAGACAATGAGATAATGGTGTAAGGACAGACATATAGATCAATTGAACCACATTGAGATCCAGAAATAGATTTACACATATATATCAATTGATTTTCCCCAAAGACACCAATGATTTCAAAGTCTTTTCAACAAATGATTTTTATATGCAAAAAACAAACTTTGATATTACCTCATATAATACACAAAAATTCATCTGATATGGACCACAAACCTAAATGTAAAAACTAAATCTATAAAACTTCTTAAAAAATACATAAGATAATTTTTGTGACTTTAAGAAATATGGTCATGAAAGTCACAAACCATAAGAGAAAAATTTTGATAAATTGGATTATATCAAAATTAAAACCCTCTATTCTTTAAAATATCCCTTTAAGAACATGAAAAGAAAAAAAATCCCAGAATAAGAGAAAATATTTGCAATACATATATGAGACAAAGGACTTGCTTTCAGGATACATAAAGAACTCATACATCTCAATAAGAAAAAGACATGCAGCTCAAATTAAAAATGGATGAAAGTCCCAGCACTTTGGGAGGCCGAGATGGGCAAATCACTGGAGGCCAGGAGTTCAAGAACAGCCTGGCCAACATGGTGAAACCCTGTCTCTACTAAAAATACAAAAATTAGCTGGGCATGGTGGTGGGCTCCTGTAGTCCCAGCTACTTGGAAGGGTGAGGCAGGAAAATCACTTGAACCCAGGAGGTGGAAGTTGCAGTGAGCTGAGATCACACCACTGCACTCCAGCCTAAGCAACAGAGCAAAACTCTACCTCAAAAATAAAAAAAAAAAAAAAGATGAAAGACATGAACAGACATTTTGCAAGAAAAGTATATGAATGACCATGTAAGCACATGAAAAAGTGTTCCAGCTTCATTAATCATCAGGGAAATGCAAATGAAACCACTCTGAGATACCACTAGAATGGCTAAAATTTCAAAAACCAACAATACAAAATGTTGTGAGGATGTGGAGCAACGAGAACTCTCATGCATTAATGGTGAAACTGTGAAGTGGTACAACCCTTTTGGAAAAGTTAGGTGATTTCCTATAAATCTGAACACATACTTAACCTATGATCCAGCAATTTCACTTCTGGGTTTTTACCCAAGAGAAATGAAAATGTTTTTCTATACCAAAATTTGTACATACTATTCACAACAGCATTGTCCAGAATAGCAAAAAACTGGAAACAAGTCAAATGTTCATCAATAGGCAAATGCATGGAAAAATTATGATAAATCCATACTCACCAGTAAAAAAAAAACAAAAAAACTAGTGATATGCAAACCAACTTGGATAAATCTCAAAAGCACATTGAGTAGAGGAAGTCACTCAAAAGAGTACAGACTGTATTATTCCATTGAGATGATGTTCTAGAAAAACTAAAATGAATCTATAGTTACAGAAATCAGGTAAGTGGTTACCTGGGATGGGATGGTTAGGATGGGATTAACTACAAAAGAGAAATAGGGAAGTTTCTGGGGTGCTATAAATATTTTGATTGATTTAACAGTTACTGAGTGTATATATTTGTTAAAATTCATCAAAGTCTACATTGAAGTGTATGCATTGTATTATATGTAAATTATGCCTCAGTACAGTAGATTTTTTTAAAATGTTCTCGTAGCTCCCCATTGAACACAGGTGTCATCATGGCAAGACATTTCCTAGCTGAGAGATGCTTTTTCATTCTTTCATTCAAAAAGTAGCTTTTTCTTTCCTTCCTTCCTTCCTCTCTTTCTTTCTCTTTCTCTCTTTCTTTCTTTTCTTTCTTTCTCTTTTTTTTAGTGGCAAGGTCTTGTTTTGTCACCCAGGCTGGAGTGCAGTGGTGTGATCATAGCCAATAGAGGGTGCACAGGCACGGGAGCTCAGGTGAGGCAGGGAGCTGAGCTCACCTGACCTCCCATGCCTGTGCACCCTCTATTATATCACTCGTATGTCTACCATTGTTTGCAGATCGTGAGCTGCTTGATGACTGATGCTAGGGTGACCAACCAACCAAGTATGCCCCAAACCAAAGGGTTTCCTGGGCTTCCTGAGCTAAGGGATGTTCAGTGCTAAAACTGGGAGGCCCAGGCAAACGGGGAAAATGGGTCACCTTATCTGAGACCTTGTGCTACTCATCTCTGAAAGCATTCCCAGGCTTAGCCCCCTATCAGGTGGGTGATGTATGCTCAGTAAATGTTTCCTGAAAGGCTAGAATATGTGTGAGTAGGACACTTGAAATTCTCCTTTGGTTTCCCATGCAAACTGAGTCCTACAGTGAGAAAGCCAAGCGTAGTGGCAGATCCTGCCCCAGACACCAGGCTCGCTTGGGTCCTGCCTAGGGCGCCAGCCTCTCTCCCATGTCATTGGTGTTCTGGAAAGCAGATAAACAACTGACTTCAAGTCCTATTTAAGTTTTATGGGGTAGCCAAGGTCTTCCAGGGCTCCATCTCCAGGAAGCCCCCTCCCTGCAGCCTGGCTGGCTTTTCTTCTTCTTCTGGTGAAGTCATCCGACCCCAAGTGGCCCACAGTTTCCTTTCTCTCCACACCTCCCAAACCCGCTGCCCAGTCCTGGCACTGCCTGGGGTTACTGCTGACCTTTCAGTGCTGTTTGCTCAGAAAGTGCCTTTATGTCAACACAAACAGCCTTCAGGTTTGCCAGGGCCTGGCTCCTTTTCTCCCTGGGGTCCAGGGTAGAAAAACAATAACCAGTGGGAAGGAGAGCGAGCCATAGGGGAGTGACGCGTCCCTGGACCTTGGGTCTCTGTCCTCTCAGCCCTGTCCCTCAGGGCCTCCTTTGTCAGAACTCAGTTCTGTGGGGAGAGGGTACTGGGGAGGCAGCGGCTTTAAACAATGCCACAGTGTCTGGCAGGGAGCTGCGTGCTTGACCTGATTAGGCTCAGTGAGCCCGGGGGAGGGAGGGAGTGAAGGCAGGCTTGGGAAAGTGTTTTCCATCCCCACCCAACAGACTTTGCTTCCTTGTATCTCTGCCAAGACCTCTTTTTGGGGAGGAAAGGCCGAATCGCCTCATTTCTACAGGGGCACCTTGGCCTCGCTCCTCTAAACCTGGGTAAGCTCTTTGACCTGCCTGTCCCCCTCCCTCTTGTCTTTCCTTCCCACCAACCAGCTCCCAAACAGAAAGTGTTTTTCACACTCGCAGCTCTCCCTCCTCAGGCCCTGCCAGGCCCGAAGCTGGGCCCAGAGGCCAGCTGGCACCCACATGAAAGGCCTTCCTGTCGAGAACTGGCATGGAACCCAGGGCCTCAAGGCTGCCCACACCACAGCCCTGGCCCAGGGTCCAGAGCACAGGGCCACGGAAACTTGGCCACAAGGCTCTGGGGAGAAAAACAGCCTGAGCCGCACAGGAGAGGAGCCTCCCATCCCCGCAGCCTGGCTGGGCACATCAAGGGAGAAAGCGCAGTGCCCAGAATCCTTTGAACATGAAGCCGCAGCACCTGCACCTGGCAGAGGACCCGGGAACCAGGGATTCGTGCTGGGGGCAGCACTTGGGGTTTGTTAGTGCAGGTGGAGAGAAAACAGGAGAGTAGCAATTTCCAACCCATCAGCAGAAAAAAGTGAAAGCTGAGAAGTCAGGGTGAGGCTGGAGGGGACAGGATGGGGTGGCTGGGTGGGCCCAGAATTGAGATCTGATTTGCAAAATGGTGGCAAAAGGCAACAGACTGCGGCTCCCTTGAGAGAAAAACCTGGTCTCCCAACCGGCAATGGGTGTGGTTATCAAACGCACAGCCATGCCTGTTCCCAGGATGCAGGTGCAGTCTGGATAAACTGAGACTAGGGTTGGGGGGGATCTGTTCAAGGTTGCACAGCACCTTCAAGATGGGGCTTGAACTACAAACCCAGGACTCCGGACCTGGAAAGAATCTCCTAGGAGGTTCTGGAGGGTTCATTCTTGGACAGAAATCTGGGAGAACCTACAGCAAAATGGCAACAATGTGATTGTGGGTAACTTAAAGTTTGTGGTTTTGTGTGTGGTTTTTTGTTTTTTGCTTACCTGTGCTTTCTACTTTTTTTTTTTTTTTTTTTTTTTTTTTTTTACAGTGAGAAAAAAATACCTGTGGGGAAAAAAACATAATGGAAAATAAGAGTTTTGATGAAATGATACACTACACATAAGGTGTTAAGCAGGATGAGGGGCTGGCATTTAATAATGGATAAATAAAGGTTAAAAGTAATTAGCTTAAGGGGAGAGAGGGCAAGGAAGAGGAAGCAGAAGGAAGGGAGAAAGGGGAAAGAGGAACATCCAAAGTAAGGAAGAAGTCAAAGCTAAAGGAAAGGAGTGAAAGAGGGAAAGGAGAAAGAATATTAACAAGAAGAGTGAATATTGGCCAGGTACAGCAGCTCATGCCTATAATTCCAGTGCTTTGAGAGGCAGAGGCAGGAGGATCACTTGAGCCCAGGAGTTTGAGACCAGCCTGAGCAACACAGCAAGACCTTGTCTCTACAAAAATTGAAAAAATTAACCAGGCTTAGTGGCACGCATCTGTAGTCTCAGCTACTCAGGAGACTTAGGAGGAAGGATTGCTTGAGCCCAGGAAGTCAAGGCTGCAATGAGCTATGATTATGCCACTGCACTCCAGCCTGGGTGACAGAGCAATACCCCACCTCAAAATGTATAATAATAATTTTAAAGAATAAATTTAATTTTTTAAAATAGTGAATATCTTCACGGATTCCTGGATCTCAGTGCTGCCTCGCAAAGACAAAATAAATATCAAAGTATCAGTCATCAAGTTAGCACACTCCTCACCTTCCTTCAGGTCCGTGTGAAAGACCCTGGGTTGGGCTGGACTAGAGGGAAGTTTCCTGAACTAGCTGTGGTTCCAGCTGTGTAGACAGTTAGTTGGTTACTAACAGCATTCACAGAGCGTCTGCAATGGGGGTTGTTTCATATGACTAGTTTCTAGGATTCCATCACACACACACACACACGCACACACAGAAGACACTGGGCACCTCATTTCAGAAGCGTCATGCCTACTGTTTGGAAATGAGTGTTCTACGTGTCCTCTCTGGAGGGAGGCTGAGCTGGAGATGGGAGGGAGTCTTTGCTGCCAGCGCCCTGCAGGGTAATCCAACCATCCTTGGTGACATCATGTTTTCTGAGTGGATGTTTGCTTCAGAAGCTGCAAAATAATCTCAACTTTCAGCCCCAACTTCTCCCCAGGAGGGCAGCATCCTGTGAATTTGGCCAAAACGGAACTCACACCACAGCTCATTAAGGGAGCAATCAGCGAGGGTACCAAAATGCTGCCTCCCTCACACTTTCCACCCTGCATCCCCCATCAAAACTCTCATAGCCTGTGTCTCTCTGGGTGCCAGAGGGAGAGAAAATGCATGTTCCAATGGGGTATTGAGGAAGGGAGAGGAGAAAGAGGGGCAGGTCGAAGGAGCCTGGTAGAGAAAGGGGGTGACCCCACCTGGCTCCCTCCAGGGCTGGGGTCTCTTGTGACAGGCACTGGGCTGATGGAAAGCAGCTGCGGGACCTTGGCAGACCCAAGTGGGGCCAGCTGGAGAGAGAAACTACCCCTGAACGTCATAGGAATTTAATGCCCACTGAGCTAGGGGAGCCAATGTCAACATCTCTGAGCCAGAGGCCAGGGACTAGCAAAGCAAATGCAGCTCAAAAGATGAGGTGCCCCATCACCCGACAGGGGCTCCTTGGCTGTGAAGCCAGAGGGATCTTAGTTCAGATTCCGGCTGGGTGACCTTGAGTAATTTACTTGGCCCTTCCAAACCTCACCTTTTGCACCTGACATGGGGCTCCAGTCATTTCTTCATGTATTCATTTGTTCAATAAGTATTTACTTAGTGTGTACCATGTGCCACGCACCGTGCATACAACAGCAATCAAACTATTGTCCCTATTGTCCCTGCTCCAAAGGAAGTTGTAGCTTAGTGAGGACAAGCAAAAAGGTTCTTCTAAAACAGAATGAGAATTTCTACCCTAGCGATATACACTGGGAAGGATAGGAGTATAAACTAGTCTTGAGACCAAAAAATCTTTCTGTAAGAAGGAACATCTAAGTTGAGACTTGCAAGATAAGTAGGAGTTCTTGCAAAAAGAAAGAAAAAGCAATGTGTGCACAGAGCTGGTGGTGAGAGAGAGCACGGCTTCATGAAAAAGAAAAAAACAATGTGTGCACAGAGCTGGTGGTGAGAGAGAGCATGGCATCATGGAGGAACAGAAATAGTTCAGCATGGCTGGAGATGGAACATGTTTGGTAAAAAGGAGCTCAGGGAGGGTGAGGCTGAAGAAGGGAGTGAAGGTCTGACTATGGAGGCCTTGTATAGCATGCTTGAGTTTATTTGTTTGTTTTTGTTTTTGTTTTGAGACAGAGTCTTGCTCTGTCACCAAAGCTGGAGTGCGGTGGCATGATCTTGGCTCACTCACTGCAAACTCTGCCTCCTGGATTCAACATTCTCCTGCCTCAGCCTCCCGAGTAGCTGGGATTACAGATGTGCACCACCATGCCCAGCTAATTTTGTATTTTTGGTAGAGATGGGTTTTCGCCGTGTTGGCCAGGCTGGTTTTGAACTCCTGACCTCGAGTGATCTGCCCGCCTCGGCCTCCCAAAATGCTGGGATTACAGGCATGAGCCACCATGCCCGTCCTCATGCTTGAGTTTAGATTTCATCCTGAGTCTACACTTGAATGAAGGTTTCCAGTAGGGGAATGAGATGATCAGATTTCTGTGGCTAGAGGGTGCAGAACTGATTGGAGGAGAGAAGGACACGAGATGGGGAAAAGACTGTTAGAGGGAAGCTGTTGGAGGGATCCAGGCAAGAGGCAGCAGAGGTCTGAGCTGTGGAGGTGAAGAGAAGGCAGAGAAGACAAAAGCAGGTAAATGTGAGAGGTGTTGGAGAGGGAGAATGGATGAAACTTGGGGACTGAGTGGATGTTGCAGTGGAAGAAGAGGAGGCTTGGAGGTGGGAGGAGTCGGGACTATTTTTGGACTGAGGAGGAGGAATGTTCTAGTTAGGAGTGATACCTATGAGAAAAGAATCAATCACCCCCACAGAGCTCTGAAGTAGCTCAGAACGTGAAGGCACCAGGTAGGGAGGAGGGCAAGGTGAGGTATAGGAGGAAAATGAGGGCATAGGATGGAAAGCCACCTATCTTCAGAATGCTAGCAGTCAAATACCTACTCCTTAGGCAAGAGACAGGGGTTATTCTTAGGAGAAAAAGAACAGAAGAGGTCATGGACTTGGGGCTCCAAGCACCAAATAGTGAGGGTGAGATTTAGGGCTGAAAAGGAGGTATCAATTGAAAGCCTAACCATGGGGTAGTCAGTTCTCCAGCCCCTTCCTTTTGTCCTACCTGCTGATGGGCATCTTTCCCTCAGGTTGGAAAATATGATTCTTTAGAGAAACTGAAGAGTCTACAAGGAATAAAACCTCCAGGTACTAATTGTTTTGAGTGGGGTTGAAGTCCCCCAAAGGAATGGCAAAGTCTCTTCCCTGTTACCCCAAAGTGATAAGCTACACAGACCTTCCAATCAACTTTTGTAGTTTCTCATTCTTAAGTATGAACAGACAACCAGTCTGATATGGTCAGAGAAATATAAGGCCATAAAACAAGAACTAGCTGCTATGAAAAAAGGAACAATCATTTAATAATAGATTTTGAAAATTAATAAGTCAAAAAAAAACATTCAACAGAAAGGCCAGAATATGTTCTTGAGGACATCTCCCAAAAAGTAGAAGAAAAAAAATGAGGACTAACAGAGAAAAGGTAAGAACATTAGGGAATAAAACCAGAAGTTCAATAACTTACTAGCAGAAATTCCAGAAAGAGAGAGAGAAAATGGAAAGAAATTATCAAATAAATAAGAAAATTTTCCAGAACTAAAGAGTGCATGTCACTGAATTAAAAGAACCTGCCAAGAGCCTGCCACAAAAAATTTTAAAAGGCCTAAAATGTAGGAGTTTGATCTTAAAATTTGAGAACATCAAGCATAAAGAAAAGAACTGAAAAACTTCCAAAAAAAAAAAAATAAGAAGAATGGTACTGAATGTCTCCAGAGCAAATGCATCTAAAAATGATGGGAGAAAATTATCTTCAATCTGCATTTCTGTACCCAGTTAATCTATCAGCTAATTGTGAGAGCAGGAGAAATGTTTGCCAGACATGCAAAGATTCAGAAAATTTACTTCCCATCCACACTGTCTTGGAAAACTATAAGAGAATAGGCCAGCAAAGCAAAAGCATCAACCCAGATGGAAAAAGTCATATATTCCAGGAAATGGGGTTGCAACTCAGAGGCACAATAAAGAAAAGTCTTAGAGGACCCTTTGCAGCAGACCTAAGGAATAGCCGTCCAAACTGGAGAAGAATAGAGGGCTCTGAAAGGGAGATCTTTAGGAAAAACATAGGTTGATAACATAAATGATATGATAGGTTATACAATGGATCCTTTGAAAAGAAGTATAGAACATTATGCAGGTGAAAATATGGGCAATTAATAACTCAAGGAAAAACAAAAAGCTACAAAGGAAAGAGAATGTAATCATAGCATACTACTTGACTCTGCTACAAACAATGTTTAAAAAGTCTTAATGATGTAAACCCTGACTGCTAACTTAAAATAAAAAATAGTGATTCAACTATATTGAGAGGATGGGGTGGGGGACATAGTAAGAGCTACACAATCTCGTAACTCTATCATAACAAAAAATTTGTCTAAATATGCCTATAAATGTCTAAAATGACATATCAAGAAAAAAGAATAAGCATAATATTATAGAGATAACTACCAAAAGAAAGGGTGAAAAAAATCGTCTTGGTGGTGGGTTAGCGGACAGTTTCAGAATGTGGAGAGATATGAGACAGATAATAACTTCTTTAAAAAATTTTTCAATTTTTATTTTACATTCAGGGGGTACATGTGGAGGTTTGTTACATGGGTATATTGTGTGATGCTGAGGTTTGGGGGATAATAACTTGTTCATTATAGACTTTAAAAACCACATCTGGATGTTTCTTTTATACAACTTTTTTAGTTAAAAAAATTAAATGTAAATAAAATAGCAAAAAAGAAATGTGAGTTTCTATTCCCACTTTCCCTCCCTTACAGTGTGTGGAAGTCTCTAACAGAGTAGCTTTTTTGGTTTCAAAGTCAGGAAAACGGGGAAAGGCAAGTTGCTGAAACACATCTACGTCTATGACTGTCTTCTGGGTAGGAAGCACAGAGATAAAGTTGGTAAAGTACCCAGCACAGAATATGTCCTCGAGAAATGTTGACTTTCCTTTTCTCTCCACCTGAAGGAGCATTTCTCATATTTATTTATTTAATTAAATGAACATAGTCTTCAGAGAAAGGCAAGGAATCAGGCAGGCGCATTCTCCAGAAGCCCAAGTTAAAAGAAGATTTAGTGACAGTCTTGTTGGGTGCAGGTTTCTAACCTGTGAGTGATCATGAGAATTACCTGAGGGATTTTTACAAGAAAAGATTTCTGGGCCTTACCCAAGTTTTGGGGTAACTTGGGCCCAGGGAGGAGAAGTCCTTGACCGGGCCAGGAAGAGGCAGGACCAGAATGAAGGCCCTGGCCTTCTGCCCACAGCACTGTAGACTCCACACACTCACCTGGGTTTCCATACCACCCTGATTTTCTCTTTAACAGATACCATTGGGTTCTGGAGGCTCCAACCATGCATGTGTTTGGGTAGTAGTGTTGAGACCCAGCACTGAGGCAGGGGGAGGCGCTTGGGGGCTGTTTGTGTGCAAGTCCTAATAGAAGCCAGCTCAGATTCAACTGCTCACCCTCAAATTCCCCTAAATCTGGAGGGGCAGTGGTGCTCCTTTGTCCTGCAGGCAGCTGCTGGCTTCCCAAGATGCCCAGAGACATGGGATGCTGGCCAGGGCTGGAGCCAGGAAATCCAGCTGTGTCATTTGCCAGGCCCCACCCAGTGCTGATGCCTGGTTCCAGCCAACTGTGATTCACCTACTTCATCACTTAGCCAGATGCCACCCACTATCCCCACTTCCTTTCCCTCCCTCCAGATCACCCTCCCTGCAGGTGGTTGAAGGAGTGACCCAGGCAGTTCTGCCTTAGGACCCAGCTGTCAGGATCCCCAGGTCAGCAGATTCAGTGGTATTTGATTACAGAAAATCAAAGAGAGACGCTGACGCCTGTAATCTCAGCACTTTGGGAGGCTAAGGGGGGCGGATCATGAGGTCAGGAGATCAAGACCATCCTGGCCAACATGCTGAAACCGCGTCTCTACTACAAATACAAAAAATTAGTAGGGTGTGGTGGTGCATGCCTGTAGTCCCAGCTGCTCGGGAGGCTGAGGCAGGAGAACTGCTTGAACCTGGGAGGCAGAGGCTGCAGTTAGCTGAGATGGTGCCACTGCACTCCAGCCTGGGCGACAGAGCGAGACTCCGTCTCAAAAAAAAAAAAAAAAAAAAGGAGAGATTTCTCTTATGCTTGAATAATTCCCCCATGCTCCTTTTCGCAATATCTTTATAGTGTGGGGCCAAGAAAAATCCTCTTCAGGAGAAGGAATTGAAAATAACAACAATATTGCCATACATTCGCATATTATTTTATACATACAGCCTCTTTTGCATACATTACCTCAGACATGTAACCCTCACAACCACTCCTTAAGCTTGTTATTGAAAAAATTCAAAGCATAACGAAAGTAAAGATCAATGAACAATTAAGTACCGATTAAGTACCCGGATGAACGAAAACTATCACCCCATGGCCGCACGTCTTTCAACTGCCTCATTGCCACTCCACTTTCCAAAACAAACGGATTGTTTTGAAGAAATCCATAATATCATCAAATTTCCAGTGAGTGTTCAAATTTCCGAAATCTACATATCACCTTTACTTGATGTCTCTCAAGTCTCTTTAAATTTGTAGGTTTCCACTCCCTCTTTTTTCTTTTTCCTTGCAAAGATTATTTGTTGAAGAAACCAGGCCATTTTTCCTATAGTTTCTCACATTCTGGGTTGTGCGGATGGTATTTCTAAAACATGTTCTGCTGTTCCAGATCTTTCCTGTAAACTGAAAGTTAGATCTATAGATGTGAGATATGATTTCGAGCAAGAATCTCTCATAGGTGATTTTTTTTTTTTTTTTTTTTTTTTGAGAGGGAGTTCCCCTCTTGTTGCCCAGGCTGGAGTGCAGTGGCACAATCTCAGCTCACTGCAACCTCTGCCTCCCGGGTTCAAGCGATTCTCCTGCCTCAGCCTCCCAAGTAGCTGGGATTACAGGCATCTGCCACCACGCCCGACTAATTCTGTATTTTTAGTAGAGATGGGGTTTCTCCATGTTGGTCAGGCTGGTCTCAAATTCCTGACCTCAGGTGATCTGCCCACCGCAGCCTCCCAAGGTGCTGGGATTACAGGCGTGAGCCACCACACCAGGCCCTGGGCTCTCTTTTCATGATGTTAGTAGACATTGGTGATCATTGTCTAGTGCTCCATTAGCTCATAAGGGGTTTGCAAAATGGTGATTCTGGTATTGCATCTTCACTTACTAGCTGGAACTCTTCCAGAGAGAAGCATTTCAATCCATTGCACTTATTTTTCTTATTGTACTCAAATAGTCCCATCTTTGTCCTCCTCAAGTTAGTTCCTGAATTCCTCTGAACCAACCTCAGTAGTCTTCCATAGTTCCCTGGCTTTCTGGAATGATAACATCTTCTTGGCTTATCTTGTATATCTTCTGTCTTACATCTGGAATCCAAAATTCTTTTAAGAACCCTAATTCCTTTTGGTGGAAAATGGTATTTAGAATTTATAATCTAGGTATAGGAAGTACTCATTGCTACTGGTTGGTCATTGCTTCTAAGCCTCTTTGATGGACAGAGCTAGGAAATATATATTTTTGTATTTATTAATGTGTTTAAAATAACAAAAACTTATCATAATTTAAATTATTATATATATTTAAAATAGACCTTTTTTAGAGCAGTTTTAAATTCACAGCAAAATTTAGAGGAAAGTACAGAGTTCCCATATACTCCCTGCCCCGACATATGCACAGCTTCCCCTATTATTAACCTCCCCCACCACAGTGGTGTGTTTGTTATAATTGATAAACCAATACTGACACACATTATTACCCAAAGTCCATAGTTTACATTAGGGTTCACTCTTGGTGTTGTACAGTCTGTAAGTTTGGGCAAACGTATAATGACGGGTATCCACCATTACAGTAGGAGAATAAAACAAGAAGTTCAATAACTTATTAGCAGAAATTCCAGAAAGATAATTTATTTCTGGAATTCTCTTTCACTTTCCTAAAAATCCTGTGTTCCACTTCTTCAGCCCTCCCTCCATCCTAATCCCTGGAAACCAGTGATCTTTTAACTGTCTTCATAGTTTTGCCTTTTTCAGAATGTCACATAGTTGGAATCATACAGTATGTATGCTTTTCAGGCTGGCTTCTTTCTGTTAGTAATATGCATTTAAGATTCTTCCATGTGGCCGGGCGCGGTGGCTCATGCCTGTAATCCCAGCACTTTGGGAGGCCGAGGCGGGCGGATCACGAGGTCAGGAGATCGAGACCATCCCGGCTAAAACGGTGAAACCCCGTCTCTACTAAAAATACAAAAAATTAGCCGGGCGTAGTGGCGGGCGCCTGTAGTCTCAGCTACTTGGGAGGCTGAGGCAGGAGAATGGCGTGAACCCGGGAGGCGGAGCTTGCAGTGAGCCGAGATCCCGCCACTGCACTCCAGCCTGGGTGACAGAGCGAGACTCCGTCTCAAAAAAAAAAAAAAAAAAAGATTCTTCCATGTTTTTTCATGGCTTGATACCTCTTCCTTTTTAGCACTGAATGGTATTCTTCTGTCCGGATGTACCACAGTTTATTTATCCATTCCCCTCTGAAGAACATCTTGATGGCTTCCAAGTTTTGGCACTGATGAATAAAGCTGCTATAAACATCCATGTGCAGGCTTCTGTGTAGACGTAAGTTTTTAACTCCTTTGGGTAAATACCAAGGAGTATGATTGTTGGGACTTATGGTAAAAATATAAAAATATACATTTTAAAATGCTATTTTTTAGTTTTGAAAAAAAAACCTCAAACTCATGAAAAAGTTCCAAGTAAAGTACAAAGTACTGTTTCCCCTAAACATTTGAGCATAAGTTGTTAATACAATGTCCTATGATTCCCAAATAATTTAGTTGTATTTTCACCAAACAAGGATATTTTCCTTCATAGGCACAATACAACCATCAAAATCAAGAAATTAGCATTGACACTTTTACTAACTTCTAGTAATCATACTCCATTTAGGTTTTGTTGTGATCTCAATAACAGCTTTTATAGCAAAAGATCCAATTCAGAACCATGGGTTGTATTTGACCATTTTGTTTCCTTTATTAAACTTTACATCCTTGACATTATTGAAGATCATAGGGCAGCCACTTTGTGGAATGTCCCACAGTTTGTGTTTGATGTCTTCTCATTATTAGATTCAAGTTTTACATCTAGGGCAAGAATATCACGTAAGTGATGTGTTCTCACTGCATCTTATTAGGTGACACACAAGTTCATTTGTTAGATTACAAATGATTAAGGTGGTGACTGCCAGGTGTTTCCTTTGTAGAGTAACTCTTTCCTCTTGTAATCAATAAGCGTTTCACGGAGATGTACTTTGAAATTGTGTAAATACCCTATTCTTTGTCAAACTTTCAAGCTGTTCATTTACATATTTTCATCGGTATGTACTCATGGTTCCCTATTTTATCAAATGGATTATAATCCATTGGGATCCTTATTTGCTTTGATGCTCAGATTATCTCAGATGTGGTCATCAGAGGCCCCTTCAGACCAGGTTCTGTGTCTCTCTGAGTTGTCCCCATTGTTCCTGGACA
This sequence comes from Homo sapiens, assembly GCF_000001405.40. Lineage (NCBI taxonomy): Eukaryota > Metazoa > Chordata > Mammalia > Primates > Hominidae > Homo > Homo sapiens. Next base: position 27,713,678 of record NC_000008.11, read on the forward strand.
CTTCCTTACTTTCTGCTGCTACAAAAAGATATTCCAGGCTCATCTTGTACTTTGCCTGCCCCAGCTGTGAAATCAGCCATTTCTCCAAGGAAACCAGTTCCTTTTTGTGAAGAATGGGATTTAGAAACCACAATCAGGATGTGACAGAGTTTGGATATTTGTCCCTGCCCAAATCTTGCATTGAATTTTAAGCCCCATTGCTGGAGGTAGGGCCTGGTGGGAGCTGTTGGGGTCATGGGGGCAGCTCCCTCATGGCTTGGTGCTGTCTTTGCCATTGCGAGCTCTTGTGAGATCCAGTCATTTAAAAGTGTGTGGCACTTCCCCTCTTCACTCTCTCTTGCTCCCGCTTTTACCACGTGATGTACCTGCTTCCCTTTCACCTTCTGCCATGATTAGAAGCTTCCTGAGGCCTCCTCCCCAGAAGGAGATGCCAGTGCCATGCTTCCTGTACAACCTGCAGGACAATGAGCCAATTAAACCTCTTTCCTTTAGAAATTACCCAGTCTCAGGTATTCCTTTTTTTTTTTTTTTTTTTTGAGATGGAGTCTTGCTCTGTCTCCTAGGCTGGGGTGCAGTGGCGCAATCTTAGCTCACTGCAACCTCCGCCTCCCTGGTTCAAGCAATTCTCTGCCTCAGCCTCCCAAGTAGCTGGGATTACAGGTGCCCGCCACCACGCCCTGCTAACTTTTGTATTTTTAGTAGAGATGGGATTTCACCATCTTGGGCAGGCTAGTCTTGAACTCCTGACCTTGTGATCCACCCGCCTCGGCCTCCCAAAGTGCTGGGATTACAGTTGTGAGCCACCACGCCGGGCCTCAGGTATTTCTTTATAGCCACACAAGAGTGGCCTAACACAGGATGCTAGCTGGGCTTATGGCTTTATAAAGTGTCTGTGTTCTCAGGATTTCTCAAAGGACACAGCTAGGGGAGATAAAAATACACACATACACCCATCTATATTTATATTTATTTTGATTTCCATATCTATATCTATTTATAAGAAACCATGAGTTCACTTCCTGTCCAATACCACAGGACCCATTCTGTTTTCTCCCTTTCTGTATTTGTAATACTTTTCTCCAATGCTTGGAGCCAAGAAAAATCCTCTTCAGGAGAAGGAATTGAAAATAAAAAACAGTATTGCTTTACATTTACATATCATGTATACATACAGGCTCTTTTGTATATGTTACCTCAGATATTTGACCCTCACAACCACTCTTTAAGTTTCTTTTTCTTCCTTTCTTTCCTTCTTTCTTTGAGACAGGATCTTGCTCTGTTGCCCAGTCTGGAGTGCAGTGGCATGATCATGGCTCACTGCAGCCTCAAACTCCTGGGCTCAAGCGATCCTCACACCTGAGCCTCCTGAGTAGCTGGGACTATAGACACAAGCCACCATGCCTGGCTAAATTTTTTGTTTTTATTTTTTGTACAGATGAGATCTCTCTATGGTGTTCAGGCTGATGTCAAACTCCCGGCCTGAAACAATCCTCCCATCTTGGCCTCCCAAAGTGTTGGGATTACAGGCATCAGCCACCCTGCCCAGCTCAGGTTTTTTATTGAAGGCTCTAAGTCCAAAAGCCTAGAATGCCCACCTCATTAATTTCATCTTTACATTAATCTGGCTTTTATTTTCCTTAATATATATACTCATTGGACCAACTCCCACTCAATCTCCCATAGCTGCTGCCACTTCCCATCCTATGAGGCTCCCACTACTCACCCTACCAGGGCTCTGATACCTTGCACTGGGCTGCCACCACCAATGCTCCACATGGATACCCTCCCCGCCCCACCCATGGTCCAGCACTCCGCAGCAGCTACTTCTCCACACAGGAACTCTCCTTACCTTACTCAGGCTCTGACACCCATGCTGGGAAGCCCAGCCTTCCCACTTCGCACCTAGATAGATGATAGATAGATAGATAGATAGATAGATAGATAGATAGATAGATAGACACACACAGACAGATAGACACAGACAGGAACAGACAGACTGACAGATAGATGATTGATAGACACAGGCAGACAGAAAGGTAGAGACAGACACAGACAGACAAACACAGTCAGACAGACAGATAGTAGACAGACACAGGCAGAGATAGATGATGGATAGATAGATGACAGATATAGATAGATAGATAGATGATAGATAGATAGATAGATAGATAGATAGATAGATAGATACATAGATAGATAGATAGAAAGAAACATAGACACATAGAAAAATAGAAATGCAAAGGGGTATATGAGTGTATCTCTACTGAGAGGGCCTGAGAGCAGCAACACTCCAGTAGAAATAAGCATGCCTGGCCCTGACATCTTGGTCATTTGACATCACTCTTAGGCTGGGTGCAGTGGCTCATGCCTGTAATCCCAAAACTTTGAGAGGCTGAGGCAGGAGGATCACTTGGGACCAGGAGTTCAAGACCAGCCTGAGTAACAGAGCAAGACCCAGTGTCTACAAGAAAAAAAAAAGTTTTTAATTAGCTGGGTGTGGTGGTGCATGCCAGTAGTCCCAGCTACTTGGGAGGCTGAGGCGGGAGGATCACTTGAGCCCAGGAAGTCGAGGCTGCAGTGAGCTGTGATTTCGCCATTGTACTCCAGGCTGGGTGACAGCAAGATCTCTCTATATAAATATCTCTTTATATATATATATATAAAGAACCAGGAATCTATGAAGAAATGACTGGTCCCAGAGCTGGGCAGGGGAAGTACAAGATGAGCCTGGAACTTTTTCTTTTAAACCAGAAAGTAAGGAAATGCTCAAAGAAAGATGGGAACATGTTGAAAGGACATAAAAGTTAGCTTCAAGGGGCTCCTGCTACTCAAATCTGGAACAATTTGAGCATCAAAAATTCATTGGATGAAATAGGAAATCTAATCTAAGTAAAGAAACAAGCAAATACATGGAAAAAGTTATTTCTGATAATAAAATGCCAACTAATAAATGTAGACAGAATGGTAAAGTTAAAAAGACATCACTTTACAGTCATCGTAGTATTAATTAATTCAGGCAGAAAAATCAATGGATGCTAAAACTAGTACGTGAAAGTGGGATAAGAAATAAGAATAATAACATAGTCTCAAAGTATCACCATGCCAAATAGCACTTCAGTACAAAATGGGATAGAGAAATTTACAGTGGAGAAATCTGGCAGACATCTTCTTAATTGATTAAAACGAACACCGCCAGGAATGGAACAAATCCACATCATGTGAAACCTCGTAGGGCATGGTAAGAAGAACACGGCATCACCTTTGTAATTTCCCTGCCAAAGAAATGCATAATCTGGGTCTAATCGCCAGAAAATAGTGCAAGAATCTAAATTTCAGGATCTTCTACAAAGACTGGGGTGTAATCCTAAAAAAAAATGCCAAGGGCCTGAAATTCAAGGAATCCCCAAGGACCTGCTCCAGAGTGAAAGAGACTAGAGAAATGGGACAGCTGGGTGTGACATGGAACCTGACTGGGTACTTTGCTATAATCTCATTAGGACAATTGGTGAAACAGAAATGCAGTCTCTAGGTGAAGTTCTTTGCAAATTTCCTGGAAGATTAAAATAGCTCCACAATAAAATTTCATAGCTAGATACAGATACAGATGTGGGTATAGCTATAGATGTGGGTATAGCTATAGATGTTGATGCTGATATCAATAAACATGAGAACGACACCAACGAACAACATAATACAAGTGGTAACCTACAGCAGCAGAGTGGGAGAATGGAAGGAGTCAGGCATGGGGCCCAGACTTCTCAATGTACGTCTTTCCATGTAATTTTTATTTTGAACTATATGATTGTATTAACTATTCAAAAAATAGACCAGGCTCAGTGGCCCCCACCTGTAATCCCAGCACTTTGGGAGGCTGCAGCGGGCAGATTACTTGAGGTCGCGGGTTCAAGACCAAACTGGCCAACATGGCTTAACTCTGTCTCTACTAAAAATACAAAAATTAGTCAGGTGTGGTGGCACGTGCCTGTAGTCCCAGCTACTCGGGAGGCTGAGGCAGGATAATCGCTTGAACCCGGGAGACAGAGGTTACAGAGATACAAGATCGCACCACTGCACTCCAGCCTGGGAGACAGAGCGAGACTCCATCTCAAAAAAAGAAGAAGAAAAAGAAAGAAACCAATTTTAAGAAGTATAAAACATGGCTCTTACCATGCCCCTCCTCTTCCTAATGCCTTAGCACGGCGTTAAGTCAGTTAGTCTGTCTGACTGTCTGTCTGAAACCTTCCTTGTTGTTCTCATTTCCAACCGCATCCTCTCAATCCTACCTCCCCAGACTCCCAGGTGGTATTATTACCCCCAAACATTTAGGGATGCTTACTGTGTACTCCAGGGTGTGCTGAGCAGTCCGCACACGCATGGCCTTATCTCATTTCATGCTTTTCCATCCTGTGGCCTCTGTTCTCTGCCAGACTCTGCCCAGAATGCTTCTCTACAACCTGGTGAGTTCTGAGCAATCCTTCAAATCCAGATCAAAAGCTACCTTCTCTGTGGAAAACTCCCTGGCCCAGGCCAGAGAATTGCCCCCTCCTCTGTGCTCGCAGAGCACTCTGTCCTCTGGTGACTGGACTGCTGTGGATGTATCTGCCCCCAGCAACCCGAGGATGTCTTTGAGGAAAGTTATTAACTGGGTGCTCAGGCAAAGCCTGAAATGATCAGGTGTCTCGTGAACATTTGCCTAATTTATTTGGATTGAAAAAAACAGTCCCCAAAACATTAGGCCAGCAGTGAAGACCCTTCCTGGGCAAAGAATGGGTTTCAAATGAATTTGGGAGTCCTGTGACTCTCAAAACTTCACAGACCCCCAGTGCCCAGAAGTGTGAAGACCTCGCACTCCAGCTCCATGGTTTTTAGAATGCAAGCTGGACCAATGGAAAAACTGCAGGCTTTTTGGGGATGGGGAAGTATTTATTGGGAAAACTATCTAAAAACAGTGGAATAATTCATTCAGGCCACAAAAGATGCAATATCAGATATGGAGATGTAGCTTTACCAGCTGAAGACACAACAGGGGTGAATGCTCTATGTATTTCCATTAGGACTAATCAGAATTTCAAAATACCCAGATGACTGCATAAAAGCAAAACTTGCATGCGTTTATCCTCCCTCTCCTTCTTGAAGGTAATGTATGTGTCTGTATTCTTATAACTAATTTCAGAAACACAGAATGTAATTCCTGTGTCCTTCTTTTGAAAGTGAAAAAACAATGATCACTTTCTTTCCCTCTAAATCACTTAAGCTCCGGGAAATCCAACAGTCTCAAGACGTAAATAGAGGATATGTCTAGAATCTTAGACTTTAGCAGGCATTCCAATGCAAAAACAAGCTACTCTGCCTGCAAGAAGAAATGCAGGCTCTTCTATTTTGGGAGACTTTAAGAACGTGGAGGTTTTGACAAAAGAGAAATAGCAGCAAGCTTGGTCCTATTCACACAAGGAGAGAGAAGGTGGCAGAATGAAGATTATCCTTTGTCAGAATGAAGGTAAGAATGGAATATTACACAGACACAAAAAAGAATGAGATGATGTCCTTTGCAGGGACATGGATGGAGCTGGAGGCCATTATCCTTAGCAAACTAACACAGGAGCAGAAAACCAAATACTGCATGTTCTCACATGTAAGTAGGAGCTAAATAATGAGAACACGTGGACGCATAGAAGGGAACAACACACACTGGGGACTTTCAGAGGGTGAAGAGTGGGAGGAGGGAGAGGATCAGGAAAAATAACTAATGGGTTAATGGCTTAATACCTGGGTGATAAAATAATCTGTACAACAAACTTCTATGACAAGTTTACCTATGTAACAAACCTACACTTGTACTCCTGAATTCAAAATAAAAGTTAAAAAAAAAAAAAAAGGAATGAAGGTAAGGTCTAGGCTGTGTGACCTTGACCAAGCCATCTTAGTTTTCAGGGTATCGGAGTTCTCATCCATTCAATTCTAACAATAGCAAAGGAGTCGAAAAGACTAAACAACACTGCCTCTGACACAGGAGAGGTGCTTGGTAAACATCCTATTATTTATTCCCCTATGCTGTTGATTTTTTTGCAATTGAAGAAGCAGATGTAGTAATTGGCAAACTAATTGTCTCCCTTCCCAACTGTCTTTAAAGACCCAATCCTCCTCACTTCTTTGAGACCTCTGTCACCAAAATGTCTTGGGGTCTAAAATAGAAAAGATGCAGCTCTAGAGCCCTGGGAATGACTCATTGATTATAATTTACTCTGAGAAGTGCTAATGTACAGGAATTACAGAAAGCCAAGGAACACAGAGAAAAAGCCCATGACTCACCCTGCAGCTGATCAGGGAGAACTTCCTGAAGATGTTGGAGCTAAGTCTTCAAGGACAAACAGGAAACGGCCAGGTCAGAGGATGGGGAGGGATGAGGGCTTTTCCCCATAAAATAACTGCAGTTGGAGAGGTTATGGAGATTATAGGAGATGTGGGGTGCTTCAAGGCTGGGTGCTCGAAAGCTAGGTGAGGAAGGATACCTCACCCTCTCTGGCAAGTAAGAAACAGGAGGGTGCTGAGCAAGTCTGAGTGGCGAGGGGAGGCCATTCTGTCTCTGCCCAAGATCAGGTGGATCCTGATTTTGGGAAGCTTGAAGCTGATATACTCTGGCAGGAGTCTTTCTTTAAGAAGACTCTTAAGTAATGTAACATTACAAACACGAAATTAGAGATTGGTCTGGGAAGGGGCTGTGTAAGTCAGGTGACCCTACCACTTAAGCTTCATCAGTTTCATAATAAACTCATCTCTGCTAACTAAGACTCTTACCCCATCTTTCACCCACTATGCATGTGGGGCTTCAGAAAGAGTACTGGCTTAGGAATCAGGATCCTGGTTCTAGTCGAGTCTCCATCACCACCTGATCAAATTAGGGTATATTTCTGTTCCAGCTGATCTCTAAGGTCCTTTCTATCTCCATCCATCCATCCATCCATCCATCCATCCATCCATCCATCCAGCTATCCATCCATCCATCCATTCATCCACCCATTCATCCATCCATGCATCCATCCATCCATTCACCTATTTATCCACTCGTCCATCCATTCATCCACGTATTTATCCACCCACCCCTCTATTCATCCATCCATTCATTCATCTATCCATTCGTCCAGCCTTCTATTTATCCATCCAGTCATCCATCCATCCACCTATTTATCCACTCACCCATCCATTCACCCACTCAGTCATCCAACCATTCATCCATCCACCTGATTATCCACTCATTCATCTATTCATCCATCCACCTATTTATCCATCCATCCATCTATCCATTCATTCACCCACCCATCCATTCACCCACCTATTCACCCAATCTGCCAATTCATCCATTCATGCACCTATTATCCATCTACTCACCTACTCATCTATCCATCCTTCCATCCATCCCTCCTTCCCTCCCTCCCTCCCCACCTCCCTCATTTCATGAGTAAGGCCATTTTAAGAACATCCAAGCTTCTTACTTTTTTAGAAGCTCTATTCCACCTCACATCAAATGCAATAAAATTTACTCATATTATGCATTAAATAAATATACATATATATCTGTATTTGCTGTAAAATTTTGAAGTTTTTAGAGACTTTGCTTTCAAAAATTTTATTTACTCAACCAATATTATTGAGTACCTACTATGAACCGGGCACTGTTCTAGGCATTGGGGACAGAGAAGTAACAAACATTTCAGGTCTTATGGAACTTATTTGGGGTTGAGTCCAACAAATAGATAGAAAATATATACAGTATGGTAGATAAATGTCATGGATAAAAATAAAGCAAGAAATATAAAGAACAAAAGAATGAGGCAAGATTGGTTTATTGTCCATGAACAAGGGTTTTTAAATGGTTGGTTCTGGCCTTTAGAGTGATAAAAGACAATTGAGATTCATCCCAATGGCCTCAAGTTAGATGGTGTCGGTGAGACTGAGGTGGAATGGGGGTCTTGCCAGGAACACCCAGGACCCTGGAACTCACCCTTAACTTAGGGATAATGCTGATGTTTGGCTTTGAGCAACCCAGTTTACAAATGACCATGATTCCTCAGTAATCAAAGTGCACTTCCAATTTACAAGTCTAAAATGAAATAAGGCCAGGTGCAGTGGCTCTTGCCTGTAATCCCAGCACCTCGGGAAGCCAAGGCAGGTGGATCACTTGGCCAAACTCTCAAACAGGAGTTTGAGACCAGCCTGGGCAATGTAGCGAGATGCCGTCGCTACAAAAAAGAAAAAATACAAAAATTAGCCAGGAGTGGAGGCATGCGCCTGTGGTCCCAGCTACTCAAGAAGCTGAAGTAGGAGGATTGCTTGAGCCTGGGAGGTCAAGGCTGCAGTAAGTTAATGATAGCATCACTGTGCCCCAGCCTAGGCAACAGAGTGAGATCCTGTCTCTAAATGAAATGAAATATTTATGAATGCTAAATCTAGATGTAAGGATGATATGGTAGCATGACATTTGTAGACATTAATTAAATATGTATTCGATTGTGGTTTCTATTTGAATCTAGAAGCCAGTACATTTTTCCAAGGTCTCATACATTTTTTGCATGCTCCTGAAAAGCTTGCAAGTATTGTGCAAATGGACTAACTGTCCTTTTGCACAGACTCCCACACTTGGGACAGGTACTCCTGTAGATGTGAAGATGCATGAAGACACAGGCAGCCTTGCCCACAGAGAGCTCATGGTTCATGTTCACAGCTACTCTGGGCTTCTGCATCTATAAAAAAAGAGGTCAGATTCACCCCATAGAATGATTGTGAGGCTTCAACAAGATCACCCCTGGCCCTCACACAGACCTCCAAACCCTCGTGCCTCCATCCATAGTATCCACAACATGTCTTCTCCAAAAGCCACCCACAGTTCTCTGCTGTGCTCTGCCCCTGGCCATTGGCCTCAGACCCATTCTCTAATGGCTCTTGAGCTGCTGTCAGAAAGCCCTACTATCCCCAGCCTTATCACTGCAAATTTCCATTCATTTTCAAGCCTTTTTCTCCTTAGCCTTTCTCCTTAACCAAAGCAGCTTTCTCCTATCCATCTCCCCTCACCATAACATTGTATGGCCAAGTAGGAAACCACGCCTTGTTTTCTGCTGCTTCCCCAGACTGTTACCCACCATTGACACTGAAGGTCACACCATCTGGTCCTGTTACTTTCTCCAACAGGGTATCCCTTTTCTCCTAGTGACCCCGGCACCAGGTCCACTTGTCCCTGACTTCAGGTGATATGGCCGCCCCACCTGAACCCATCTCTCCCTCCCACCAGCACACTGGGCTCCCTCTTCGGCAGCAGGCAGCATTGCTTCCCCAGAATACATCCCAACATCAACCACGCTGTGCATCTGCTGCTTAGTCTCATACTTGGTGGTGGCTTCCCTTTCCTTCCATAACCCACTTATCTCTTGGACAGATCCCCAATCACGTTACTTGTCCCATTTTCACCTGTCCATACATTTTTAAAATATATATTTGATTTCCTTCTTGCGGGGCCTGGAGCCCCTCAGCCCCTCTGATGCTGCCCCACAAATGACCTGAACTCCTTGAAGTTCACCCCTGAGCTGATGCATCCACAGCCCTGGGCTATCTTGTTTTCTTTCTTCTCTCCTGTTCCTTGGCTCCGAATTGGCAGGTGGAGAAAGTTATCATTCCATGCTAAATGGACCGACTACAAAATTGTTCTAACTCTACCACTTCCTTTTGGCAACCTTCTGATTCATTTCTTGTAAGAGTGAGCTTTTCGTCACGCACTGACTGTCTCAATCTTTCCCCTTCATCCTTAGAGTCTTAATCTCACTCCGACTGCTGATTTCTTACAAATTACTTCATCTACCACGTTCTGGAAGCCAATCATTAAGAGCTTTGTCCCAGTCGATCCCTTCTCTGTACTAAAAATACCTCTTGTCCTCTCCAACTCCTAGCTTCCTGGCCCAGATGACGGACACCCCAGGTACTGAAAACTTGTCAGTGGAGATTTCTCAAGTGTTATTTGTGAACTTTGAGCAACCATGGAAAGCAAGACTAGGTATCAAAAAGTGCAGTTCTTTTTGTTGTTTGTTTCAGAGACAGAGTCTCGCTCTGTCTCCCAGGCTGGAGTGCAACGGTGCGATCTCAGCTCACTGCAACCTCTGCCTCCTAGGTTCAAACGAGTCTCCGACCTCAGCCTCCCGAGTAGCTGGGAGTACAGGCACGTGCCACCATGCCGAGCTAATTTTTGTATTTTTAGTAGAGACAGGGTTTCACCACGTTGGCCAGGCTGGTCTCGAACACATAGCCTCAAGTGATCCACCCGCCTCAGCCTCTCGAAGTGCTGGGATTATAGGCGCAAGCCACTGCACCTGGCCTGGAAAGGGTAGTTCTTATTTTCCAGAGGTCAACAGTGAATTCCCACAACTCTCGGCTTGATGACTTGCCATCAATCACAGGCAAAATTATAGAAACCAAAGGGCTGCTTTATGTTATTTAGAAAATAGTACAGCAATTACTAGGAGTCAATACAAGTTCTCAAAGCCTCATTCCTTTTTTATTTTTTATTTTTGGCAGGGTTGCTAGACTGGTAGATCAGGAAGACGCCATAAATATATTTTATCTGGCTCTAAAGCAAGGTTGTTTTTTGACAACCATGTGAGCAAGTAGGAGAATATAGTCCAGATTAAAGTAAAATCAGGAGGATTAAAACTGGTCAAGTGTGGCCGGGCACAGTGGCTCAAGCCTGTAATCCCAGCCCTTTGGGAGGCCGAGGCGGGCAGATCACAAGGTCGGGAGTTCGAGATCAGCCTGGCCAACATGAATTCTGTCGCTACTAAAAATACAAAAATTAGCTTGGTGTGGTGGCAGGTGCCTGTAATCCCAGCTACTTGAGAGGCTGAGGCAGGAGAACCGTTTGAACCCGGGAGGCAGAGGTTGCCGTGAGCCAAGATCGCACCATTGCACTCCAGCCCTGGCGACAGGGCAAGACTCCTTCTCAAAACAAAACCAAACAAAAAACTGGTTAAGTGTGCCCAAAGAGTGCTAAGTAATGGATTAACCTCAGTCAGAAGGGATGTTTGCTGAAGGCACTATTCTGAGACCTATCCCATTCTTCCAAATTTTGGGGGGTGACAATATAGAAGGAATATTTACAAACATGTACATATATTTGTAAAAGGAATTATGTTCAAGGAAATAATGAGAACCATAAATAACTCAATAGGCAGATTCCAACTAGATGTCTTTGACAGAGAAAATTCATCAAAACATAATATTGACTGAAAGTAGCAAGTCATAGAAAAAACATTACAATAAGATTCCATGAATGAGTTTCAAAATAGGAAGAATCGGTGGTGGCTCACACCTGTAATCCTAACACTCTGGGAGGCCAAGGTAGGAGGATCACTTGAGCCTAGAAGCTTGAGACTGCAGTGAGCTGTGATTGCACCACTGCACTCCAGCCTGGGCAAGAGAGAAAGACCCTGTCTCTAAAACAAACAAACAAACAAAAACAGGTTGAACTAAACAGTGTATTATTTATAGAAATACACATCAGAGATAAAAGATATGAAGAAGAAGCAGATGATTATCACAAAATTCAGGAGAGCTGGGGGGAAGCCAGGCATGTGATTAGGAAAGGGTGCAAATGGGACTTTGAGGAAGGATGGGTGAGTACTGCTCTATTTCCTAACCTCAGAAATATAACATATAATATTTATATTATATTTATATTTATATTTATATTATCCTTGAAAATGAACATATCTTTTCATACACTCTTTTGTGTGTTTGTTACATTATATAGTAAAAAGAAATTTTAAGGAATAAATCTAAAGTTCTATACCATGGTCCAAACCACTGCCCCCTCCAAAAAAAAAAAAACCAGAATAATCTAATCAATACAAAGTGCAGAAAAGACAGGGGATTTAATGGGTGGTGTAAGTCAGAGTCAGGTGTCTAGGCTACATTTGGAGAATTGTCTCTACCCTATTCCTGTGCAGGCCAGCTGGGATCATGGTTGGGTTCATGGCTGGAGTCATGGCTGGAGACCATGCACAGTTCAAGAGCTGCTCCTTCCCTGGGAGTAAGCCAAACAGGGAAGAGTTGGGGGGTCTTGCCCCATGGGATGTCAGAAGCCATCCTCTGTCCGCAGATGCCTGCTTTTCCTGCTGTCTCGTTGGATCACAGAGAATGGGATGTTTAGGGGCAGTCACAGGTGGCAGCTGACAGCTGTCTTGAAACTTTTTAAACTGTCACATGAAAAGATGAATTCAACTTGTACTGTGTGGCTCCAGAGGACAGAGCAGCAGGTAGAAGTCACTGTGAGTCATGAGCTCCCGTCTCTGGATGCATTCATGCCCAGGCTTAGGTCTTCTGTTTAGGGAGTCGCAGAGGTCACAGTTAGGTCAGCTAAGATGACCCTTAAAGTCTCTTCCAACCTCCACAGGCTATGAGTCTATGAAACCTGTGCATGACATGCACAAAGGAAACATAGAAGCACTTTGGGAGCCCGTGGCAGGAGGATTACTTGAGCCCAGGAGTTCAAGACCAGCCTGGGTGACATAGCAAGACCTGCATCTACACAATTTTTAAAAATTAGCTGGGTGTAGTGGTGTGCATCTGTGGTCACAGCTACTCAGGAGGCTGAGGTGGGAGGATTGTTTGAGCCCAGGAGTTCAAGGCTGCAGTGAGCTATGATTGCGCCACTGCTCTCCAGCCTGGGCAACAGAGCAAGACATTGTCTCTTAAAAACAACAGCCAGGCGCAGTGGCTCATGCCTGTGATCCCAGCACTTTGGGAAGCCGAGGCGGGTGGATCACAAGGTCAGCAGTTCGAGACCAGCCTGACCAATGCGGTGAAACCCCGTCTCTACTAAAAATATTTAAAAAATTAGCTGGGCTTGGTGGCGGGCGCCTGTAATCCCAGCGACTTGGGAGACTGAGGCAGGAGAATTGCTTGAAACTGGAAGGTGGAGGTTGCAGTGAGCTGAGATTGTGCCACTGCACTCTAGCCTGGGCAATAAGAGCAAAACTCCGTCTCAAAAAAAATAAAAAATAAAAACAGTTTATTCTGAAACCAAAGAGATTTGATTTTAAATATGAGCATTGTGCTTTGACAGTATTTATTTATTTATTTATTTTTTGAGATGCGGTCTCACTCTGTCACCCAGGCTGGAGTGCAGTGGTGCGATCTTGCCTCACTGCAACCTCTGCCTCCCAGGTTCAAGCAATTCTCCTGCCTCAGCTGGGATTACAGGTGTGTGCCATCACACCTGGCTAATTTTTGTATTTTTAGTAGAGATGAGGTCTCACCATGTTGGTCAGGCTGGTCTTGAACTCCTGACCTGCAGTTATCTGCCCCCACCTCGGCATCCCAAAGTGTTGGGATTACAGGCGTAAGCCACCGCGCCCAGCCGACAGCATTTATTTTAAAATGAAATGGGCCCTCCCTATGTTGCCCAGGCTGGTCTCGAACTCCTGGGCTCAAATGATCCTCCTACCTGAGCCTCCCAAGTAGCTGGGATTATAGGTGTGAGCCACAGCACCTGGCTCAGTTTGCCTCTGAGATCAACACGTAGTATTGGTTTAGAAGAAGATTCAGGCACCTTCCGCCCACATTTTTAAGATTTCAAAGGCAAAGAGCTTTGAAACCCCCCTTGAAGCACAGCTTTTTGTGAGGTGCAGCACTTCCTGTGTCCAGCCTTCTCAAGGACCGCTGAACCTCCGCGTGATGCGCGCCGAGACCAGGGTTTACTCTCTCCTGCCACCTGCTGGTCCTTCGCTGCATCTCTTCTTTCTCTAGGACACTGGTGGTATCCACACTGGATAATACTCTGTCACCTAGAGTTCCTTCCAGTGGCTCATACTAAATCCAGGAAAATCAGAAATTCACAGATGATGAGGACTGGAGAAGACCCAGAGCTCTTTCTAAACTGGGCTCCGAGCCAGAGCTCTCCAGAGCCCTTAAAAACTGATAGCTCCTGGACAATGGACAGCCCACAGACAAACCTTGTTTGGCCTATACAATATTAAATAATTTTGAGCCAATATATAAAAATTTGGAAACTTTACCTAAAAAATCTAGATTTGTAATGTTATGTTACCGGGTATTCATGAAGTCTCAAAGCAGAGAGCAAGAAGGGATTCTGGTTGTAAGACACACAATGCATGATATACAGAAAGAGAGCCAAACCAATCACCCCAACAGCTCTACAAGATGTGACAATTTAAAGGACTGCACTGAAGGGAATCCACGGGCCCAGGAAGGGAGAGCTCCACTCTTCCAATCCTACTACACCAAGCTGAATGAGGAGCCTTCTGGAACTTGGCGATGGGCCGGGGGTGGACAGATCCTGCTTCTCACCTGGATAATTCTTAAGGCAGGACACAAGCTAGAGCTACCCACAACAGCAAGTTGGGGAGACAGTGGTAGCAGCTGGCCAAACTGGACTTGCCTCATTTAGCAAGTGGTTTCCCTCGATCACAGGGAAGCAATAGCAGAAAGCTGGGTTCCAGGTGAGAGCTAAATTGTTGAGACTTCACCGACGAGGGCTGCTGGCAAAGTGGGCTCAAGTCTCAGAGGTGGCTGCAGGTGTGCCCTTTGTGACTGGGAAAGGGTGTGAGATTGTAAAGACCCAGTTGGGAAGCGCATTCCAGGATCAGACAACTATGGCACTGACAATCCTTACAGCGAGCCTGAAGAACCCACAAATGGGTGGAAAAGAACCAGCCCTGGGGCCTCTGCTGCAGTGGGGCTGCCAACAGCCAGGTTGTAAGAGTGCCCGCCATGAAAGACTCTCCTCTTTTTCTCTGACTCCTGCCCTCTGCCCCTGTCCTAGAGGATCCAGCGGCTAATCCTCCCTAAACCCACCTTCTCCAGCCTCCACTCCCATTCTGGAGGGGCCGTCGCTGGGGAAGAGGAGGACCATGGGGCATTCTGGAAGAGGCAGGGTGAAGTATCAGATGTGAACCAGGAGGTGAGCTGAAGTTCTGAATTATATGTGAGATTGAAGTTCTGATTTAAATGAGAAGAACTTTTCATATGTAAAGGGAAATTGTCATTGTAAAACAGAACAGTTCTTGGCTGGGCGGGATGGCTCATGCCTGTAATCCCAACACTTTGGGAGGCCGAGGTGGGAGAATTACTTGAGCCCGGGAGTTCGAGGCCAGCTGGGGCAACATGGAGGGGGCCCCACTGTACACAAAATTAAAAACTTAGCTGGGTGTGCTGTTTAGTTAAGTGGTTAGTAAAGGTGGTTAGTAAAGGCATGGTGGCATGTGCCTTTAGTCCCAGGTATTTGAGAGCTTGAAGCAGGAGGATTTTGAGTCTAGAAGGTTGAGGCTGCAGTGAGCTGTGATTGCACCGTTGCACTCCAGCCTAGGCAACAGAGCAAGACCCTGTCTCAAATATATATAACAATTCCTGTATTGGAAAGTGATCAGGAAATCATGGAATCTGATCTGTTCATCCAAGATGGCATCTAAGGGCGGGGAAGAGAATTCAGAGCATTGTTGAAGAAAGTGGGAGAAACAAGCAACTTCCTTTTTTCGGTCCTACCAAGTTCAGCTCTTTCAATGCACTTTACTCATTGACTTCCCTTATAAAACTCCATTTCCCCACAACTGAAGCAGCTGCCCTAAAGGAAGAGCTATGTGCTCTCTGGCTCATCCCAGCCCCCACAGCTCACAGGATGTGAGCCACTTTCCTCACCCTCCCACAGGTGTTACCTGCCCCTGCAGCACCAGAATGTACAGTCCTGCTCTAGCTCTATTCCTCATCTCCCAGTGGGCAAATGGAGGCCCAGGGAGGACAAGTCATGCATCTAAAGTCACATAGAAAAGGAGCAGAGGCCAGGCACAGTGGCTCACCCCTGTAATCCCAGCACTTTGGGAGGCCGAGGCGGGCGGATTGCCTGAGCTCAGGAGTTCGAGACCAGCCTGGCCAACATGGTGAAACCCCGTCTCTACTAAAAACACAAAAATTAGCCAGACGTGTTGGTGGGCGCCTGTAGTCCCAACTACTCGGGAGCCTGAGGCAGGAGAATCGCGTGAACCCGGGAGGCGAAAGTTACAGTGAGCTGAGATCATGCCACTGCTCTCCAGCCCATGACAGAGCAAGACTCCATCTCCAATTTAAAAAAATTAAAAAATTAAAAATATAAACAATAAAAGGAGCAGAGCTGTATCCTAAATGCACACCGCGGAAGGTAGAGTCTAGGAGTGGAAATGGTGTGTGCTCCCTTTCCTTCAGTAGACAGTGCATTAAATATCCTCACCCACACAAGAGCTCTTCTCCCATCCATTCTGATGGGGTAAGAAGAGGTGCCAGGGCCCTGGGAAGCTCTGGCAGGCTGGGCGTGGGGAGAGGATCAAAGGGGCACTGGAGGTGCCTGGGGCCAGTCCTGTTCCCACCCCCTCGCACCTGCAGACACTCCCACTTCTGCCCCACCCTCAAGCACAGGGATGAAAGCAAACAGCTTTCTTCTTTGGGTCATTCTACATGGAGCTCAGATTTTAATTGGATCAGAGGAGCTTATTAAGAAACCATTCATCCTGTAACTCTGTGTCCAAATAGAGGCCCGCTCAAGGGTAGGGACACCAAGTGGCTCCTAATCTTCTTGTTGGTCTTCATTTCTCAACTCATTATCTTCCCCTCAGCCCCATGGTGTGGGAATGCGGTATTTTCTCTTGGATTACAAGCCCCAGGATGCAAAGGCAGAGAGAAGCCCCTCCCCCTTCCCTGTAGCTGAGCCACTGCTTCCGCCAGGCCTAGAAGCAGGCAGAATCCCCAAGCTCAGCTGAGTCCAGAACAAGAGCTTCTGCCTTTGATTTTTTTTTTTTTTTTTAATCGGGTCTCACTCAGGCTCAGGCTGGAGTGCAGTGGTGAGATAACGGCTCACTGCAGCCTTGACCTCCCAGGCTCAAGCAATCCTCCCACCTCAGCCTCCTGCGTAGGTGGGACTATAAGGCGACTGCCAACAACCTGGACTTTTTTTATTGTTGTATTTTTTGTAGAGATGGGGTTTTGCCACGTTGCCCAGGCTGGTCTTGAATTCCTGGACTTAAGCAATCTGTCCCTCTTGGCCTCCCAAAGTGCTGGGATTACAGGCATGAGTCCACTGCCCCTGGCTGCCTTTGATTTTTAAAAAGGTAACGCTGATTGGCCCCAAGCAGGGGAACTGGAAACACTTTCACCCTATTCCCGTTTATACCTTTTGATTCTGCACCATGAGTACCTATGCCTGTAAATTTTTAAAAAATTAATTATTTTGTGGAAAAGAAAAATTCTTCCTGATCCCAAAGCCCAGGAGATCCTGGGGGGCCACTCCTCCAGGACCTCCTGGGCTTTGGGGGCGTTAACAGAGGGCCTGCAGGGAGGAGGCAGCAGCTAAAATGAGGGGAGATTTGTGTGTTTTGTTTACCCGCTTTTATCTTTTTTTTCTTTTTTTTTTTTTAAATAGAGACAGGGTCTCCCTGTCCCCCAGGCTGGAGTGCAGTGGTGCTATCACAGCTCACTGCAGAATCAAACTCCTGGGCTCAAGCAATCCTCCTGCCTTGGCCTCCTGAGTAGCTAGGACTATAGGAATGCCTAGCTAATTTTTATATTATTATTATTATTTTGTAGAGAGAGGGTCTCAGTATCTTGCCCAAGCTGGTCTTGAACTCCTGCGTTCAAGTAATCCTCCCGCCTCGGCCTCCCAGTGTTGGGATTATAGGATTGAGCCACTGCACTCTTCTGCCTCAGCTGTTGATGTAGGCAGGTGGATCACCTGAGGTCAGGAGTTCGAGACCAGCCTGGCCAACATGGCAAAACCCCGTCTCTACTAAAAATAAAAAAATTAGCCAGGAGTGATGGTGCGCGCCTGTATTCCCAGCTACTTGAGAGGCTGAGGCAGGATAATTGCCTCGGAGACGGAGGTTGCAGTGAGCCAAGATCTTGCCATTGCACTCCAGCCTGGGCAACAGAGCGAGACTCTGTCTCAAAAAAAAAAAAAAAAAAAAAAATGCTGTTTGGTAACCAGATTTAAGCTTTGTCTATTTCAGACCTTCCAGCTGATTCCAAAGACTCTCCTAAAAGCAATTCCAGTTTTGAAATGTTATGTAAGCCTCACTGATGCAGAGTACATAAAATAAAATATGAACTTCAGAGTTTGGAAGGGACATTACATGAAGACCAGGGCTTCACAGTGGAAGACGATTCTGGCAAGGCTAGGCTGGTTCCAGGGCACTGCACGGTACCCCGAATATTTTCTCTTTTTCAGTCTGTGGTTTTCATCTGCTGACCCTGCATTGTGTCTTCACCAAGGGTCAAAAAGCTTCAAGTCTGACAGATCAGCCTTTACCACCTGAAAGATCCCGGTTCTCTTCTGAAATCATAAGCAAATGTTAGCCTTGTCTATGGATAGCAAACTGCTGATGCAGAAACCAAAACACCAGCAGGAGCCCAGGCAGCTAAGGCCTCATCCAGGCAGGATGTGAAATGTCAGGCCATTTGTCTTATATTTTCACTGCAGTGGTTACAAGATGGGATTGATGTTGGAACAAAACACAACACTGACTTTGGAGAATTCCTTGTGTTTTTTTTTCAGCGTTAAATATTGACACCCACTCACCAGGCTTGAGAACTAGAAAAGCTACATGGATTTCTAGAGTGAGCAATGATTTCCTCTGGCCGCCATTCCTTGCCAGGTCGGTGCCACTCAGCACATGCCAAGGGCAGAGACCAGTTTCTTGTTTCATCTGGCTATGGTGTAGACCTACAGTCATACCGCTAAGGTAGAAAGCTCACAGCCCCTCCAAAAATTGACACAATAATGAAATCAGAAAGACAAAACTAAGCAATCAATTTAAGACAGAAAAAGAGGTATGTATAATCTAATGATAAACCCAGGTTAAAAGATGGCATTGGGTAGGTATTTGTATTTTCACTGCACTGCTAAGTCACCTAGTATATACACACATCTCTAAATTTTTCTGTATAAAAATTCTGGATTCAAACTACATTCCCTATATAGACTAATTTACTTAAACATTTAAACCCCAGAACACTAGCAGCTAAGGGAGTTAAAACCAATGGATGCAGGTATTGCCCTGACTAGAAATGCAAACCAAATGTGCTCTGGTAAACATTTAAGAATTCAAATATGCTTTTACAGCTGGGAGAAAAACTTGTATGTTTGTGTGGCTCCTCTGAGCCTAAAACCTCCCTGCAAGCATTCTCACAATAGTGTAAACTCTATCATAAAAGAGGTGAAAATCTATCAACAGAACACAACCCATAGCCCTACAGTCATCCATGAAACCGCCCAGGAAGTCTTCACATTTGCAGGCTTGCCTTGGCCAAAATTTCAGGCAGACCCCCAGGAATTTTGGGAGAGCAGAGGGTCAAGCTGTAAACTCCAAGTACTAGTGTTCAAATATTGTGGCCTTTCAGCTCTGGGTTCTTCAATCCTCCTCCTGGAATTCTTGGGCGACCTTCCCTTTACTAGGATTTGCTCCTCTCCTCCTGCTGTGACTGTGTGAAGGGCAGGCATCATCACATGGGGAGCCAAGTACCTCCGTCTCCCCACTTGCCTAAAACAAGCAGGCACATCCCATCAGTGAGACTGGAACTTGCAGGAGAAAATAAGAAGTGAAATCTCTCTCACACACACAGTTCTACTCAAACTATAAGCTTTTATTATTGTATTTTACAGATCATTCATTCAGGACATGCTGCATCTGGGGTTGGCATCATTTCCCTTTTGAATGACAGAATGTGCATAAAAGTCTCTTGCCCACGCTGAACTCACACGTGCCCGGCAGGAAGGAGCTCTCACGAAGTGCCAGCTGGATGTGAGCTTGCTCTGGCAGCAGCAGTGCTGTCCTTGTTTCTGAGCTGCCACCTATTCACTGGAGTTAGGTGGGTCAAAGCTGAAATTTAGCTTGGAATTTAAGTTTCTAATTTTATACTTTTCATTGTGGTCTGGTCAGATTTTAGTCTGCTTCAAAATCAAAAGGTCACTCAGTCACTCTAATATGATCATTTTGAATATGGAAATTTGTTATTTACATGCTGTACCTCAAATCAAAGAAAAAGCACGCGTCAATATCACGCGTAGGAAAAACTAGAAAATTGTTCCTTTTCCATTTTGCCACCCTGCTCAGTTTTCCTCATAAACGGTTCCAGCTTGGAAAACAAGAGCTTCCCCTCTCAGACAGATGCAGCAGCGGGAGGAAGGGCTTTGGTCTTAAACTAGAAGCTGCAGCTGAAACTCTCCCCGTCTAATCCTGCTGTGTGTATGGCTCACACCATCTTTCCTGAGTGGGGAAAACCGCTGGCACTGAATAGCTGAAAGGCTCGCTGAAATCTGTGCTTCAAGAACGAGTTAAAGACAATACAATAAAACACATAGACACTGAAGGGGTTCAACTAATGTCCATCACTTATTCTGCTAATGTCAGTGCCTTTCAATAAACTTCTCAACATCTGTGTTGGTAAACTTCTCAATATTTGTTCTAGCCCAACCACGGTGACAAAGCTCCCTTGCCCAAAGATCGTGAGCCTAGACAAAGGTGGATAAGAAATATGAAGTCTAAAGCTATAGAATATAGCAGTTAGTGAAGTAAATTAAACATGCCCCTCGCCTGCATGCTGATCAGAGTGTTGAAACTGAAGACGACATTGGCAAAGTGACTCAGACCCACAGCACAGATTTGATCAAGGGCACAGCTCATAAAAATAGCAACAATTTCGAATTCTCCTATCCAACGTTTAGGAAACAATCCAATGGCAAGAAATGAGAGGAGTTCAATGCCAACAGTTTGACCTGTGGGCAATCAACCTATAAGTCCTCAAAAGAAAATTTCCTTGCTTTCCCTGGGACCAACAGAGATGGGGAAAAAAATAAAACAAAGAGGCTGCAGGGTTAGGGGCATAGGAATCAACACAGAGCTATGAATTCAACAAGAGAATTCAGCAGAGACCTGGACATTTTAAACCAGTGTAAGCTGAGTTAGGAAATGTTTAAAGTTTGAGCCCCAGGACCTCTCATACTATAGTAAAAATATATGTATTTTTCAAAAGCGCTATCTACATGTGTTGCAGTGTGAGGTACAGAGGAATTCTGTAGAAGCCGGACTCCTTGGAAGTATGGAAGGAGCACAGCTACGAATACATCTGAGATGTATCAAGAATACATCTGAGAAAGGACATCCCTTTGACCCAGTGAGCAGCTGGAAGAAAGAGGCATTTAGCAGAGGAGGAGAAAGATGATAGCCCCGTACAGAACCTGTCAGACTGAGCCTATGATGAATGAGGTTTTTTAGAGCAAGATCACCCTCAAAACCAGCTTGTGGAATGGGGGCTACCCTTTTTAATAGCAAATTCTAAGAATTCATATATCAATGTCCTTCCAGATTAAAAAAATGGTATTTTATTATAACTTTTAAAATTGCGGAACATCAGACTGAATATCATCAGACACATACACAAAACCACTCATCTCTAAAGTCATTTTCTATACCCTCTCAAAATTTGGCCAGTGAGTTTTGCCTCAGGGAATTTTCCAGTTCAACCCCATACACCAACATGGAATAAATGGAAACACTAGCCTTTTGGTTTTGCCCACAGTTCCAAAGTGCTATTACAGGTGGAATATCTGCTGCAGGAGGTCATTCTTGCTGCTGTGGGTGTGAGTAAAATGCTTAGTTCCTTCTAAAATCATAATTGCAATATGGACTTCTGCTTCACGCTGCATCCTAAGGCACAAATCAGGTAACCTACATCTCCCAAATGATCAACAGAGCACTCCATCCTATTTTACCCTCAATGCTGAGAAATTACTCCTGGGCCCAGAAGTTGTCACATAGGTGGCTTGGGTTACTTGGTGCTCAGGCAACAACTGCCACAGGCCCCAGCTTGATGAACACCATCAATTTCTTTAAATATGTTGATACTAAGATGGAGGCCTCTGCTCAGAGGAAGCAAGGACGTAAACGCTGGGACAGACTGCACTGAGGGTCACTACACTAACAGACCCAGATGACACGATGGAACATGAATACTGAAGCTGACAATCTTCTGAAAAATCTCTTTTTCAAAACCCATACGCCTAATCGAGAAATCAGGGACAGGGAAACATTCGCATAATTACCCACCAACATGTTCTTCTTAACAGAAGTGAAGATTATTTTAAGAATATGAAAAGTGTTTCAAGACATCTGTTTTCAGGGATAGACCAGAGCAGCAGAAGTACTTTTCAGAGCTGGTTCATTTTAAAGTCTATCTCAAGAACAAGGGCAGCCTGCTTTCACAAGGTACCAAGACATGTTCTGGCAAAAACATTTTCACTTTAAGTTATATGCTGTCAAGTTCAACTATTTTATACATATCTGATCCTTTTCTGTCAGCAAAAAAGGTACAATTTTTTTAAAACTTGAAAATCAATAATTTCTGGGTAGGATGAAGGTAGAATTTTGGTTGTATTTTATATTTCAGAACACAGATGAAACCAAAAGGTCTGCAATTGTCTCTACATTCACATCTTTCAAAGGTCCTTTTCTCCTTTTCTCCTTTTACATGAATTCATCTGAATCATTGCCATCCTGTAGGAAACACAAAAATGAGAACATAAAAGCCTTGAAAATAATTCAATATTTAAAATTTACAATTATCTTAATTAGCGAGCTGCCTTCTCATCTCAGTCACTGAGTTCAGAAAGTAAAATAACTAAATTGACTCATCACTTCTCCGCCTTAAGTTGTCAGTTTCCTGACATAGCTGAATTAACAGCTATATTTTGTGAGGTGTCATTACATGGCCTGATTACACAGCAGTAAGTGACCACTGATCTCTAAATAATGCAGTAAGTCCCACCTGACCTAGTATAGTGCAAAACAAATGTGACTGTAAGAAAACATGACAGATCCTTCAACAAATGTACCAAGCAAACACTGCCTCAATGTCCTCATGCCAACAATTCTGCCAATATGCAAACTGATTCTGGCCTAAGTTCCAGTAATTTGAGCCTCAACATTGTCACAGATTTGTGACTTCACAACATGGCTTTGATCTCTTCTTCTTTTTTAATAGGAAAGGCCATCAGGAAGTCAAACATAGGCTAGTTTACCAACTTAGTTGGTTTGCCACATTTTTTAATTTAAAAAACCTGCATAATGGTATACAGCACAAAGGGACTGATTTTATTGTGTGGCTTACAAGCAAGTCCTGAAGGCCACACACAAAGGTAGAGCCCTGACTCCTTTTTGGACAACATTCACTAAGAGTGTGCATTCTGATTTGCTTGCCAATGTCACAATCTGAACACTACAGTTGTTTTATCTTTTTTCTCTTTCCCATTGCTTAACACCAGCATTGTTAGAGAAAGGGATCAGACTAAGGCTTATCTAAATGGCCCTTATTAAAGATGGTAGAGAAATACGATATGGGTAGAAAACATTGGTTCCTGTGAAGTCTGGTTTTAGCTCCAACTTCACTTAGTGGTTTTCTCTGTGGTTCTCTTCCATTAGCACGATGAACTGAAGCCAAGGTAAAAATGCCTTCGATAATTGTACAAAGAACAGACTAATGATTGTGTTATATCCAGGCGCAAAGACTATGATTGCCCCAGAGTCTTAATCTGAAATAAAAGCAGTAGCAATGTTTGAAAGAGTCATTTAGTATCTTCAAATGCCAGCTTTAGATCCCAAACACTGAGGATGAACAACTCAGTAAGACAGTCTGGGTTGTCATCAACGAAAGTAAGCCATTCCCTATAAAGGCTGTGAGTTAGATGTGCAGAGTCCCCACTTGTCTGGGGCTATGTTTTGGAATTACAGTAATTATTCTTCTTGATGAACCTGTATATGCTAAATTAAAACTTAAGTCCTATATTACATAAACACTTGCCTTTAACTTAAAAATCAACTGATCACGTTCTAAATTGGATCATAAAACATCTGTATCACTTACACTTCTTCACTGCTGGTGGGAATGTAAACTAGTACAGCCACTATGGAAAACAGCAAGGAGATTTCTTAAAGAACTGAAGTAGAACTACCATTTGATCCAGCAATCCCACTACTGGGTATCTACCCAGAGGAAAAGAAGTCATTATTCAAAAAAGATACTTGCACACACATGTTTACAGTGGCACAATTCACAATTGCAAAATTGTGGAACAAACCCAAATGCCCATCAATCAACGAGTGGATAAAGAAACTGTGGTGTGTGTATACACACACTCACACACACACACACACACACACACACACAAAGGAATACTATGCAGCTATAAAAAGGAATATATTAACAGCATTTGCAGTGACCTGGATGAGACTGGAGACTATTATTCTAAGTGAAGTAACTCAGGAATGGAAAACCAAACATTGTATGTTATCACTGATATGTGGGAGCTAAGCTATGAGGATGCAAAGGCGTAAGAATGATACGATGGACTTTGGGGACTTAGGGGGAAGAGTGGGAGGGGGGTGAGGGATAAAAGACTACAAATATGGTGCAGTGTTTACTGCTTGGGTGACGGATGCACCAAAATCTCACAAATTACCTCTAAAGAACTTACTCATGTAGCCAAATACCATCTGTACCCCAATAACTTATGGAAACAAAACAAAACAAAACAAAACACAAACATCTGTATCCCTTAACAGAAGACGGTTACAAGGAGAATTAGTCTATTCTTTTAAAGTATGGAGAAAAACTAGGAAAACATTTTCACTGAAAGAGAGAATAAAAACACCCAGTGCAAAACTTCCTTGGAATCTTGAACTTGATTCATACTTGGAGCTCAGGAACAGGGGTTGCAAGCAACAGAGGGAGAGTTAGGGTAGAAAGATTAGCAATCTTTTGGGCTACAAATTCAATTTCCTAGTCTCGGGACTTTTAACATCTGTCACTGATCAGATGGTGTTTGTATATGTATGTATGTAGGTCGGTAGGTAGGTGTGTGTGTGTGTGTGTGTGTGTATTTGTTTATTTCTCAACTCTAGAATTATATACAAGCTTTAAAAATCCAAAATGATGAGAATAAAATGACTAAGGTCATGAAATAATATGGGGGCTAGATTTCTGGTGGAAAGTGCCTCTAAAACACAGAAAACTTCAATAAGCAAAATAACCACAACAATGGCATCTGAGTTGTGGTATGTTGAAGACTACTGTTTAGTGTTAAACTGTTCCAATAGTTTCAAGAAATCTAAAATTAGCTTCCAGAAAGGATTAAACACATCTC